>NC_000022.11:16314010-16634863 GCF_000001405.40 Homo sapiens | reverse complement strand
TGCAGCTTCAAGCAGTTATGTGCAGAGTTTGCAAGGAAATAATTATGACTCAGTAAATCCATACCCAGGAAAAGTACTGTTCACACTCGGGAGCAACAGACAGACACTCCAACATGAAGCAACACGAAGCACAGCCTCCATGTACCTTTCCTAAAAACAATTACTCAAAGTGCTTGAGTCAGCTGAGCAATGAATCAAAATGAAGAACATAGAAATAAGGAAGATGACTTACAGAGAAAAGATGGTAAATAATATAAACTCAAAATTAGGTAAGTCTAAATAATAATTGTTAATGTAGCATAAAAATGTAGCAGGTGAACAAAAGCAATGGCAACAAAAGCCAAAACTGACAAACAGGATCTAAATTAAACTAAAGAGCTTCTGCACAGCAAAAGAAACTACCATCAGAGTGAACAGGCAACCTACAGAATGGGAGAAAATTTTTGCAATCTACTCATCTGACAAAGGGCTAATACCCAGAATCTACAAAGAACACCAACAAATTTACAAGAAAAAAAACAACCCCATCAAAAAGTGGGCAAAGGATATGAACAGACACTTCTCAAAAGAAGACATTTATGCAGCCAAGAATGAAAAAATGCTCATCATCACTGGCCACAAGAGAAATGCAAATCAAAACCACAATGACATACCATCTCACACCAGTTAGAATGGTGATCATTAAAAAGTCAAGAAACAACAGGTGCTGGAGAGGATGTGGAGAAATTGAACACTTTTACACTGTTGGTGGGACTGTAAACTAGTTCAACCATTGTGGAAGACAGTGTGGCGATTCCTCAAGGATCTAAAACTAGAAATACCATTTAACCCAGCCATCCCATTACTGGGTATATACCCAAAGGATTATAAATCATGCTGCTATAAAGACACATGCACACGTATGTTTATTGCGGCACTGTTCACAATAGCAAAGACTTGGAACCAACCAAAATGTCCAACAATGATAGACTGGATTAAGAAAATGTGGCACATATACACCATGGAATACTAAGCAGCCATAAAAAAGGATGAGTTCATGTCCTTTGTAGGGACATGGATGAAGCTGGAAACCATCATTCTCAGCAAACTATTGCAGGGTCAGAAAACCAAACACTGCATGTTCTCACTCATAGGTGGGAATTGAACAATGAGAACCCTTGGACACAGGAAGGGGAACATCACATACCAGGGCCTGTCATGGGGTGGGGGGATGGGGGAGGGATAGCGTTAGGAGATACACCTAATGTAAATGACGAATTAATGGGTACAGCACACCAACATGGCACATGCATGAATATGTAACAAACCTGCACATTGTGCACATGTACCCTAGAACTTACAGTATAATAATAAAAAAAATGTAGCAGGTGAAAATGTAAATAAATGATTGTAAAAGTAAAGATAAATAATATAAAATCATGAATAATAGTATTGATTTGAATTTTTAGGCATTCTTACACTAGGATTCAAGGTGTGGAAGAAGATAGAAGTAAAGGCAGGTTGCATTTCTTATCTTTCACAGGTACAAGTCCAGTTTTATTCTCGATATTGATGGATAAAATGGTATAATTATGTTTTCTAAACATTTAAATATAAACATTGATAGACTAGAAATGGGCTTCTGACTTGCATATCAACAAAAAATGCAAGGGATAAAAACAAATCAATTAATAGCAAAATACAGACAAATTTACAAAGAAAATATCAAAGTATTTTTAATAAAGAAAAAGATGATAAATAAAACCAAACATACCAGAAATCATAAATACAAACATATTACTCTCATATTGCATATTGAGAAATACTCTCAGATAACTTTGAAATTAAAGGCATTACATGCTATACACGACAGACAAAAACTAAATTTAAATGACAATTCAAAAATAAAGAGATAGAGCCCAGGTGCGGTGGCTCACGCCTGTAATCCCAGCACTTTGGGTGGCCAAGGTGGGTGGATCATGAGGTCAAGAGATTACAGGCGTGAGCCACCGTGCCCAGCCTCTATATTGATTTATTTCTGTCTCACAGTTCACTGATAGCTCCATTCCAGGGTACTGATTTGAATTCAGACTTGGCAGTGCTACAGAATTTAAATATATATATGTATCGTCCAACACCAATATGACATCCTACACTTCACTTTCCGGTTTGAATTACTCACAAACGATGTTTAGTTCTTTACAATTGAATGAAGCACAAACTAAGCATTTGGTGGTTTACTTTATTTCAAATTCAGCTGCAGTTTCTATATACAAATCCCCTTGACCTCATCTCATTTCCTGACACTAAAATCCCTTCATGAGTGCCTTGTTTTTGCCATTATAGGTGTCTTCTCTGCTCTCACACAGGGTCAAGAAACTGCCCCATACAATGTGATGATGGGTGTGGGCTTGCAGTGTTAGCTTCACATGGTGGTAGAGCTCTGGGTGTGAGGAACCCTGCCAGGGCCATTAGCTCTGTTTTTTCCCCGAGGGCCCCACTGCTCCCTGTCCACTGCTACTCGCTTGTTGCTCTGCATAGGGTTTTCTTCCCTTGGTCCACTCTAGTATGTCTCATACACAGGAAATCTGACTTTCCTAAGTATGTGCCTGCTACTAAGGGTGACAAGACAATAACAAGAAGTTTCCTTTTGCCCTGTTCCTTTTTTATCCAATTTAATCAAAAAGTTGAATAAGGGGCCTGCAGGGCCTATAGTGAGGAGGTTTATAAACAGTGTAAAAGACATTCTGTATGGACATGGATGATCCTGAGAGTAAGCACATAATCTTCATCTTTCTCTCTGTTGTTTCTTTCTCTTTCTCTCCCTTTCTCTCTCTCCCTGTGTTTGTGTGTCTAGATAGACAGAAGTATGTATATCTGCATATATATTTCTTTAAATATTTGTGAATATATATTTTATAATTCACATTTCATTGGTGGTTCTATCATAGGTCATTGATGTCAATTCTGTATGCAGGCTAAAGGAATATAAAAGCAGATAGTTGGACACACATGTAATTCTAAACTTACTTTTTGGATCAAACAGCTACAGTTACTCTATAATGTACTATCTGGTTGATATTTAAATATTCATGTGTATATCACTAATTCGAACTAGGTGTATCCTTTTTTTTAGGCGGAGTCTCACTCTCACCAAGGCTGGAGTGCAGTGTTGCCATCTTGGCTCACTGCAACCTCCGCCTCCCAGGTTCAAGCAATTCTCCTTCCTCAGCCTCCTGAGTAGATGGGATTACAGGCATGCACCACCATACCTGGCTAATTTTTGTATTTTCAGTAGAGACAGGGTTTTGCCATGTTGGTCAGGCTGGTCTCAAATTCCTGGCCTCAAGTGATCTAGCCGTCTTGGCCTCCCAAAGTGCTGGGATTACAGATATGAGCCACCATGCCTGGCCAGTGGCATTTATTTCTAACGTAACTGCAGTCTGTAAGGAAACATGCCTCTTACCCCATCTAAATTCTTGATTCCTAAGTCCGTCACTTCTTTACTTTCACCCATCATGGCTGTCTTTCCTGCCCAGAAGATATGACCATGTAGCTGTAGGCCTGAGTCAGGAACTCCCTACAAAATGATTGTGGGTTTGGGTTTGGTTTGGGGCACCAGCCTCACATGGTGGTAGAACACTAGAGGGTGAGGAACCCATTACGGTTTCATGAACCCTGTTCTTTTTGCTGAGTGCTTCACTCCTCCCTGTCACCTGTTACCTCCCCATTGCTCCAAATAGGATTCTCTCTCCCTTTGGCCCACTCTAGTAGTAGGAGAGTCTCATAAATGGAAAACCTCAGAGGTTCCTAAGGGATTGCATACTACTAACTTAGAGTGACAAATATACTAAGAGGAAGAAACATCCCTTTCATGACTTCATCCTCTTTTATCCAATTTGGTCTGAAAAAAAAAAAAAAAAAAAAAAAAGAAGGTTATCTATAGATCCTACAGTAAGAAGATTTAGACATAGTGTCAAAGATACTCTGTATTTCCAAGGATATGCCTGACAGTGAATTTTACAAATATCAACTTCTCTTTCTCTTTGTTTTATGTTTCTGTGTATGTGTATGCATGCGTGTATGTTATGTGTATATATGTATATATATACCTACGTGTATATAAATCTTTGTTTTTAATTCACATTTCATGGGTGGCTCTATCATAGGTTACTACCATCAACTCAATTGGCTGTGGGCTGAGGAATTATAAAAGCATATTATTCAGATACAAACATAATTGGACTTACACTTTTGGTCAAATAGCTGCAGTTACTCTAGACATGAGTCTACCTGCCAAGGAATGCCAAAGATTGCCAGCAACCAGCAAAAGCTAGCAAAGAGGTATCAGATTCTTCCTTATAGCCTTCATAAAAAACCAACCCTACTGACAACCTCAATTTCAGATTTCTAGTCTCTAGGACTATGAGATCATTAATTTTTGTTTAAGCCACTTGGTTTGTGATACTTTGTTAAAGCAGCCCTAGAAACTAATATAGCCCAACCTGGTAGAATCTCATACACAGGCAATCTAACAGTTTTCTAAAAGTTTTGGCTACGAGTCAACTCAGCTAGGAAGAAGAAGTAGACTTCTTGTGATCTATTTATCTTGTATCCAAGTAGACACAAAAAGAAAAGGATGTTACATACAGAAGCTGAAACTACCAGTACTTTAGAAACAGTGTCCAAGAAACTCTATAGTTAACATTTGCGTGTATCTTTATGAACATACACACACACACAACACCTTTCACTGATGACTCCATTATAGGCTAGTGATATCATTTCACTTTCACTGAGGACTCCATCATGGGCTAGTGATATCAGTTCATTTGGGTCAGAGCTAAAGAATTAAACTAAATTGTACATAATCAAATACCATGTGAATTTGTAGGCTTAATTTTTATTCAAATTAGCTACAATAACCCTACAACTAATAAACTAGCTGTTCTAAAAAAACAAAACACAACACATGCAATTTAGCCATTTGGAAACAATAGTGACCATCCCTGCCTGTCTCCATAGACAACAACAGCAACTACCTAGAAGTAGTTACAGTAAAATTAGGAGAGCATTAGGCTGGCTGATGAAAACAGGGAAGGGCTGAAGAGCCATCCTTGGGCCTTCACTCCTCCACCTGCCTCCATCTCCAAAGCCCAGGTTACAAACCAGAGAGATTGTCTCCTCCAATGCTGCTTTGTTCAGGAGCTTCAAGGTGATATAGTTGTTTAATTAAACGAAATTTTCCCTGAGGTTGCCTCTGTACTTGAGTCCTTATGCAACAAACTGCAAGCTAACCTAGTGTGTAAACTAACAGCATAATTATGAATAGAATATACACTTGTAACAGACAGCTGTGTCTCAGTCAATTAGAGCGGCTGAGCTTCAGTCAATTGCGGGTGGCTGACTGATTCAAATAAGACAAAACATCCAGCTGTAATCAGTTGTAAACAACAAAGCTGTTTCTGGACCTCATTTCCATTTTCTGTCCATAATGCTGTCTGGCCACATTGCCAGCTTGCAGTTCTCAGAACTTGTTCTCGTTCTAAAAGCTTCCCAACTAACAAATCATTCTTGCACTATTAAACTCTTAAATTTACCTTGTCTAAAGTTTTTCCTTTTCACAACCCACAGGAGTTGCCTGGTCAGTGTTTCATGGTTCCTGAGACTCTCTACCCTGGGGCACATCACTTCTCTTCATTTTAAACTTACTGACAATGACACAGCTTACGTCCTAGATTTCAGTGCGACTGACTATATAATTCCTGCCCAAACCAGGACACTTTTGAAAGGAAAAAGTGGGTGCTATTAATAATTATGTTGTAAGAACAGCAGCAGACTGAGATTGTCCTTCAGTCCTTCCCCAATACAAATGACAAGACAGAGTAGCCAATAGCCACAAAAAATCTGAGTTCACAAACCAACATGATTAGATATCTGAGGAATACAACTACTGAAAAAGAAATACAACAAGCTGAACAACAGCATACCAACTGTAGCAAAACTACTGGAACACACTGACCAAGATTTTAAAGTAAGCATGACAAATATTCTTAAGGATAAGAGAACACAAAGGAAGATGTTGAAACATGAAATGAGAATGGGAGTCGTAAGAAAAAATAAAAGAGAAAGCCTTAACTGTAAAAGTATGACTGTCAAAAAATATAAATTGGTGAGGGATAAATAGTAGTTTGGATATATGTGAAAAGCTAATTAATTTAGAGTTAGAAGATTAGATTGAGAAACCTACCCAGAAAATAGTAGAAAAGAATAAAGAGAACATACTAAAAAGAAGAATGTTATGGAGAATAAAAACAGCTATCTAACATCTAGAATATGAAAATCTAAGAAGAAATGAAAACTAAAAATGCAAAATAAAATGTGAAAATTTATGATGATAAATTTCCCAGAATTCAAGAAAGAAATATATCAGCTTTAATTATCTAATGGAGACAAAGAGAAAATTCTAACACCTTCTAGAAAGAGCAAAAGACCTATGAGGGCACAAGGACAGACCAACATCATAGCTCTCTGTACCATAAAGAAAGCTTCCACAGGATAAAGTCCACAGGATCAATATCATATTGCTGTTCTCTGAATATACTGTAATATGATTAGCTTTTTTAAAAAAACCCACATTTGAAACTAAATTACACATTACTGAATGCCTCTTATGTTAAAAGGGAAATCACGAAATATTTTAAATACTAAGAACTGATTGATAATAACATGACAAAGTTTGTAGGATACAATGAAGCAATATTTAGAAGAAAATTTACCAATATATAAGCATTAATAAGAAGTCAAGATGGTTAAAAACAAAGAGTACACATTTAAGTAGAGAGGTTGGAAAAGGAGCACAGGGCAAAGTCTATGGAGTAATAAGGAAGCAAAACATAAGGAGGTAAGCATAAGTCACTGAACTGGAGAAGAAAAAACCGTGGAGAAGATTAACAAAACAAAAGTGTGTCTCTTTGAAAAGATTACTACAATAGACCTGTGGCAATAATAATCAAGAACAAACAGAGTGAATATCCAAATAAAATGTACAAGAAGGGAGCATAACTAGAACACAACTAAAATTTTTTAAAATGAGATTATTCAATTATATGCTAATAAATGTGAAAACTTAGATGGAATGGAAAAATTCCTAGACGAATATAAGACACTAACATTAGTGCAAGAAAATATATTTATATAGAAATAGAATACTCAAGTAACAAAGAAATCAACCTAGTATTTAAAGCACTTCCCTCTCCCAAACACCACAGGGCCCACATAGGTATTTTTCAAAATTTTTTAGAATATTGACATACTTACTACAAAATCTGTATCAACATATAAAGGCTCCATTAATAACTAATCATGGTAATAAAAAAAGGTGTAGGGATGCCGTAAGTATCAATGGAGCAAAATATTGAGCTCAGAGATAAACCTATGTAGATATATGTCATTGACGATGATTATATAAACAAGGAAAAAGGATGAACTGTTTCATAGATGGTATTTGGAAAATCAGCCTACCATTGAGAGAAAAATGAAACCAAATCCCTACCTAACACCATATTGAAGGGTAGACTCTAAGTACATTAAAGCATTAAATGTGTAAATTAAAACTATGAGGATTAGAAATTACCTTTGTAGACTGAAAGTGGGAAAATTTCAAACTTCAAAAGTAAAATAATAAGGCAAAAAGTTCTGTCATGAAGAGAATGAAGAACAACAATGCCAAAGCTAACAGGCAGATGATGGATTAGAGAACATAACTTCAATGTCTAAAACTGACATGAAGGATGATTTGAATACATAAAGCGATAGTCCAAACTTTTGAATGGGATTCCATGCATCTGAGTCTGTTTAGTGTTGCCATAAGGGATACCTGAGGCTGGGTAATTTATAAAGAAAAGAGGTTTATTTGGCTCACAGTTGTGTGCTGCACAAGAAGCCTGATGCCAACATCTGCTTCTGAGGCTGCTCCCATTTATGGTGGAAGATGAAGGGGAATTGACACGTGCAGAGGTCAAATGGCAAGAGGGGAATCAAGGTGCGGGAAGCCGCTGGTCTCTTTTTAAACCACCAGCTCTTGCAAGAACTAATACAGTGAGTACTCACTCACCCTCACTCCAAGGGAGGGAATTAATCTATTCATCTTCCAAACACCTTCCATTAGGCCCCACCTCCAACATTGGGGATCAAATTTCAACATGCGGTTCTGGGGGTACAAACCTCCAAACAATAGCACCATGTTTTTAATGTTACTAAAAAGAGTGAATTCTTGCTATATTGTTTACAAATGTAACATAATCACTTTGAAAATTAAACATAATTTTAAAAGAAATTTGATTAACTTATTCTAAAATATAAAATATTCAAAAACAGCACACGTAAATTAACAAGACAAAGATAGGAACACTAGTGGAAAAACAGGCTAAGTTCATGAATAGACCATTACAGAAGAAATCCCAAATGTTATAAGAACATAAAATGATGCTCAAATTCATAAGTTATCGCATAAATTCAAAGTAAAACATAATGCAATATGTTACCATCTATTAGACTGATTATATAAATTGGAAAGTTTGATAATGTCAAGTGTTGTTGTGAATGTGTATGTGTAGGAACCATCATGCATTGTTCAGGAGATGCAGACTGGTATAACCATTGGAGAGCAATAGGCAGTATTCAGTCAAATTCAAAATATGCAATCCCATGGCCCATCAAGTCCTGTTTCATGTTCCTACAGAAATACTCAAACAGGTCTATAGGGGTCTGGCATAAGGATAATCATTTAGCGGCACTCTTTGTGAAGGCAAATGGTAGGAAGCAATATATGTGTTCCTCACTAGGGGATGCATGCTGTGCAATTTTTCATACCAGTTAAAAGCAACAACAAAAGGTATGCACAAGAAGAATAATCTTATGTTACTAAGCAAAAAACTAACAAAATGAGATACAACTTAATACCATTTAAGTAAACTTAAAAACATATAGGCAAAACAATAATACATAGTTTACAGAACACATATAAATGTATATACTGTGTATTAAACATATTAAAATTGTTGCATATGTATATATATCTGTATATGTCAATATGTATATCTGTACTCTCATCTATATATTAAAAAGGCCTACAAGTAGCAATGAGCCAATGGCAATCAGCATACCAAATGCAAAATATTGGTTTCTAAAGGGAATGAGGTTCTTTGGGTAAATGGCTGATTCTAGGGCTGGGGAAATGCTCAAAAAGTGATGGGAACATGTCAAGTCAAAAGGACACAGGGGCTAGCTTTTAGGGAGTCCCACTGGCCAAATATGGGACCATTTAAACATCAAAATAAATAATGACAGAAAGGATTGTAATTCATTGAAATAATGTAAGAATTTATAAGTTCATAGTAATAGTGAATAAATAGGGGCAGGAATAGCTCTCCTTATAATAGAATGGTACTTATTAAACACAGAAGAACTGCTTTTTTTAAAAAAAAATCACCATTTTGTAATGATCACAGTTACAACTGATTCACATAAAAATCAATGAATGCTAAAACTAGTGCATGAAAGTTTTATGTGGAACAGGATACTGAACATTGAAGATAGTTCTAACATAGACTGAAAGTATCTCCCCCCAACGTGGATATTAATTATAAACTGAATAATATTTACTTGTCAGCGAATAAATCTGGCAATAACTCTCAACCACAATAGAGATATGAACCATAAAACAGTGTAATATTCAATAAAGGAGTTACTTAATCTGAAAGTGGTATTCAAATCCCTCATCTATCCTTTAAAAGGCCATGAAATTATTTCCTGTCATCTCATATAAAAGATGTTGTAATATTCTAAGAGCTTGCATTTAGGTTGTCTCTGAAAAGAGTCTGATGAATAACTTGACAATAAGAAAGTGAATGCTGAGATTTTAGAGTGAATAGACATTTTAATCTCACAGTCTACTTTGTGTTAACTAACTCACCCCTCTCACATTTCAAAAATATCTAAAAGTAGCTGTTAGACATTCTATTAAGTCCTCCTGGTGAAAATGGAAATGTTTGGAGATTCCACCTTTGCATCATCTTCCTATATCCCACTTTTAAACATTTTTGGCATTGAAACTTTTTCTTCAAATGAACTTTTAGATATCACACATGCCTAGTAAACTTCAAATCTGCAAGTGGTGAATAGATAATCTGCACAGGAAACACTTTTTTTTTTTTTGAGACAGAGTTTTGCTCTGTCATCGAGGCTGCAGTGCAGCGGTGCTGTCTCAGTTCACCGCAACCTCTGCCTCCCGGATTCAAGTGATCCTTCTGCCTCAGCCTCCCGAGTAGCTGGGACTACAGGCATGCACCACCATGCCCAGCTAGTTTTTGTATTTTTAGTAGAGACGCGGTTTTACCATATTGGCCAGGCTGGTCTTGAACTCCTGACCTCATGGTCCACCTGCCTCAGCCTCCCAAAGTGCTGGGATTACAGGCTTGAGCCACCATGCCCAGCCAGAAAACACTTTTGACAAAACACACCAGCATTTCCTTTTGTAGAATCCTTGGGCCATATTAAGGGTATTGTTAAGCTGCCATCTCATAAAGTGTACAGAATAAAACACTAATTTGGGGAGACGTTAAAAGGGAATAGTAACAACAGCAGCAGCGCTTTATTTAAATGTGGAAAATTAATTCAAAATATAAAAAAATATTTTGGTGACTATATTGGTAATCTTACGATAAATAACTTTCTGAGTATAACAAAAACTGCATCAGTTATAAAAGTACCAATTATATTTGAACACATGAAGCTTATAATTAAAGCTCTATGTAAGGTTGCTGCATTTTACTTCAAACATCAAATGCAAAAATATATTAGAGATTTGCCACATGGAGTGGTGATATGACCAATTTATTTGAACAACAAAATTCCTTGAATCTAAAAGATATGGTAAATATGACTTAGCTTACTTAAGACCCAACTTTTTAGAAAGAATTTTAGAATCAGTGTCCAGAAAACTATTTTCCCATGAATAATTCTGAGACTGAATTTCACAAACCTGAATTCCTCCCATCTCCAATATATATTATGACATCATCTTTCATTGTTGACTACAGCACAGATTTCTGATGTCAATTCATTGGGGTCAGTGCAAAGGATTGAAAGGTAAATAGTAAGAAACAACATAAATGCATACACAACTTTTTTTTTGGTTCAAATTGGCTATGATTGTGCTACAAATTACAATGTGTTGTCCCTGAAAATTCTCATGTAAATCTGTTATTTGGCACCTGGTACTTGATTTTTCTCTAGAAAGAAGTCTCTATGTGTTGGTAATAAAAATTGTTTAGGACTCTCAAAAAAGTTTAATGAATCAAGATTTAAATACAATTTTTTATTACTGAACTTGATCATCATGTATGGCAGCAAATTTAACTTAAATTTGCTTCAAATTCATGTCCCATTTGTAGGCACACATTATTCTTGCCCATTTTGATTTCCTAATTATCAAGTCCCTCCTCCACCTTTATGCTCTTCATGAGTCACAGATATCTTTGCTTCCCCTCAAATAGGATCAAGTGACTAAACCTGAGGCAGGGGCTCCATACAATGTGATGATGGCTTTGAGTTTGGGGCACCAGCTCTGAAGCGTGAGGGACAGATACAGGGTCTCTTAGCTCCTTTCTTTCTGCTGAGGGCTCCTCCGCTGCCTGTCCAATGCTACCACCTTCTTTCTCCAAGTAGGATTCTCTACTCTCTTGGATCACTCTTGACAGAGTCTCATACACAGGCATTCTGATCGTTTCCTAAGGTTTTGGCTGCTAATTACTTGGGGTCACAAACTATCTTTGAGCACCCAGCATCCCTCTTCTAACCTGATCTTATTTTTTCCACTCTGGTTCAAAAACAATGTTACCAAAGATGCTTAAAGTCTCTGATAGAAAGCTGTTATTGCCATTGATGCTCCCAGTATTTTTCACCACTTAGATCAGTCAACTCACCCATTGTGGTCATAGTTGTCAGAGCATACAGTAGAATCTGGTAGTGAATCCATAACTCTACCAAAGAGTAAAAGGCACATACAAAAAATAAAGTCAGATATTTTGGAAGGCAATGAGGATGTTAATCTCAACAGTATTTCAGGACACAAAAAATAAAATCGGAGGAATTTTGACAAGAACTAAAGAAACAATTTCAGGATACAGCACTAGTACTTCTGAGACTGTGTGTGTGTGTGTGTGTGTGTGTGTGTGTGTGTGTGTGTGTGTGTGTGTGTGTGTGTGTCTGAGAGAGAGAGAGGACGCAGAAAAAAGAAAGAAAATGTAAGAATAATGAATGTTTATCAATGGCTAGTTCCCGGTCATCCTTGATAGGAAATAAACAAGTAGGTAAGTCAAGCATAGCCTTAATTATGTTTAAAACATTTTGTGAACTTAAAGTGGATTATGTGTTTACAATGATTTTGTTTTCCTTTTGTCTGGATTCTTTTTTTTAAAGTTATATGGCTATATTTTACAATATCAAGACTTCCTAGCACCGAAACCCCTGGCTTGGCTAATTTAATCTCTCTGCAACTTCATTTCCTCATCTGTAAGTTAAGACACATGCAAAATACACTCCACATCTGTCAACTTCATAAAACCATGCTGAATATTCAGCATTTTGCCAGTATTGGTTTTTAGACAACCTGCTCTCTACACCATGTATCATGTCATAAAAATCAGTATGTGGCAATATAAACTGATACACATTTTTAGTTTCAAATACACAAACATTCTCATCAAGGTAATACACTCCCAAGACTCAAGAATGCTCTTCGCCACAATTTTCTAACTTTTCAAACATTTAAATAAGTTTAAGAAACTGATCACATACATTTTTTTGCTGCTGACAACAACTGGGATTCTCTAAGAGTGTGCTGAGGTTTCTTATTTGACCACAGAACCTCTTTCTCACAGTGGAAATATGTGAGAAACATATTTTGGAAACAATATATTAAATGGTATCTTTTTATGTCTTTAAGAAAAGTTCCCCTACACAAACTAATTTTGGACTCTGATCAATAGCTCAAACCTTTAAGCACAGATAGACATTAATATTGTGCTAGTCTTTCAGCCTGTGAGGAAAGGAGTGCCAGAGTTCAAATTATCGAATCTCATTAGCCTGGTCTGAGGGCCATGAGAGGAACCTTTCAAGTTCTAAGTGGCTGTTCTCATGTCCTTGAATGGCTCCTGGAAATTCATCCAGGTCTCAGGAAAAACAATACCTTTTACAAAAAGAAAGGCATCTATAGGCATCCGCTACTTTTCAGCAGGATGAATAATTGGATTGTCTATGCAGAATACACTAATAAATTATAACAGGGGAAAATGTTCAAAACACCAAAAAGGTTAAGAATTTGAGTTTCTGACATAAGCAGCCTTATTAAATGATTACTAGATTTTTCAGACATCCTCTACTGAGGAAGAGAACTGGAAGACACTCAAATTACTCCAGATTCAGGTGACAAGCCAGGATTGCTAAGCAAGTTCCTTGGGAAACTAATCTCCAAAAAGGGCACGAGACATCCATAGATGTTACCTGAACTCCTTTCAGGGAGAGTACTGCATGAAGTCTGAAATAATACTTTGATAAGCTGCTTTGGGGCACAGAATGACTTCCCTCATGGGACATGAATAAGTAACTAGCTAAATTGCCCTCTAAGGAAGGTGAGAATTGCAAACTGTCCTAAACTGAAGTGGTCATGCAGAATTCTTAAATGCTTTTTGGTAGATAGGAGCAACCACAGAAGTTTGAGTTAGTTGAAAGTTAGCTACACCTTTATAATCATGCTACCAGGTTGTAATGAAAAGTAGGTCTCTGACCAAATCTGCCATACATACAGATATTCATTTAACAAAACATTCAGTAGCAAGCAGGCACAGTACATAAGCTTCTGTAAGCTTTCTGCACTTTAGGTGCTCCAAGCATGAAAGCTTCATTCTCAACAGATTCCTAATGTTTCAGAGGCCAAAATCTTCCTAAACCTTCCTGGAGATAGGACCATATGAGGATCAAGCCTTGGGTGTCGTCTCTAAATATACACTACAGGCCACCCTCATACACCTTTATCCTGCTTATGCAAGGGTGGGCTGTCTCCAAAACACGTTAGTTGATTCACAGATCTTAAAATGTCATATAATTGTAACATCCATCATGCTGCTTTGTAAGCCAACAGTTTCACTAATAAAAACCCATTTGTGACCTTCACTGTAGTAATTAACAATGTTTCAGGTGTTAATTGAGATGGGACCACTGAAGCCCTTTTGGTGGCCATCTCTGTGGAGTGGCTTCCTGAGCTGAACACTAGCTCACCATCCTTGAACAGAGAATCCACCATTAGGGCAACCAGCTGCCCCTGTAGGAAAGATTAAAGTGACCAGTATATGCATATTATCACACTGCCTAAAATGTCATAGAATGAGGCTTGGTTTGTTTTTTAAATTTTTTCTATTTCTATTATTTTTCTATCGAATTATTTTTCTATTTTTATTTGCTGGGTCACAGACAACAGCAAATTCCATACCTTCGGAGTTATACCAGCTCATCTGCAGTAGGAGTAGAAATATCAAAGCTCTCAGTCTACCACCTTGTGCTCCAGAGATGTGGCCCAAGCACATCTTTGGACGTGAATCAGGGCAACCCAAGGCAGAGCTGGATTTCTGGGAGTTTCTCCCTGTAAGCCCTGGACCTGCTTACCTATAGACCAGACTGCTTCCAGAGCCACTGCCAGTCAGAAGAGCCTGGGGTGTGTTCAGCTGCTAGAATCACACAAGTCTGAGATCTTGTGTCGTCAGTACAACATTCTCTAAGAGGGAGAAATTTAATCAAGATCCTGTTGGCAGTTTTCTCTCTTGTTGCCTTTCAAGATTATGGCTTTTCCTTTTTTCATTTTTTAGTTCCCAAAACCAAGCTTGTTAAATCAAATCTTGACCCAATTCCTGGCAAGTAACAAGGTTACTGCTATTTGGCCTGACACCCACTGGTTGTCCCCCAGTACCGTGAGGGTAAGGGGACTCTGTAAGGTCCCTGGGAGGGGAAAGGAATGTCAATTAGTGGTCCCCCCAGCTGGGTATAAGCAAACTTTCCTGTCTATGGGCCCCAGAGACCACCATCTAGTTCCCCCGCCAAAACTTTACATGATTTTAATTCTCCTGATGAAGATGAGAGGACAACAGCCAACAGAGGGCAGAGGATGGGATGGGACTCCCTTGCTCAGAGACCTCACCTCTAGGTCTTTACCTCGTATTGAGAATGTCAGTTCTGTAATAAGAACTCTGTGTCCACGGCAACCCCAAACAGAATCCTGGCGCTCTTGTGATTCTTGTAGAGTGGGGAATAGAACGAGCTTGGCCCAAGACTGCAGAGACTTAAAAACATACTGTTCTTTGAGAATGGCAATCATTAAAAAGTTAGGAAACAACAGGTGCTGGAGAGGATGTGGAGAAATAGGAACACTTTTACACTGTTGGTGGGACTGTAAACTAGTTCAACCATTGGGGAAGTCAGTGTGGCGATTCCTCAGGGATCTAGAACTAGAAATACCATTTGACCCAGCCATCCCATTACTGGGTATATACCCAAAGGACTATAAATCATGCTGCTATAAAGACACATGCACACGTATGTTTACTGTGGCACTATTCACAATAGCAAAGACTTGGAACCAACCCAAATGTCCAACAGTGATAGACTGGATTAAGAAAATGTGGCACATATACACCATGGAATCCTATGCAGCCATAAAAAATGAGTTCATGTCCTTTGTAGGGACATGGATGAAATTGGAAATCATCATTCTCAGTAAACTATCGCAAGAACAAAAAACCGAACACCGCATATTCTCACTCATAGGTGGGAATTGAATAATGAGAACACATGGACCAAGGAAGGGGAACATCACACTCTGGGGACTGCTGTGGGGTGGGGGTAGGGGGGAGGGATAGCACTGGGAGATATACCTAATGCTAGATGACGAGTTAGTGGGTGCAGCGCACCAGCATGTCACACATATACATATGTAACTAACCTGCACATTGTGCACATGTACCCTAAAACTTAAAGTATAATAAAAAAAAAATACTGTTCTGCCATACATACGGATACTCATTAAAGATGAGGGAGAAAGGCATGGGGTGGGGGAGAATGTGCCAAAACCAAAGACCACAGGATAATAACCTCAGAGCAGAGACTCTCTCTCCAGTTATTTTTTCTTTTGTATGTAATGGAGCAGATTCTTATTATTTACTCTGATGAAGAAGTTTACATCAAGTGTTCAGCTTCCTTTGTGGGTTAGAGAGAATAACCAGAGGGCTCAGTTATCCTCTCTGAATAACTATGTTTGTTTAGTGTTTTCTAGACAATATTAAATTTCACTAAAATAGACAAAGTTGATAGGACTTGAGGGGAAAACTCATTGACTCAAGCTATCATTTTATAGGATTGTGAGAAAACAAATAGTTGTACATTTAAAATACACTCATATTCTCGCTAGAAGAGAGGATTTTGAATATTCTTACATCAAAGACATGGTAAATGTTTAAGGCAATAGATATGCTAATTACCACGATTTGATCATTATGCAATGTAAAATGTACCGAAACATCACATTGTACCTCATAAATATGTACAATTTATTATGCGTGAATTAAAATTTTGAGTATAAGAAAAAATAAACTTCAATTGTAAGAAAACAACCCAACTTTTAAAAAATGGGCAAAATATGTGAACAGATACTTCACTAATAGAGATTTGCAACTGGCAAATAAGCAAATGAAAAAATGGTCATCATCACTAGCTATTAGAGAAATGCAGATTAAAACTACAGTAAGAAACCACCAGATACCTATTAGAATATCTAAAATTAGAAAGATGGTGTGTTGACAAAGATAGAGAGAAACTGAAACTCTCATACAATACCAGGAATGTAAAGTGCTAGATCCACTTTGGAAAACAGTTTGACAGTTTCTTAAGAAGTTAATTAGGTCTTCCAGTTCCCACTCCAACATGTAGAGAACTTGGAAGTCATCACTCCCATCTTCACAACGGAAAAAAAGATAATCAAACTGAAAATCAACAACTTTTCTTAGATCTCTCCGAGAATAGAGGTCACAGGGAAACCACTTCCTCAAAAACTAGAGAGATGGGTGACTATAGAAAATCAGTTTACCTGAGAGCAGAAGCCACAGAGCCAGTAATTGGTAGGAACACTTCAATGGTAATCAATAAATTTACTGGTGGCTGAGTGTGGACTAGCTTGAGAGTTAAAAACTTGTTGGAGTCCCGTCTTGGGGGCCCCTTATACTTTCATGAATTTTACTTCCAGAAACCCCACCAGGTTCTCATGATGAAGGCCGAAGAAAATTTCCTCAGGCTCTTTACACAAGGAAAAGGGAAAAGCAATCATTTCAAAATATACCCTAATTGGAGGATAGAGAGGGTGAGTGGGTACAGCAACCATTTTGAAATGGTACCTAATTCAATTGCTTCACTTTTAACTAATATATAGGGCATCCTGTTAAACGTGCTTGTTAATTAAATCATTGGCATTTTATCCAGTCAGTACACTCATTAAATCAGAATTTCATCCAGTTAAAATCCAGTTTAAATCAGTGCTTTACCGACTTAAATCTAAAATGTCAAGTTTTAGGTCAGAAATTGTTAAATTCAGCAGAATACATTTTAAATGACATTAAAATGCATATGTGGATGCCATCAACAGCCTCCCTAAATCTAAAGACTATAAGAACTGAAAATTAAGATGAAAACATTAAAACACTTTAGTAAACTAAACTATTTTAAATCCAGTGTATACGAAACAATTTAAAATTTGTTTCATACACAAACAAATCTGCATCCAAGAAATCTAAGTGCCCAAACACCCCCTTAGAGATTTTGCACATACAGAGGTCAACAAAATGAGCACAGAAATACAGAAACTTTTCCTAAAATCCCCATTCAAGAAATACGTAACACCTCAGAATGGTCACTCATCTTGGCCAGGGGAACCCTGATATATTTTGGTTCACTGGATATTCGAAACCTCAATCCACTGTTCAAATCCCGGATTGCTTTCAACAACTTTCTGCCTTCAACAAGCACTGGGTGGGGCTTCCTAGTCCAAACAACAAATAGGGAAAGACATACACAAAGCTCCTTTGTGAATGTATAGATTTAAAATAAAATCCTCAACAGGGCTGTTTCAACATGGCTTAGTCTTTCATCAGAAAATGGGTCCTCTCATTCTTTTAGTCTACCTTTCACATCATGCACTGGCCAGGTGGAAAATTACTTTCTTTAGCTCTGCTGCTTCTGGTTTAGCAGCTCATTTTCACTCCTGGAGAAGAATTAACTTCTAAAGCCAATACCCTCTGCCTTTATGGCAAACATTGGATAGGCATTGTTTCTAAATAGTCCCAACTACTTAAAACTTAAGTCAGTTAATTCCACCCAAGAAAACCAAATGGCATGCAAACTACTCCCAGCAAAGTAACCTTAAAAAACAAAAGCATACTTTACTTTCCTCTCTCTCTCTACTTCCTTAAAGAGCAAGGAAGGCCTGTAGGCTCAGAGAAGCCAAGGAAACATCTCCTCCTTTACACTCCGAAATAGAAATTCTCATACTCCTTATCTTTAGTTTTGAATAAACTAGATCTTTAACATTAAGCTTTTCTAAATAAGACTGAAGATCAAGGATTAGGGTAAAGGAAAGAATGTCCTGAAGTCTTTTCTTTGTTGCTATCACAATGGAGGATCAACACATGGGCTGGTGACCAGCTTGGTGTGATATAATAGAACACTCCAGAGACCGGAGTTCTAGTCACAACCTTCAAGTTGTCACTGCCACATACCACATCTATTTAATGCAGTTGGTTTTTACAGTTCCAATATTCTGTGGTTCTGGGTATAGATCTACACACTGAAAAGAATATTCAATTACTCTGCTAATCAGAATGTGAAGTGACTTAGGTTTCTATACATAGAAGCTTAAGTTTCATTTGCTTATTCAACAAGTATTTACCGAATGCTAGCGTCCCAGGCAAGGTTTTAACTGAATAACAGCACATACCCTAGAAAAACAGTTATCAAATGCTGACAACGCTGTTTTCCCTGGCCAAGAACAAAGACTCATTTATTTGAGGTCCTTCCTACTTTTAGATGCTAAAATACGCTTATTTTTTAAAAAATCAAATAGTGGCAATAGCCAATAGTGGACTTTTTTGGTTTTCTTTTAATGTCCTTATTTAGCAAAATCAAAGTTAGGTGACAATTTGAAAAAAAAAAAAAAAACTAAGTTAGTCCCTATGTCAGCTCTCAACATTATTACTGTATTTTAGAAACTTTACTAATATGTGAAACTGTAATTTTGGGGAACTCCATTTCTCTACTGACATCCTTTCCAAAAAGAGACACCAGCTCTACAGTCTCGGGATTAGAAATATGATGTGAGGCTGGGCATAGTGGCTCACCCCTGTACTCCCAATGCTTTGGGTAGCCGAAGTGGGTGGATCACTTGAGGCCAGGAGTTGGAGACCAGCCTGGCCAACATGGTGAAACCCCTTATCTGCTAAAAATACAAAAATTAGCTGGGCATGGTAATACACACCTGTAATCCCAGCTACTTGGGAATCACTTGAACCCAGGAAGTGGAGGTAGCAGTGAGCCAAGATCGTGCCACTGCATTCCAGCCTGGGCAACAGGGCGAGACTTTTTTCATACGCGTCCGTGTGAAGAGACCACCAAACAGGCTTTGTGTGAGCAATAAAGCTGTTTATTTCACCTGGGTGCCGGTGGGCTGAGTCCGAAAAGAGAGTCAGTGAAGGAAGATAGGGGTGGGGCTGTTTTATAGGATTTGGGAAGGTAATAAAAAATTACAATCAAAGGGGGTTGTTCTCTGGTGGGCAGGGGTGGATCTCACAAAGTACATTCTCAAGGGTGGGGAGAATTACAAAGAACCTTCTTAAGGGTGGGGGAGATTACAAAGTACATTGATCAGTTAGGGTGGGGCAGGAACAAATCACAATGGTGGAATGTCATCAGTTAAGGCTGTTTTTACTTCTTTTGTGGATCTTCAGTTACTTCAGGCCATCTGGATGTATACGTGCAAGTCACAGGGGATGCGATGGCCTGGCCTGGGCTCAGAGGCCTGACATTCCTGCCTTCTGATATTAATAAGACAAATAAAACAAAATAGTGTTGAAGTGTTGGAGCGGCGAAAATTTTTGGGGGGTGGTATGGAGAGAGAATGGGCGATGTTTCTCAGGGCTGCTTCAAGTGGGATTAGGGGCGGCGTGGGAACCTAGAGTGGGAGAGATTAAGCTGAAGGGAGGTCTTGTGGTAAGGGGTGATATTGTGGGGATGTTAGAGGACACAAAGGAGGCTTTGGATTGGGAAGAAGGGCAGCAATGAGATGTAGCTGTACTCCAGGAATAGTCAGGGAAGCAGATAATTTGGTTAAAATATTTCGGCCTAATAAGGGAAGTGGGCAGGTGGGGATAACTAAAAAAGAGTGCATAAAAGAGTGTTGTCCAAGTTGGCACCAGAGTGGGGGAGTTTTCAGGGGTTTTGAAGCTTGGCCGTCAATACCCACAACAGTTATGGGGGCAAGGGAAACAGGCCCTTGAAAAGAAGGCAACGTGGAGTGGGTAGCCCCCGTATCGATTAAACAGGGGATGGACTTACCCTCCACTGTGAGAGTTACCCGAAGCTCGGCTTCTGTGATGGTCCAGGGGACTTCCGAGGCGATCGGGCAGCGTCAATCTTCAGTCGCTAAGCCGAATAGATCTGGGAAGGAGTCAGAGAGCCTTGGGCTAGAGCTTTAGGGGCTCCAGGAGTGGCTGTCGGGCGAGCTGGGCAGTCTGATTTCCAGTGGGTGCCTGCACAGATGGGACATGGCTTGGGAGGAATCCTGGGCTGTGGGCATTCCTTGGCCCAGTGGCCAGATTTCTGGCACTTGAAGCAAGATCCTGATGAAGTCTTGTAGGAGTGTCTGATTGCTGCGTCTTAGGCATTTTGAAGTTCCTGTATGCAGGAGGTGTGGCTGGGTTTTGTCTCACAGCAGAGGCAAGTAATTGTAACTCCGAAATGCGTTGCCGTCTGGCTGCTTCCTCTCTATTATTGTACACCTTGAAGGCAAGGTTGATTAATTCCTGCTGGGTTTGAAGGCCAGATTCTAATTTTTGAAGTTTTTTCCTAATGTCAGGAGTGGATTGGGTGATAAAAATGCATATTAAGAATAAGGCGGCCTTCTGGCCCCTCTGGGTCTAGGGCAGTATAGCATCTAATGGTTGCTGCTAAGTGGGCCATGACCTGGGCTGGGTTTTCGTCTTTACCTCGGGTAGTTTCTTTAAGCTTGTCATAATTAACAGCTTTGTAAGCTGCTTTTTTAAGCCCTTCAACTAGGCAGGAAACCATGTAATCTCGCCTAGCTGTACCTGGGGAATCTGCCTGATAGTTCCATTGGGGATCCTCTCGGGGAACTGCTCTAATGCCTTCCTGGAGGTCTGGCTCATGAAGCCGGCGGTTATCAGCACGAGATTGGGCTAGAGAAAAAACTTTCCCGTTCATCTGGGGAGAGAGTAGAAGTCAGGATGACATTTAAGTCACTCCAGGTTAAGTTGTAGGACAGAGTTAGATATTGGAATTCCTGTATATATTTAGTGGGGTCTGATGAGAAAGAGCCTAAACATTGACTGATCTGAGAGAGGTCTGATAGAGAAAAAAGTACATGTACCTTGACTATGCCTTCAGCTCCAGCCACTTCTCTAAGAGGAAATTGTTGGGCAGGTGGGGAAGCGCTAGTCGCGGAACTAAACTGTAAGCCGGACCAGGTGTGAGGAGGGGAGGTGATAGAAGGATTATAGGGTGGAGGAGTGGAGGCTGAGGAAGTATTGGGACTTAGCTCGGTCTGGCGACAAGCAGCTTGGGGAGGAGGGGAAAGGTCAGATGGGTCTGTAGAAAAGGAAGACTGGGAAGACTCAGCGACGCTTGGGGTTGGGACCGAGGGGACAGGCGGGAGGGAAAGGAGGAGGATCTGGGAGGAATCGCATTGGGAACAGAGACTAGGGAGGGAACGAAGTGTGAAAAATGCCTGGACGTAAGGCACCTCAGACCATTTGCCCATTTTTCGACAAAAATTATTTAGGTCTTGTAGGATGGAGAAATCGAAAGTGCCATTTTCCGGCCATTTAGAGACATTGTCAAGTTTGTATTGGGGCCAAGCGGTTGCGGTGTTGCAGAAGAAAATAAGGCATTTAGGTTTTAGGTCAGGTGTGAGTTGAAGAGGTTTTAACTTTTTGAGCACACAGGCTAAGGGAGAAGAAGGAGGAATGGAGGGTGGAAGGTTGCCCATAGTGAAGGAAGCAAACCCACAGAAGAGAGCGTAGAGACACAGATGGAAGGGGTTTGGGGGTTCTTGCCCCCTAGAAAAGCGGGACTTGCCACTAAGGGTGAAGGAGAAGGCGTTGAGGGGTACTTGCCCCTGCCCCAGGAAAGCGGGACTTGCCACTAAGTGTGAAGGGGAAGGGGTTGAGGGGTACTTGCCCCTGCCCCAGAAAAGCGGGACTTGCCGCTGAGGGTGAAGGAGAAGGGGTTGAGGGGTACTTGCCCCTGCCCCAGGAAAGCGGGACTTGCCGCTAAGGGTGAAGGACCAAGGCAGGCGTCCCTGCGTGGTCTGACACCCTTGAAACGTGAGTGTATAATCAGAGAGGCGTCCCTGCAATGATTAAACACCAAGGGAAGGCTGCCTTCCCAGTCCGTGACCAGCGCCGGAGTTTTGGGTTCACGGATAAAACATGTCTCTTTTGTCTCTTCCAGAAAATGAAAGGAATTGAAATTAAGAGAAGGGAGAGATTGAAGTGTGGCGCCAAGATTGAAAGGAGAAAGAGGTTGAGGGATAGTGAGGGAGGTTGGAGAAGCTAAGGGAGAAGGAGGAGGAATGGAGAAGAGAGTAAAAAGAGGCCGCTTACCAGATTTGAAATTGGTGAGATGTTTCTTGGGCTGGTCGGTCTGAGGACCTGAGGTCGTAGGTGGATCTTTCTCACGGAGCAAAGAGCAGGAGGACGGGGGATTGATCTCCTAAGGGAGGTCCCCCGATCCAAGTCACGGCACCAAATTTCATGCGCATCCGTGTGAAGAGACCACCAAACAGGCTTCGTGTGAGCAATAAAGCTGTTTATTTCACCTGGGTGCAGGTGGGCTGAGTCTGAAAAGAGAGTCAAGTGAAGGGAGATAGGGGTGGGGCTGTTTTATAGGATTTGGGAAGGTAATGGAAAATTACAGTCAAAGGGGGTTGTTCTCTGGTGGGCAGGGGTGGATCTCACAAAGTACATTCTCAAGGGTGGGGAGAATTACAAAGAACCTTCTTAAGGGTGGGGGAGATTACAAAGTACATTGATCAGTTAGGGTGGGGCAGGAACAAATCACAATGGTGGAATGTCATCAGTTAAGGCTGTTTTTACTTCTTCTGTGGATCTTCAATTACTTCAGGCCATCTGGATGTATATGTGCAAGTCACGGGATGCGATGGCCTGGCCTGGGCTCAGAGGCCTGACAACTTTGACTCCCCCCTTGCCCCCCAAAAAAAGAAACATGATGGAGTGTTATTTCCCACTCAGGGAAATAGCATAACCTAGTTACTGAAAATATTTATTAATACACAGATGTTTTGGTTCCAATTCTCAATTATCTGGGTTAAAGAAGTTACCATCACTCTCCACACAAGACCTTGTAGGATTATTTCTCTGCAGTGAAGGAAAATGAAGGAGGTTCAGTGGGAAACGATCTTAGGACAGAGGAAGCTTCCACTTTGCCTGGGAGGGTGAACAGCCTGGGAGACCTGGAGATGAGGGTAGGCATTCTAGGCCAAGGGGTCTTCTTGTGTGGTCAGATGGGGAAGGAAACCCTCCTGGCAAAACAGCAGCAATTCTTTCTCCAGGAAAGCTTCTGAGACTGACTCTAATAAGTCAATTGTGACCAACTGTCCTAGGCTCCCAGGGCCACAGCAATCCTTAGGCACCCCAAATGTGCCATCCCTGATTACCCAGCACACCCTACCCCCAAAGCATTGTGACAGCTCAAGGATGACTTCCTCTGAAAACCTCTGTCCAGATCTAAAACCATCCTGTTTATTTGCTTGTAACTATCTTTTTCTAAAAGTAACACCTCAGGATGGAGACTCTGTTGCCTTGTCCACTGCTGCCCCCAATGCCTGGAACAAGGTGCCTGACACAGGATTAGGCACGGGACACATAGCTGGTGAATAAACGTCACGGAATTAGCACACATGTAGAATCAGTACGCACATGTTTGGCCACAGTCACTAACCGTAACTGATCAGAAATTAAAATTAACTTGCATGTTCATCAAAACTTCTACATGGCTATCAGCGACTGCCATCTAATTGCCATTCTGCAACCTCAAGAGTACAATTTCAAGAGCGTAATAAAAAAAATCGTATTTAATCACACCATAAAGTTGATCAGCACAAGCACAACAAAAACTGCACTATCTGGATTTATACTCAAGGCGCCTCGGCGGATGGCACAAAAGGCCGAGAGAAACTCCGCGACGCCTCCCTCCCTCCCTCCCCGCCCCCTCCCCTCCGCGCCCGCTCCTCCTCATTCAAACCCCGCCGGCTGAGTGGTGTCAGCTCAGTCCCGGCCGCCGCCGCGCGAGGAAACGGCCGAGGCGCCGGAGCCGCAGGTAAAGGGGGCGCCCGCCTGGTCCTGCGGAGGCTCCCGCGCCGCCCCCAAGGCGCCCGGCTCTCATTGTCTTGTCCCCCCCAGGATGACCTCAGTTCCCCGTCTCAGCTTTCTAGCCGCTTCTCTAGGGCGCCCCCTCCCCAGCCGGCTCCTGCGCTTCCGCCCACGGGAAGGTGCGGGCGATCCCGGGCTGCATCCGCTCTTGGCCGTCACACTCAGGCCGCACGATTTAGAAGGGCTTGGGATGCGGGGTTCCCTGAATCTCCGCCGGGAGCGGGGGTCCGGGGATCTGCAGGGGTGGGCGGTGGGGGGCTGTTCCGAAAAGTTGGGTCGCCCCGCGGGGCGGATCTGCCAATTTGCCCAGTCAGCCCTTGGGGCGCGGGCGGAGGGGGGACGTCGGTGTAGGGTCCCCCGCGATGCCCCGGAAAGGGCCGGGGCAAGTTGGAAACGGCCAAAACAATGCGTCTGGACGGGCATCCCCCGTAAACAATGGCCGGGACGGTCCACACCGGCCGGGCAGAGGGCGCGTCTAAGGGACCGCCGGAGGGGCTGGGCCTCACCGCGGACCCCGACACGCGCCCGGTGACTCCCTCGGGTGCCCAAAAATCTGTCTCCGGGAGTCCTGGGGCGCCTGCTCATCCCTGAGCAGGGATGCACGGGGCTGCATTTCCTGGATGTGTGCGATAAGGTGGCTTTTTCCCTCCTCTAATTTTAAAGATTTTTTTTAAGTCTTAATGTTCTATAAACACTTAAAGAATATCTTTACAACTCAATTCTAGTGGAACACCCAAAGCCAGCTGGAAGCAGAACTGGGAACTCTAAAGGGCAGGAAGGATTGAAATGCTAGCCCAAAAGTGCTGTTGCTTTTCTTTTCTTTTCTTTTTTTTAAAGGGAAGTTTCCGCCAGGAGTGCCGAGTGGTGAAACTGCTCAGTTTCAGGCACAGCCCTCTTGTCTCTGGATTTGGCCCCGACTTCGAGCCGGACCGGATAGTGGAGGGGCGGAGGGCGCTGCTGGGGGCCCGGGAGGCTGGATTTAGGGCTGCCTGGGTGGTACCGCCCGAGGGGCAAGACCCGGCACGCAAGGCACGCACCGGAACCTGGGTCCCGGGGATTTGAGAAGACATTCAGGGCCCGGGTTGGAACCCACATTTTGGGATTCTGGGTAGGGCCACCGAAGACGGGAAGACGCATTCTTGGGCGGGTGGGGGTGGAGTGAGCAGGCGGGGAGTTTTCCGCCAGGTTTAGTTACAGGAGCTAGAAAAGGCCACTTCTGGGACCCTGGCATCCAGGCCACCCCGAGAGCCCTAGAAACTTTTTCTTTTTCTTTCCCCCTCACCCCCCAGAAAAGGAGAGTCATTTCAGGTTTAAGGCTTTGGTGTATTGTTCCACTTCGAAATTCCTTGAGTCTCACTTTATCTTCTTGAATCAGCCTATGGGGCTTGGAGCGTTGAACATTCCTAAACACGGAGGAAGTAAATAGTGGTTGCAGTGGTCCACTGGCCAGTTTGGGGGTCCTGTATTATTGGCCACTGTGTGTCCTACAGCGTAGCTAGGTTTTTTAGTTTTCTAAATCATTTGGAAGCATTAAGCTGTATATTTTAAGAAGCCTAGGTCTGATTTAGTTCAGGTTGATTCAATAATGTCTTCATCGCTTTTGAGTTGGTTGAATGACTTGACATGAGATTAAGCTCAACAAAAGAAAAGGCGAGGTAGCAACAGCTGCGTCACAAATAAATAAATTCTGCAAATAAAGGGATCAACACTTCCAATTATAAATTCAAGATTGGTCTATTACTTTTTTCTTTTTGAGACGGAGTCTCACTCTGTCGCCCAGGCTGGTGTGCAATAATAGCACGATCTCAGCTCACTGCAACCTCTGCCTCCTGGGTTCAAGCGATTGTCCTGCCTCAGCTTCCCGAGTCACTGGGACTATAGGTGCCCGCCACTATGCCCAGCTAATTTTTGTATTTTTGGTAGAGACGGGGTTTCACCATATTGGCCAGGCTGGTCTCCCACTCCTGACCTTGTGATCCGCCCACCTCAGCCTCCCAAAGTGCTGGGATTACCGGTGTGAGCCACCGTGCCCGGCCTTTCTATTACATTTTTACAGATAACCACCAGCATATATCTACAAGCAATGGCTATAATAAAAAAAGAAATAATCTCAGCCAGGCATGGTGGCTCACGTCTGTAATCCCAGCACTTTGGGAGTGCGGAGGCAGGCAGATCACCTGAGGTCAGGAGTTTGAGACCAGCCTGGCCAACATGGTGAACACCCATCTCTACTAAAAACACAAAAATTAGCTGGGTGTGGTGGCATGCACCTGTAATCCCAGCTTTTTGGGAGGCTGAGCCAGGCAAATCACTTGAATCCGGAGGGCGGCGGCTGCAGTGAGCCAGGATCACGCCACTGCACTCCAGCCTAGGCAAGAGAGTGAGACTCTGTCTGAAAAAAAAAAAAACAAAAACAGAAATCATCCCTATTCTACTTCATAACTTTTGCAACTTATCCTGCCAACAAGTTCTCAAAATAACCACTGTAGCACAAACATGATAAAGAAAATTTTTAAAGAGAAAAGGAAGAGATTAATCAGCTTTCTGAAATTAAAAGATAAAAATAGACCAAAACAATATAGAAAAAAAAAAGTAAAGGCAAACACAAACTCACACGCTGACTGGAAAGTTTATTCCATGGCAGCTAAAAATTGTTTGACCCAAACATCTCACAGATTAAAAACTAAATCACAACCTAACGAGGGTATCTAACACGTCCCCACCAGGCAAGAGTGCAGAGAGACCATCTAATGTTCCTATTTATTTAGAGTCTTGCTCTGTCACCTGACTAGAGTGTAGTGGTGTGATGTCCGTTCACTGCAGCCTCAACCTCCAAGCCTCACACAATCTTCTCTCAGCTCAGTCTCCAGAGTAGTTGGGATTACAAGTGCCTACCACCACACCCAGCTAATTTTTTTGTAGAGACAAGGCCTCACTTTGTTGCCCAGGCTGGTCTCAAACTCCTTTTAAATGAGGATTAAGTGATCCTCCTGACTCAGTCTCCCGAAAGTGCTGGGATTACATGTATCAGCCACCACACCCATCCTTAATGTCCTTTATAACTGAAAACTGACCAATTTTCACCTTGGAAGGTCAATGAAGTTTCACGAAGCCCCTCCGTCATAAACTTAAAGTGACTTAAGTTTACAGAGTTGGACAACCACTCTGTAAGTTTACAGAGTTGGACAACCACTCTGTAAGTTTACAGAGTTGGACAACCACTCTGTAAGTTTACAGAGTTGGACAACCCAGAGAAACCTGACTGTGGTCTGGGAAACTTTGCAGTTTTGCGGAATAGAGGAATGAGAGGAAGCAGTGTGGCTTGTCACTCGGCAAATTGACAACAAATCTGGCATTATGGAATTAACTGAAATAGTAGGAAAATGTAATAAATCACAAGTTTCAGAATGGGAAAACAAATTGTTGTGATACTTTTAAATTTCCATGGAAATCCATGTTTATCAAGTTTACATATTAGTAACCAATATGTAAATTGGTGTTTACATATTAGTAACCAATATGTAAATTTATATATTAGTAAACAATATATAAATTTGTATAATAGACTAAAAATAACATCTTCTCAAATATTAGAAATTCCCTGGGCCAGGTGCGGTGGCTCACACCTGTAATCCCAGCACTTTGGGAGGCCAAGGCAGGCAGATCATGAGGTCAAGAGATTGCGACCATCCTGGCTAACACGGTGAAACCCCGTCTCTACTAAAAATACAAAAATTAGTCAGGCATGGTGGTACGTGCCTGCAGTCCCAGCTACTCCAGCTACTTGGGAGGCTGAGACAGGAGAATCGCTTGAACCTGGGAGGCGGAACTTGCAGCGAGCCAAGATCGCACCACTGCACTGCAGCCTGGGCGACAGAGCAAGACTCTGTCAAAGAAAAAAAAAAAAAAAACAGGTTCTTATTCATGGGAATTTCAGGTCAGGTTAAACAACAACCTCCTAACAGGTAAGAGAGGGTAGCAATCCTGAACCAACTTTTCAACTGAATTAAAACATTTCAGTGCCTATTGAGTCCCAGAGACCAATAACTATCAAAAATTTTATCAAATCTCTTGGACAATAAATTATTAAGAATTGCTATCATAAAAATTACAAATTTGCATTATCTCAAAAAGCATGAATAGTGCTCTCAACTATAAACTTGTTTTATTAAATGGTATATATTGTAATGCAGTACAGTTTTCTATCACTTATTTCTAATTCACAGATATGAAAAGGAGAAATTTTGTTGGGGGAAGGGCGTTACAAATACAGAGTAGCAACCTAGCCATTTTTGCTGGTCCTTGTAATGACAATCACTGGTTGTGCCTAATTTTTCTACAACAATAATGCTTAAGGTGGCTCTCTAATAATAGCAATTGCCCTCTGAAAAGAAAGTGGCTCAGGGTATAAAGAGTTTACTCAAAAAAGGCCAAGGATAGTGCTTCAGAAATCCTATCCCTACCACCTGCTGCTTCTGTACAACCACCCCCATCCCCCACACCCACACCCATTTCTAACATCAACTTTCATGAACTGGTAAGAAACATAGTAGAGTAGAATGTTTCTTTGGCTTCCCAACTTGGTAATGTGAATTTACGGTGTAAGGATGGAAAAAATAAGATAAAAGCTTCAGAAAAATTTTTTAACATTAACACAAAAATAATCAGATCTTTAATATGTGCATATTCTGACAGAGGCTTGCCAATGGTTAAGACCTGTGCCTCTGATAAAGATGATGAACTACTCCAAAGTATCAAGTAATTTGATACTTTTTACAGTTAAGGAAAACTTTCAAATGAATGTAAATTTCACTGTGCCACTTGACATTTGTACAACAGGAAACCTCTATGTATTTACTTTTCCAACTCTAAGATTAGTAGCTTCAGTTCAAGTTTCCTGATTTTAGGTAGTAAAATTTTAAGATATTTATAGTTAATGTAAAAGCAGTAACTATATAGCTATGCTTTTTATTCATGACAAAATACACAAAAACAATCTAGCTAACACTATAAGACAAGAAAATGCTTTATTTTCCTAATTATTAAAAATTTAAACTTGAGGAAAGTGTAATTGGTGGTGCATGTTTTTTTAAGCCAAAGATAAATATACAAATCCACTTCATTGTCAAAAGGCATCTTCTCAGCAGGGTGCAGTGGCTCACGCCTGTAATCCTGGCACTTTGGGAGGCTAAGGAGGGTGGATTACCTGAGGTCGGGGGTTCAAGAACAGCCTGGCCAACATGGTGAAATGCTGTCTCTGCTAAAAATACAAAAAATTAGCTAGGTGCGATGGTGCACACCTGTAATCCCAGCTACTCTGGAGGCTGAGGCAGGAGAGTCGCTTGAATACAGGAGGCGGAGGTTGTGGTGAGCCGAGATCATACCACTACACTGGGCTACAGAGCAAGACTTCGTACAGAAAAAAAAAAAAGGCATCTTCTCTACTTAATGTAACTCACTAAGTTAATGAACATCTAAGTAACATTAGCAACTTAAAATATCTCTATGGCATTTAGCAAAGAAGATTAATTTTCATTTCTCAGGTGAATTATTTGCAATTTCACATAATTTCACTGGTTACAAACCTAATTTACACTGGTTACACATAAGTTTCACCTTCAGGGTCTTTACTATCCAACTACAGGGTCTTTTCTGCATGGATTCTTATACAGTATAGAGATACACAATTGAAAAACTTTCTCTTTGCTTTCCAATTCATATGTTAGTTTCCATTTACATGTTTCTAAAAACAACTGGAGATTCCACTCCCTTCAAAAGACACAATTTCAAAAAAAAGCTCTAAAAAGTTTAGACCCGTGAAATTTACCAGTAGACTTTACTTTCCTATAAAGAAAGCAGTACTAGTTTTCAAATCTAAAAGAAAAAGCTCTCTACAGACTTACATTTGTTCTAAATATTTCCAAAAGTTTTGATGTTTCATAGTTAGATTATACTGTTATTCAGCAGAAATTTTTTATCTTCTCCAAAGGCTACCTATTTCTTCATAATATGAGATTAAGAATTAAAATAATAAAGTGGCAATACCCTAATCGTCCAGTGCACTCAGGAGCTGCACTAATACAAATGAGCTCATTTCAAAAGTAGGGTGTGTGCGAGTGTGCGCGTGCGTGTGAGCGTGTGCGCGTGCACAAGCACGCCCTTACAGGAGTATGGGGTGTGGGGTGTGACAACACAGATCTAATCTTTCTGGAGTAAGAATTCAAATGCAAATTAAAAAAAAAAATTGCAAATTAATGTTCAGTAAGAGATGAAGAAATGCTTTGCAAATAGTGAAATGGGAGGCAATCAAGGTAAAACCCCCAATATGGCTTGTCCTGAGTTGCTTTAAAGGATGCAAAAAAGTGGCTTAGACGTCTAAAAATTACTTAAACCTCCACTTCCTTCTCCAAATTTCAGTTAATATAGAATAAGGGCATTTTATATTTGCCATTGTATTACAACGCAAGTGGCATAAGTAAGTCCTAACTTTGTATCACGAAGAAGCTAATGTAATAACGTACACACATCCTGTACTTGCCTCCCTCACGATTATCATAGCTAGGTAAGAGCTGGCAATAAAATATGGAGGCAAGTTGAAGGCCCTGAATCATTTTCATAGTAAAAGGACAGCGGGGCAAGAAAAGAGCACATTCAAGTCAAGAGCTTAATGGGTTCCCACAACCCAGCTCTGCTATGCCTCAGTTCACGCTACTATTTTTACTACAAATCACCAAACAACACTATTACTAAGTGAATGCACCCGAACCAAAGAAACAGCCTATCCATAAACGTGCTGGCTTCCTTCACGTCCCAGCGCACCCTTCCACTCCCGACAGTTCAATGAGAATATCATCTCATGAAATGAGTAAGCACACACGCCATTCTACAACTTCGAAAGACATTCACAGTTCTTCCACGGCACACGCGAGAGCCACAGAAGCCGAGCAGCTCGCTGGCACTAAAACGGTGTCTTAATTTACAAGCAAAGCCGTCAAATAACCGTTCTGTAAGAAGACATTTCTGGTCCTCTAATAAGCCGGTGTCCAGCCCTACAGTACGGTCGGTCAAAGGCAGGCGACCCTATTCCCAAGCCCCTTACAGCTAAGACTTACGAGGGAAACGACATTTACATCTGCACTCTCTCTGAATAAGTGCTCTTGGTATTCTGCCTTACGAGGGGACGCTGGCTACGTCTCCAAAACTTAGGCAGGCCGTTCCCCGAAGCTGGGGGTTCCCACAGGACTTGTGCTTTCGGAGCCCGGGAGTGCGGTGCTGGGTGTTGGGGGAGGGGGAAGGAAGAAGCCAAATGGCTTCCTAATATATCATCAAAAGAAGAAAACACAGGTTTGGGACCAGGAAAAGTTCCACGAACGAGTCGCTGACAAACAAAAGCTGCACTCGCCCGGCCGCTTTCTTCTCGCCCCCAGCCCGCGCCCCGAGACCACCTGGCCCGGGCGTTTTGACAGCTCCGAGTTTCCCGAGCGCCCACGGCTCGGCGGTTCGCTCGGAGTCCGTCCGGGGACTACCTGCGCGCGCTCCGGGCTTGTTTTCTCAATGATCCAGCTAGGCCAAGACGCGGCTACGAGAAATTTCTCCAAAAGAAGAGTCGCGGAGAAGACCCACTGAAAAGGCCCGACTGAAAAGTAAAGTGTGCGAAGCCGGGCGCCGACGGGAGCCCGGGCGGGCGGCGCGGAGCGGGGGAGGCCGGGCGCGGGCGGCTACCGAGGGGCGTGGGGCCGGGGCCGGGAGCTGCCGCCGCCCGCGGGCCCGCCCCGCCCCCATCCCGCCGGGGGGCGCCAAGGCGTGGAGGCCGCGGGGCGGGCGCCCGGTGGCAGCTCCGGCCCGGCGCCGCCGCTGGCTCCCGGCCTGGCTCCCTCGCACTCAACTTACTTCTTTCTGGCTCTCTGGAAAGGGGAAGCGCCTTGCGAGGCCGGCCCCGAGGTCTTTTGTCTGCGGCTGGGGGGCTCGGGGCCGGGGCTCCAGGCTCCTCGGGGGGTGGTGGCTGCGGCTGCTCCACGCACTTGTTCTCCTCCGACGACATCCTAGTCACCAGGAAAGACACATGGATCCCGGTCCTCCTCTTGGGGGGCTCCCGCCGCCGCGGCCGCCGCCGCCGCTGCTCGGGTTCCTCCTCCCCGGCTCAGACTCTCGCATTTCCCGAAGCCCCGGGAGCAGCAGCAGGTACCGGGAGAGGCGGCAACATGGAGCGAGCAGGACACGCACGCGCGCAGGGGCCGGGCGGGGAGCGGGCGGGCGGGCGGCGTGAGGGGCGCCGGCCTCCGGGGTCTCCGCCCGCGGCCCCTCCCCCGGGCCGCCCGCAGCAGGAAGAGAAAGGGGCCCGGCGCGGGGAGGGCGGGCCGCGGGGCCCGGGCGGCGGCGAAGTTTTGACAGCTGCTCCAGCGGCGGCGCTGGGCGTCGGGCCGCGGCTCGCTCCTCACACTCGCTCTCACACACGCTCGCTCGCTCTCCCGGAGCAGGGGAGGAGGAAGTTTTGCGGGTGTGCGTGGACCCCCCACACACGCCGCGCGACCGTGGCCGTCGCGCGAGGCCCGCGCCGGGGATCCCCCGGGGCGACCCGCACCACAGACCTCCCCAACTCGCAGCCGTCGCGCCCACACAACGCCTCCTCGACGGCCCCCGCCCGCTCCCCCACTCTCGGCCCCTCGCCCGCCCCCCGCGCGCCGCCGCTGCCACTCACGGGCCTCGCTCCGCGCATGCGAAGCTCCCGCCGCCCGCGGACGCGCCGCCGCCGCTGACCTCACCGCCCCTCCCCCTCCCCATGGGTTCCCTCCCCCTGTGACGGGGCGGCCGGGCCCAGCCGCGACTTCGGCTCCGGCTCCGGCTCCGGCTCGGGAGGGAGCCAAGCTGTGGACCCAGAGATCCGGGATCGGGATCGGGGGACTGCGGGCGAGGGCGGGAGGGAGCCGCGGACACACGCCGAGGCGGCGCGGGCGCCCGGCGCAGCCCGGCGCGAGGAGCAAGTGTGCGCCCGCAGGGCGAGGGCAGCCGGGGCTTCGCTGGTTCTTGCCGAGGTCTTTCCTCGTATCGCCCACACTACGGGGAGGAAAAGGAATGGAGTCAACTTCGTTCTAATCCAACGCCAGTTACAGTTTCCTTATTATAACGTCATTTTTTTAATCCAGAAAAGGTTCATAAGGATGTAAGACGAAAAGAACGATGACAGCTCGAGAAATAAAACGGTTAGAGACAAAATAAGCCAATAAAAACCCAACCACTTGATTTTAACGTTCAGTGTGTTGTGATGAAGAGGCAAAAATCGAAGTATTTCTAAGCCACCTCTCATAACATGTAAAAATGGTAAAAGGAAAAATGGGGCTAGAATCCGCCTGAAAAATGCACTTTCTCAAGAAGGACAGTTACAAATATGGGATTCCGGATTCCTCAGGCTAATACCTAACACTTGGACGATGATCTATTCTGTGCTTTCCATTAACTATCGATTAGTATATGGGAGTGAAAAAATTCTAGATTTGAATAGGGGGGAAATAGTAAGACCTATCAACCATTTGTGAAGGATTGGGGTAAACTATCATTTAATAAGCATCTACTTTGGACCTGGCGTTAAGAGGCACACTCTCATCTTGATTTCGTTTGATCTTCACAATGTAGTTTTAGTGTAAGGTAAAAAAAAAATAGGCTCCTTTTGCAGCGATGTTGTTTGCTTTCCCTTCTAGTAGCTAGGATGTTAACTTTAAACTGTGTCTTCTACTTGGGCAAAATACACACACTTTGATTCCCAGAGCCTATTCTAAATGAAAGCATAATTTTTCGAAATGGCTGAAATGAGGAATAACGTCAGATAGTCATTTGAATACCTTCAGGGTTTAATCCCTGCTGGCTCTTTCAAATTTACTAAATTTATAACCAAAGGAAATTTGGGATTGAGGAGGAGGCTGGCATGGTAAATGCAAACTAGAAATTAAAAGTGCCTGGCGATTACACATAGAAATACAACATGACTAGTGATAAACATATGATGTGATCTAGTGAAAGTTTACTAAGTACAAATTTGAAAGCACCCTTTTTTCATTTTTTTCAGCACATTGTACTTTAAATGAAGTGTGGTTTCAAAACTGGATTATTGATCCAAATGTTTAGCTGTGTTCCATACTGAAATTAGATAGGCACTTCCACGGTGAGTTTCACATGCACAAAATTATACATCAGGATAATTTACTTCCATACACTTCTCCAGCACTTCCGAGAACTTAAGTGTCAGTGGATACAAATTGCAAGTCACTCCTGCTGGAGAGTTCACAAGAAACAAAGGGTACTAAGAGCAGAAAAGTGAGCCGAGTGAATGGAAGGGTAGAAACAGAGGTTTTGTGCAGGGATGCTTCTGGATAGATGAAGATGATGCACGTAAGTAAACTCAGCCTGAAATCTCCATTCCTTTGGCCACTATGAGCAGGGAGTTGGGATCTGTTTTAAGAGAACTGATAGCAGTCTCCTTGGCATGAAGTTATCATGAGCAGAGCAAATCAAATATAACCCAGGATGCTGAGGAAGGATTCAAGGAATACTTATTCAACATAAATAAAGGTTTTCCAGAGGTTTTTCCATCTCAGTCATCCAAATTACACAGCTCTGAGACCATAGTAGCAAAAATCTAGGAGGCAGGGAGCTGAGGTCCTTCAAAATTACGAAAGAAAAAGGCAGGAGCATCTGAAAATAGTACCAAATACAATAGAAAAATATTAGAATGTGTACTTTCTAATAAGTATACATGTTAAATATGGGATTTTAAATTTAGGTAGATGTGTACTAACCTGTTAACCAATCATCTGCAAAGGGTTGAATTACAAGGGACTTTTACTGTCTAAAATATTTGAATATTTCAAAGCACATGTAGTAATCGTTTAATCATATATATATATATATATATATTTAGTTTTTAATGGGGAGGGAATGAGCATTGTTATCTGTGACAAAGAAAAACCAACATCTCAGGAAAATATAGGCAAGGAAGATTCTCAAAGCATCTAGCAAACAAGTGACAGTGAATAAAAATTCATAGTCCAATATTCATTCTTACTAATTGAAGACCTATAACACGTCATTGATATTGTCTTTATTTAGAATGCACAGGTTCACTACTAAATGTTGTCTCTCTTGTTTTCCCATAAATTCCTCAGGGCTTTTTAGGAACCAAACTTTCACAGTTATAGAAGGACTACTGAAAGCTTAAATTTTAGATCTTAGAATTTTTGTGTTCATATTGTTATTATTAAAGTTGCACTGTAGGCTGGGCACCGTGGCTCATGCCTGTAATCCTAGCACTTTGGAAGGCCAAGGCAGGTGGATCACTTGAGCTCAGGAGTTCGAGACCAGCCTGGGCAACATAGTGAGACCTCCGTCTCTACAAAAAAATACCAAAGAAAATTAACCAGGCCTGGCTGGGCGCGGTGGCTCACGCCTATAATCCCAGCACTTTGAGAGGCCAAGGCAGGTGGATCATGAGGTCAGGAGATCGAGACCATCCTGGCTAACACGGTGAAACCCTGTCTCTACTAAAAATGCAAAAAGTTAGCCGGGCGTGCTGGCAGGTGCCTGTAGTCCCAGCTACTCGGGAGGCTGAGGCAGGAGAGTGGCGTGTACCCGGGAGGGGGAGCTTGCAGTGAGCTGAGATCGCGCCACTGCACTCCAGCCTGGGTGATGGAGCGAGACTCCGTCTCAAAAAAAAAAAAAAAAAAAATTAACCAGGTCTGGTGGCACATGCTTGTAGTCCCAGCTACTTGGGAGGCTGAAGTGGGAGACAGTCTTGCTCTGTCACCTAGGCTAGAGTGCAGTGATGCGATCTCAGCTCACTGCAACCTCCACCTCAAATTTGCCGGGCACGGTGGCTCATGCCTGTAGTCCCAGCACTTTGGGAGGCCAAGGCAGGCGGATCACCTGAGGTCAGGAGTTCGAGACCAGCGTGGCCAACATGGTGAACCCCCGTCTCTACTAAAAATACAAAAATTAGCCTGGCATGGTGGTGTGCGCCTGTAATCCCCGCTATTCTGGAGGCTGAGACAGGAGAATTGTTTGAACCCAGGAGGCGGAGGTTGCAGTGAGCCAAGATCACGCCATTGCACTCTAGCCTGGGCAACAAGAGCGAAACTCCGCCTCAAAAAAAAAATTCATATTGCTATATAAGTTATTTCAGTAAAGTATATCATGTACCTGTTTGGTGGAAAAGTTAAAGGAAGAAACCAGGAAGGAAACAAACAGAACAGTCATCTTCAAAAGTAATTTGTGTTTAAGAATGTGAGGCTTAAGTAGATGTTTTGCAGTACATTTTATATAGATACAAATCTTGCCCTCTAGGGGTCTATACTTTAAGCCTGGCAGTAGTAGTTAACAAGGATAAACACAAAAGGACAAGTAAGCAACTAGAAAATAAACATGGAGGCCGGGCACGGTGGCTCATGCCTGTAATCCCAGCACTTTGGGAGGACGAGGTGAGAGGATCACGAGGTCAGGAGTTCGAGACCAGCCTGGCCAATATGGTGAAACCCTGTCTCTGTTAAAAATATAAAAACTAGCCGGGCGTGGTGGTGCACACCTGTAGTCCCAGCTACTCAGGAGGCTCAGGCAGCAGAATCCCTTGAACCTAGGAGGCGGAGGGTGCAGTGAGCCGAGATTGTACCAGTGCACTCCAGCCTGTGGGCAATAGAGGCAGACACCACCTCCAAAAAAAAAAAAAAAAAAAAAAAAAAGAGAAAGAAAGAAAAGAAACATGGAAAAACATACAAATAGAAAGATTAAATATTTACATCCATTGTGTACAAGATCATAGTTTTAAAAGAAATGCATCTGTGGATTCAGGGGGAAGGGCAGCAGTGGGAGAAGTCATAGCAGACAACCATATCTATTCAGAAGAGGGTGACAGAACACATTCTGCTGGCAAGTATCATAAACTAGAAATTTTCAGGCCAGGCACGGTGGTTTACACCTGTAATCCCAGCACTTTGGGAGGCCGAGGTAGGCAGATCACTTGAGGTCAGGAGTTCGAGACCAGCCTGACCAACATGGTGAAACCTCGCCTCTACTAAAAATACAAAATTAGCCAGGCGTGGTAGCAGGCACCCGTAATCCCGGCTATTCTGGAGGCTGAAGCAGGAGAATTGCTTGAATCAGGGAGGCAGAGGTTGCAGTGAGCCAGGATCGTGCCACTGCACTCCAGCCTGGGTGACAGAGTGAGACGCTGTCTCAAAAAAAGAAAGAAAAGAAAGAAAGAAGGAAGAAATGGAATAGACAGCCCTATTCATCACCCTGCAGGCTGAAGCCTTAATTCCTTGGCTTGACTCACTAGGTCCGGAGAGCCCCTGCTACCCTCTGGCGAACGTGCTCATCTCTTCCCCAGCTTTCCTTCTCACCTGACCACCAGTTTTCAGAACTCCTTCCAGTGGGCTACAAACCACCAGGCTGTCCCATCACCCTTCCCCTTTCCACGAGGCCAGTTCCTACTTTTTATTCAGCTCTTGCTTTAGACCTCTGCCCTCCGTGAGAATGGCTGTGTCCCCCTAAATGCTTCTGCCAACCTTGTGCTTTCCCCACTCACAGCTCTCATTGCCTGTAATCAAAGTGCCCAGATTAATGTCTGTATCGTCCCTCCAGCGGAGATGGCAGTAGTTATCTGCCTTATTTCCCCTATTCAACAGCAGCTCAGTGAACAGTTGTAGGGTAACTGAAATGAATATGAAAATGTAGATTAGGTGTTAGAAAAAGAGCTAAGAGGATCCTTTATAGGAGTGTTTATTTTATTTTATTTTTTGAGACAGGGTCTCACTCTGTCACCCAGGCTGGAGTGCAATGGCACTATCTCAGCTCACTGCAACTTCCACCTTCAGGGCTCAAGCAATCCTCCCACCTCAGCCTCCCAAGCAGCTGACTACAGGCACACACCACCACGGCCGGCTATTGTTTTGTATTTTTAGTAGAGACAGGGGTCTTGTCATATTGCCCAAGCTGGTCTTGAATGCCTGAACTCCACCTGGCTCAGGCCTCCCAAAGTGCTGGGATTATAGGCTCGAGCCATGGCCACTGGCCGGTAGTGTTTATTTTATTTATTTATTTATTTATTTATTTATTTATTTATTTTTTGAGACTGAGTCTCGCTCTATTGCCCAGGCTGGAGTATAGTGGCGCAATCTTGGCTCACTGCAATTTGTCCACCTCCCAGGTTCAAGAGATTCTCGTGCCTTAGCCTCCGGAGTAGCTGGGATAACAGGCACCCGCCATCACACCTGCCTAATGTGTTTATTTTTTCAAAAAAGAAACTGTATCTTTAGAGAAAATGTATACATGCATACTTTGCTACATTTTTGTTGATTGTTACATTTTACATTTGTATAACAATACAGGCAAGTCATCTTTGCACTCATAACCACATCTTTTATGGAACATCAAGCCTACTCTGAGGTACAGGCTTTCAGAAGCCTGAATTTGGAGGACCATGCCTGATCCAAATGGAGTCTCCAGAATCAAAAGTGCTCAAAATAATCATTCATGGTTCTCAGACCAAATAAGATCTCCTTAGAAACATTTCTCGACAGCACGCTGCCACGCCGACGCAGACCCTGCTCTGCACACCAGCCCCCCTGCACCCACCATGGCCACAGTTCAGCAGCTGGAAGGAAGATGGCGCCTGGTGGACAGCGAAGGCTTTGATGAATACATGAAGGAGCTAGGAGGAAATAGCTTTGCAAAAAATGGGCGCAATGGCCAAGCCAGATTGTATCATCACTTGTGATGGCAAAAACCTCACCATAAAAACTGAGAGCACTTTGAAAACAACACAGTTTTCTTGTACCCTGGGAGAGAAGTTTGAAGAAACCACAGCTGATGGCAGAAAAACTCAGACTGTGTGCAACTTTACAGATGGTGCATTGGTTCAGCATCAGGAGTGGGATGGGAAGGAAAGCACAATAACAAGAACATTGAAAGATGGGAAATTAGTGGTGGACTGTGTCATGAACCATGTCGCCTGTACTCGGATCTATGAAAAAGTACAATAAAGATTCCATCATCACTTTGGACAGGAGTTAACTAAGAGAATGACCAAGCTCAGTTCAATGAGCAAATCTCCATACCGTTTCTTTCTTTCTTTTTTTTTTTTCATTACTGTGTTCAATTATCTTTATCACAAACATTTTACATGCAGCTATTTCAAAGTGTGTTGGATTCATTAGGATCATCCCTTTGGTTAATAAATGAATGTGTTTCTGCTTAAAAAAAAAAAAAGAAAGAAAAAAAGAAACATTTCTCAGGCCGGGCACAGTGGCTCACAGACCAGGCACAGTGGCACACGCCTGTAATCCCAGCACTTTTGGGAGGCCGAGGCGGGTGGATCCCCTGAGGTCAGGAGTTTGAGACCAGCCTGACTAACATGGAGAAACCCTGTCTCTACTAAAAACACAAAATTAGCCGGGCATGGTGGCACATGGCTACTCAGTCCCAGCTACTCAGGAGGCTGAGGCAAGAGAATTGCTTGAACCCGGGAGGCAGAGGCTGTGGTGAGCCGAGGGTGAGCCGAGATTGCGCCATTGTACTCCAGCCTGGGCGACAAGAGCGAAACTCCGAAACTCCATGTCCAAACAAAAAAAGAAACATTTCTCTGAGCCAAGATAATGTTGAGGGGGAAATGATCACAGAATAGCATATATGTATCATAATCTTATGTAAAATGGTGTAAATCTATAATTATGTATGCATATAATATGTGCAAAGTAGTAATGTTCATCAAGTTGTAAACAATGGTTATCTCTGGACTAGGATTCCAAATGACCTTTCCCCTATTTTTTTTGAGACAAGTCTCACTCTGTTGCCCTAGCTGGAATGCAGTGGTGCAATCATGGCTCACTGAAGCCTCAACCTCCTGAGCTTAAGCAATCCTCCCGCCTCAGCCTCCCAACGTGCAGGGATTACATGCATGAGCCACCACGCCCAGACTAAATATGTGTTAAACTAAAGCAGAAGCATCATTACCCGAGTAGGCTCTATAGGAGGAAAGAGGAGACAAGTGAGGAAAGGAGAGAGAATGAAAAAAAGAGACTTAAATTGTAAGCATTGAAGGTTAGGATGGGAAGGCGATTCGCATTTAAATCTCAGGACCCCATTTAGGCTTCTACCTCCCTGACCGCTGGGAGGCTGGTTGCTTTTCACCCCTCTGGGTTCACTTCTATTTGTCTGTGAGCTGTCAGCATCCTTCCCCACTTGTCTTGCCCTGCCTCTGCCAGGGAGGCAGAGTTGGGAGTCGTGGCACAGGCATGCACGCTGTGCAGCCTCCCACACCTGCACCCTGAAAGACCAACAGACACCCTAAGAAACCTGATACACAAGCACAAACTGATAAGATACCCAAAAAGTCAAAGGCAGACAGCAAAACATGGCTAATATTACACAGTACTGCAAGAGAAAGTAACACCAAAACAAAACAAAACACAGACATCATCTCTCAGTTCCTTCTCAAATAAAAAAAAAAGGCCAGGTGCAGTGGCTCACACCTGTAATCCCAGCACTTTTGGAGGCCGAGGTGGGCGGATCACTTGAGGCCAGGAGTTTGAGACTAACCTGGCCAACCATGGCCAACATGGTGAAATCCCCCTATCTCTACTAAAAATATAAAAAATTAGCCGGGCGTGGTGGCTGGCACCTGTAATCCCAGCTACTGAGAGGCTGAGGCAGGAGAACTGCTTGAACCTGGGAGGTGGAGGTTGCAGTGAGCTAAGATTGTACCACTGCACTCCAGCCTGGGCAACAGAGTGTGACTCTGTCTCAAAAAAAAAAAAAAAAAAAGGGTGGGTGAGGTGGTGGCTCACACCTGTAGTCCTAGCACTTTGGGAGGCCAAGGTGGAAGGCTCTCTTGAGGCTAGGAATTCGAGACCTGCCTGGACAACAGACAGAAACACTGTCTCTACAAAAAATAAAAAAACTAGCTAGGTGTGGTGGTGTGTGCCTGTAGTCCCAGGTACTTGGGAACCTGAGCAGGAGGACTGCTTGAGACCAGGGAGCTGGGCCTGCAGTGAACCATGGTTATGCCCCTGCACTCCAGATAGGGTGAAATGGGTAGTTTTTCACTTGATCTCCTCCTCATTGTCTCTTACGTTTAAACAAGTCTCAAACCTGGTGCAGAGGTGCATGTACCTCCATTGCTGGACAAGGCCTGACTTTTGCCTGCTGGTAGGGCCTCCTCAGTTCTAACCAGCCTTCTGTGACCTCATTCTCTATCCTGGTTCCATTTTCCACTTTGTGACTTCATCAGTTAAAGATCCCATTTCAGCCACCAAGGTTGAGAGGCCCCAAGACCCAGTTCCTTTACAGAATCAACCCTGGGGTGGCTTTAGGACTGGGCTCTTTGGAGCTCATCCTTGGACCCACAGTGGAGTGCTGGTCCGTGCTGATGTCTTCAGATACCAATCAATGGGCATTTGGCTCCTTGCTTCCACTGACCTCTTGAGTACTTTCAACGATCGGTGTCAGGAGTGCCCCAGCTGCTGTTTCTAGAGCATCTCTGCAACCCACGGTGGCCTCTCCTCTCTCTGCGGGCCATGGACAGCACAGTCCCTTCAGCCCTGGAGCTGCCCCAGCGGCTGGCACTGAACCCAAGGGAGAGCCCGAGGAGTCCAGAAGAGGAGGAGCCCCACCTGCTGAGCAGCTTGGCTGCAGTCCAGACCCTGGCCAGTGTCATCCGGCCTTGCTATGGCCCCCACGGCCGGCAGAAGTTCCTGGTGACCATGAAAGGAGAAACAGTGTGCACGGGGTGTGCCACTGCCATCCTCAGGGCCCTGGAGCTGGAGCACCCAGCAGCATGGCTCCTCCGGGAAGCAGGACAAACCCAGGCAGAGAATAGTGGGGACGGCACAGCCTTCGTGGTTCTGCTGACGGAAGCCTTGCTGGAACAGGCAGAGCAGCTGCTGAAGGCTGGCCTGCCTCGCCCGCAGCTCCGGGAGGCCTACGCCACGGCCACTGCAGAGGTCCTGGCCACACTGCCCTCCCTGGCCATCCAATCTCTGGGGCCTTTGGAAGATCCATCCTGGGCCCTCCATTCTGTGATGAATACCCACACCCTGTCCCCCATGGACCACTTGACCAAGCTGGTGGCCCACGCCTGCTGGGCTATCAAGGAACTAGACGGCAGCTTCAAGCCTGAGCGTGTTGGGGTGTGCGCGCTGCCCGGGGGGACACTGGAGGATTCCTGCCTCCTCCCGGGGTTAGCAATATCTGGGAAGCTCTGTGGGCAAATGGCCACAGTGTTAAGTGGTGCCAGGGTGGCTCTCTTTGCTTGCCCCTTTGGTCCTGCCCATCCAAATGCACCAGCAACGGCCCGTCTTTCTAGTCCTGCTGATCTAGCTCAATTTAGTAAAGGAAGCGATCAATTACTAGAAAAGCAAGTAGGCCAGCTAGCAGCTGCAGGAATTAATGTGGCAGTGGTGTTGGGGGAGGTCGACGAGGAGACCCTCACACTGGCGGACAAGTATGGCATCGTGGTGATTCAAGCTAGGTCTTGGATGGAGATCATTTACCTGAGTGAGGTGTTGGACACACCTCTGCTGCCTCGTCTGCTCCCTCCCCAGAGGCCAGGCAAGTGCCAGAGGGTTTACAGGCAGGAGCTGGGAGATGGTTTGGCTGTGGTATTTGAATGGGAATGTACAGGCACACCTGCCCTCACTGTGGTTCTCAGGGGAGCCACCACCCAGGGGCTGCGGAGTGCAGAGCAGGCCGTCTACCACGGCATTGATGCCTATTTCCAGCTATGTCAAGATCCCAGACTGATTCCAGGAGCTGGGGCCACAGAAATGGCTTTGGCAAAAATGCTTTCTGATAAAGGAAGCAGATTGGAAGGGCCCAGTGGGCCTGCATTCCTAGCATTTGCCTGGGCCCTGAAGTATCTTCCTAAAACTTTGGCAGAGAATGCAGGCTTAGCTGTCTCAGACGTGATGGCAGAAATGAGTGGAGTGCACCAAGGTGGGAACCTCCTAATGGGTGTGGGAACTGAAGGGATAATAAATGTGGCCCAGGAAGGGGTGTGGGACACCCTAATAGTCAAAGCCCAAGGATTTCGAGCAGTGGCTGAGGTGGTGCTACAGCTCGTGACTGTAGATGAAATCGTAGTGGCCAAGAAAAGTCCCACACATCAGGAGATCTGGAATCCTGACTCTAAGAAGACAAAGAAACACCCACCTCCTGTGGAAACAAAAAAAATCCTTGGATTGAATAACTAGTGATACCCTCAATAAAACAGGGATTGCCAAGAAGGGAACAATCACCCCAAAAATGAATGTTTGCCTTTATTCCGTGTTTGGTACTTGATTCACTTTCTTTAAATAAAAACATGAAGGAACATAAAATTTCTTTTCATGCGCTTAGTTCCTTTCCAGTTCTCGACTTTTTTTGTTTTTTTTTTTTGAGAGACGGAGTCTTGCTCTGTTGCCCAGGCTGGTGTGCAGTGGCGTGATCTTGGCTCACTGCAACCTCCGCCTCCCAGGTTCAAGCGATTTTCCTGCCTCAGCCTCCTGAATAGCTGGGACTACAGGTGCGCGCCACCACGCCCAGCTATTTTTTGTATTTTTAGTAGAGACGGGGTTTCACCATATTGACCAGGCTGGTCTCGAACTCCTGACCTCATGATCCTCCCGCCTCAGCCTCCCAAAGTGCTGGGATTACAGGCGAGAGCCACTGTGCCCAGCCAGTTCTTGACCTTTTCATTTTGTGTTTCTATCAGATGCTCTTCCTTTCCTATGATAAGAGCAGGATTCAATTCTATTAAGATTTTTAAACTGAGTACCTATGTGGGCTTTGGGCGTGCAAAACACAGTGCAGCAATCTCTTCCCAACTATTTGAGCATTCCCTGCATGATATTCTGACATATATGGACTTATGTCTAGATGTCACTTTAGGAGTCTGAAAACATCAGTTGCAGCTTACAAGAGTGGTCAGTCCTTCCTGTTGTGGTTATTTGAAAAAAAAGAAGGGACTATCATCTTAAAGCACAGAGAGAGAGAGAGAGCAGGAGAAAGAGCTGCTGTGGTGGCAGGCAGAAATGTAACTTAAAAAGAAAAAAATCCTTGCCTGGCAAAGTGGCTCATGCCTATAATTCCTGCACTTTGGGAGGCTGAGACAGGAAGATCGCTTGAGTCCAGGAGTTCAAGACTAGCCTGGACAACATAGTGAGACCCTATCTCTACAAAAATAAAAATTAAAAAAAATTAGCCAGGCATGGGCCGGGCATGGTGGCTCAAGCCTTTAATCCCAGCACTTTGGGAGCCCAAGGTGGGTGGATCAGCTGAGGTCAGGAGTTCAAGACCAGCCTGGCCAACGTGGAGAAACCCCATCTCTACTAAAAATACAAAACAGTAGCCGGATGTGATGGCACATGCCTGTAATCCCAGCTATTTGAGAGGCTGAGGCAGGAGAATTGCTTGAACCTGGGAGGCAGAGGTTGTGGTGAGCTGAGATGACACTATTGTACCCCAGCCTGGGCAACAAGAGCAAAACTCTGCCTCAAAAAAAAAAAAAAAAAAAAAAATTAGCCAGGCGTGGTGATGCATACCTGTAGTCCCAGCTACTCAGGAGGCTGAGTGGGGGGATCACTTAAGCCCAGGAGATCGAGGTTGCAGTGAGCTGTGATTGTGCCACTGCACTCCAGCCTAAGAGACAGAGCAAGACCCTGTCTCAACAAAACAAAACAAAACCAGCAAACATCCTTGGCATAGATAACAGAAGATAAGAACACATACTTTAGGACTATACTAAGGTTGCTGTGTAGGTGAGGAGAAAGCTGAGGGTAGGGGGAAGGGCTAGGATTGGACAACCTTGGGCATTAAAGAAGGGGTTTGAGCAGAGCTGAGTGGGTTTGGCACCTAATACGCAAAGCTTTTTCCACTTTTTTAACTTCCAAGTTACTCTAGGAAAAATCAGAACCTATGGGACAGAATCTAGGAGATGAGAAGGTACAATCTTTTAGAATCATAAAAATAAAAAAGCTTTAGGCATATGCAGAGAGAATGAGACTCAAGAAACCATTGTCTTATAGCACGCATATTAGCCGCAACACAGCAAAACAAAATTTTATTTATTTATTTATTTATTTTGAGACAGAGTCTTGCTCTGTCACCCAGGCATAGTGACTGGTGTGGCCCAGGCACCAGTGCAGCAGTGCAGTCTCAGCTCACTGCAACCTCTGCCTCCTGGGCTCAAATGATTCTCCTGCCTCAGCCTCCTGAGTAGCTGGGACTACAGGTGTCCACCACCATGCCTGGCTAATTTTTGTATTTTTAGTAGAGACGGGGTTTCGCCATGTTGGTCAGGGTGGTCTCAAACTTTGGACCTCAGGTGATCCACCTGCCTCGGCCTCCCCAAATGCTGAGATTACAGGTGTGTCCCACCCCAATTTGCTATATCTTGATTTTGTCTAGAATCTAAGTATCCTCTTTAATGTCATCTTTAAGTGTCTTTTTTTTTTTTTTTTTTTTTTGAGATGGAGTCTCACTCGCCCAGGCTAGAGTGCAGTGGCATGATCTTGGCTCACTGCATCCACCTCCCGGGTTCAAGTGATTCTCCTGCCTCAGCCTCCCAGTAGCTGGGATTACAGGGGCCCGCCACTAAGTCAGACTAATTTTATTTATTTATTTATTTATTTTTTGAGATGACATCTCACTCTGTCACCCAGCCTGGAGTGCAGTGGCGTGATCTCGGCTCACTGCAACCTCCACCTCCCAGGTTCAAGAGATTCTTCTGTCTCAGCCTCCTGAGTAGCTGGGACCACAGGCGTGCGCCACCATGCCCGGATCATTTTTGTATTTTTAGTAGAGACAGGGTCTCACCATAATGGCCAGGCTGGTCTTGAACTCCTGACCTCGTGATCCACCCATCTCAGCCTCCCAAAGTGCTGGGATTACAGGCATGAGCCACTGCCCCCAGCCAATTTTTTTGAATTTTTTGTAGAGACGGGGTTTCACCATGTTGGCCAGGCTGGTCTCGAACCCCTGACCTCAAATGATTCACCCGCCTCGACCTCCCAAAGTGCTGGGATTACAGGCATGAACCACCGACCCCAGCATAAGTGTCCTCTTTAGTTGTCAAAACATATGACTCAAACATCAAGTTGGTTTTTTTCTCCTACTGACTATGGAGAAGTTGAGCAGAATTTGACCTCAATTTGGCCAGATCCAGATTCTTCTTCTGAGGTTACAGGATCAAGGTCTCCTAGCATGCTAGGTCTCAATACTCAAAGGCTTTGGCTTTGGAGTTGGCTACATATTTCTCTTCCAAGATGAGCTGTTTGCTTCAATTCCAGAAGCTGTTGAATTTCAGAAATGACAATTCCTGGAGTACATTTTCTTTTTTTTTTTTTTTTTTGAGATGGAGTTTCACTCTTGTTGCCCAGGCTGGAGTGCAATGGCATAATCTTGGCTCACCGCAACCTCCGCCTCCCAGGTTCAAGCGATTCCCCTGCCTCAGCCTCCCTAGTAGCTGGGATTACAGGCATGTGCCACCACACCCAGCTAATTTTGTATTTTTAGTAGAGACGGGGTTTCTCCATGTTGGTCAGGCTGGTCTCGAACTCCCAACCTCAGGGGATCCGCCCGCCTCGGCCTCCCAAAGTGCTGGGATTACAGGCATGAGCCACTGGGCCCGGCCATCCCCGGAGTACGTTTTCTATAAGAACTTGTAGCTGGTGGACTCATCCCAGACCCCTTCCAGCTTTGTGACACTGCTTTACTGTGCTCCAGGTTGATCTAGCAACCAGGGAACAATAGCCACAATCCGGAGAAAACAGGGGAGGAAAATGAGAACTAAGTCCTGGGAAATGAAGGAGATGAGAGGCTGACTTGGATAGTGGAGGCTGGGAATGAGCCTTGGGAACTGCTCATCCATTTGGGCTATACGTAGGCCAGTCATGGTGACTCATTACCTCTAATCCCAGTAGTTTGGAAGGCCAAGGCAGGCAGATCACTCGAGGTTAGGAGTTTGAGACCAGCCTGGACAGCACACTGATACCCCTTTTCTACAAAAAAATAAATTACCCAGGTGTGGGGGCATGCACCTGTAGTCCCACTTACTTGGAAGGCTGAGGCAAGAGAATCTCTTGAACCCAGGAGGCAGAGGTTGCAGTGAGCCGAGATGGTGCCGCTGCACTCCAGCCTGGGCAACAGAGCAAGACTCCATCTCAAAATAATAATAATAATAATAATAATAATAATAATAATAATAATAATACATTAAAAAATAAAAATTAACTGGGCATGGTGGTGAACACCTGTAGTCCTAGCTACTGGGGGGCTGAGGTGGAAGGATTTCTTGAGCCCAGGAAGTCGAGGCTGCAGTGAGCAGTGATTGGTCCACTGCACTCCAGCCTGGGTGACAAAGTGAGACCCTTTCTCAAGAAAAAAAAAAAAAAAGACTTCAATCTACAAAAACATTGGAGTTCTGATGAAGAGAAAAAGGTATCAATTCCAAACTGTGAAAAGAACTGTGAAGAGACTATTGAAAACAAAACAACAGAAAAGAGTTGTCATAGTTTGCCAGTCCTTTCCCTACATGGGCCAGCCTCTTCTCATGTGTATTGAGTTGTTTCTCCAGAGTCTTTATTTATTTATTTATTTATTTTTGAGATGGAATCTTGCTCTGTCACCCAGGCTGGAGTGTAGTGGTGTGATCCCAGCTCATTGCACCAGTAGACAGGTATGACAGATATTCCAAAAGTAGCTGAGTCACCTTTTCCCCTGAAACATCAAGCATCCCCACCCCCACCCCCCCGCCGCAGGCTAAAGATCCTCTTTCCTAACTAGGGAGGAAGAGGAAGAAAGTTAGGGTAAGAATGAGGGAGATGGTGGTAGAATCTCTGACAGGGATTCTACTCACCTCCCAGTGGGTTCCAAGGAGTGAGATGGGGGAAAGGACAATTAGAATCCACAACAAAGTTTGGGGGTCTGAGAACAGAGGAGATTCTCTGCTTCCAATCTGGAACCCTGGGGCCCCAAGAAGTTCCCTGTGCCAATGGGACAGCAGAGCTGTAGAGCAGGAATGGCTGAGGCCTCGGGCGTAGATGGGCCCCGGGTAGTTGATGGGGTGTTCGCGGCCGAGCAGCCTCAGAGAACAGCCAGGTTCCCCCATGAAGCAGCAACCATGAAGCCCCTGAACCTTAGGGCATTTCAAGGTCATGAGAAAAGGTAGGATTGTAAACTTTAGCTGAGGCTTGAGAAAGACAGAAAATGACCTCAGACCACAGGACACCAAGATGCTGCATCAGCCCGTGGACTGGAGGCTAATTGTCGGGTGAATGAGAGAAGGAGGTGAAGGAGAAGATCAAGAAGGGACTTGGTTGAGGTTTGGCCTGATCAGGAAAAATCATAAAAGGCCAAAGTTTACCTGGAATTGACTAGATTAAGTATCTTACCATCAGGCAGAAAAAGGGGGCTAGAAATAGAAATACTGAGATGATTTAGTTATAAAAGCATAGCACGAATACTTCCCACACATTGGAGTGTAGGACTTAAGAATTTAAACTCTCGGCCGGGCGTGGTGGCTCATGCCTGTAATCCCAGCACTTTGGGAGGCCAGGGCAGGCAGATCACCTGAGGTCAGGAGTTTCAGATCAGCCTGGACAACATGGTGAAACCCTGTCTCTAATAAAAATACAAAAATTGCCCAGGTGTTTTGGTGGGTGCCTGTAATCCCAACTACTCAGGAGGCTAAAGCAGGAGAATCCCTTGAGCCTGGGAGGCAGAGGTTGTAGTGAGTCAAGACCCTGCCACTGCACTCCAGCCCGGGCAACAGAGCGAGACTCCGTATCAAAAAAGAATTTAAACTCTCTACAAATGTGAATTTTCCCCCAGGCTGGAGTACAGTGGCACAATCTTGGCTCACTGTAACCTCCACCTCCTGGGTTCAAGTGATTCTCCTGTCTCAGCCTCCCTAGTAGCTGAGATTACAGGCACCCGCCACCATACCCGGCTAATTTTTGTATTTTTAGTAGAGATGGAGTTTCACCATGTTGGCCAGGCTGGTCTTGAACTCCTGACCTCAAGTGATCCGCCTGCCTCTGCTTCCGAAAGTGCTGGGATTACAGGTGTGAGCCACCACACCCGGCCAAATGTGAATATTGAGTAAAGACTTCAGACACCGTCCTCTGGGTATTACCAACAGGGTTTGACACTAGTAATTGCAGCGCCACATAAGAAAGACCAGACGCTGGTTAGCAAAACAATGGTAATCCTCTGCAATGCAGCACATGTTTGAGAAGCAATTTTATACAGTAGACAGGGTGGAAAAAATGGCTCTTTGGAAGTTTTCTTCTAACTCACAGAATGCACCAGCAGGAAAGGTGGATCCCGGCAAGTTCAGGGGACATATGCCTCTCTATAGTGAAAAATATTTTCTTTCTTTTTTTTTTTTTTTTAGATGGAGTCTCCCTCTGTCGCCCAGGCTAGAGTGCACTGGTGCAATCTCGGCTCACTGCAAGCTCCGTCTCCCAGGTTCACGCCATTCTCCTGCTTCAGCCGCCAGAGTAACTGGGATTACAGGCCTCCGCCACCACGCCTGGCTAACTTTTTGTATTTTCAGTAGAGACGGACGGGGTTTCACCGTGTTAGCCAGGATGGTCTCGATCTCCTGACCTCATGATCCACCCGCCTCAGCCTCCCAAAGTACTGGGATTACAGACGTGAGCCACTGCGCCCGGCTGAAAAATATTTTCATATCCAGTTCAACATTCATTTCTTAAAACATCTTAACACATGTCCTCTGCCTCCTGTGTCCACAGACCCCAGAACCCTAGCATTCCAGAGTCCCCCTTTCCTACTGTGGCTGCTCCCCTCTTGGCAGGCACCCCAAGTTCTGGACTAGTATTTCCCCTACAGAAGAGAACAAGATCAGCCAATCTCAGACTTCCCTATGCAGATGCAAAATATTATGTTTCCTATTTCATTCCTAGTCAGTCATTTTGATTGCAAACCTCCTTCTATTTCAATTTTATTACTATAGGTTTCTTTTTGATGTTGTTGTTGTTGTTTGTTTGTTTTTTTTGAGACAGAGTCTTCCTCTGTCACCTAGGCTGGAGTAAAGTGGCACAATCTCAGCTCACTGCAACCTCCGCCTCCCGGGTTCAAGCGATTCTCCTGCCTTAGCCTCCTGAGTAGCTGGAATTACAGGCACCTGTCACCACACCTGGCTAATATTTTTGTATTTTTAGTAGAGACAGGGTTTCACAATGTTGGTCAGGCTGGTCTCAAACTCCTGACCTCAGATAATCCACCCGCCTGGGCCTTCGAAGGTGTGGGATTACAGGCATGAGCCACCGTGCCTGGGCTAGTATCTGCCTGTTTCTTTCTTTTTTTTTTTTTTTTTTTTAAGACAGAGTCTTGCTCTGTCGCCCAGGCTGGAGAGCAGTGGTGCGATCTTGGCTCACTGCAACCTCAGCCTCCCAGGTTCAAGCGATTTTCCTGCCTCAGCCTCCCGAGTAGCTGGGACTACAGGCACGTGCCACCATGCCTGGCTAATTTTTTGTATTTTTAGTAGAGACCGTGTTTCATCATGTTAGCCAGGATGGTCTCAATCTCCTGACCGCGTGATCTGCCTGCCTCGGCCTCCCAAAGTGCTGGGATTACAGGCATGAGCCACCGTGCCCAGCCTAGTATCTGCCTTTTAAGGCTTTATGAGGATTTGTCCAGAACTTCACACAGGAAGAGCTCAATACATGCTTATTATTCTTTTATTATTTTCATCAATATTATTAATCCTATGGTTGTGTACCACAGAACAAATATTGTAAGCAATAACATCAAAATAATTTCAGAAAACTAAATGGGCTAGTTAATGTATTTTGTCGAACCTAAAACATCACCATTTGTGAGATTTTCCATTATTTTATTTACTTATTTATTTATTCTGTCACTATATTGGCCAGGCTGGTCTCCAGCTCCTGGGCTCAAGCGATCCTCCTATCTTGACCCTTCAAAGTGCTGGGATTACAGGCATAAGCCACTGCATCTGGGCATGTTCCATTATTTTACAGACTATTAAAGAAATGTTTTCAAATAATAGCAAGATGCCATTGATTGCAAAATACATATTGATTTTAGTTATATTAAAATGTAAATACTAAAGTGCACTTTAGAATTGATAAAACATAGTATTTGGGCCAGGTGCAGTGGCTCATGCCTGTAATCCCAGCACTTTGGGAGGCCAAGGTGGGTGGATCACTTGAGGTCAGGAGTTGGAGACGAGCCTGGCCAACACCCTGTCTCTACTAAAAATACAAAAATTAGCTGGACATGGCAGCTGAGCGCCTGTAATCCCAGCTAATTGTGTACATAAGCTCATAACCGCACCAAAATGTAGAACGAAATTTTCTAGTAAGTGAAGAACATTTTTTTTTTTTTCAAATTGAAGCATTCGGAGAGAAGAATCAACCTGCACTGCCATCCACACAGATATCATGGACGACTGGCTGGACTGTGCCTTCACCTGTGGTGTGCACTGCCGTGGTCACGGGAAGTACTCGTGTCTTCGGGTGTTTGTGAACCTCACCCATTCAGCTCAGAAAGCTCTCCTACATTATAATGAAGAGGCTGTCCAGATAAATCCCAAGGTATTGTAAAGTTTAAAGAGTTCTTATGACAGCAACCTTTCCCTGCCAGACTGTCCCTAGCAGGGTACATAAATAACCCAGGGCTGTCTTTAGGGATAAATCTATTTTTTTGGAGTGAACATTTTTATAGTGATCAAATCAGGATAAATGAAGCTTTCTTCTTGGTGGAGAAATGGGGTATATAGAAAGGAGAGAAATTATTCCAATTTCACAACTTGGTGTCTGGAATTTATAGGCTGAGCCAATGAGTAGTCATTTGTGGGGAGTCTTTCTTTTGGAGATTCCACTCCGCGCCATATAACATATGCTACAGTGTACCACAGTCTCCCTTGAATCAAGCGAGTAATTTTTTCTTATCAAATAAATGTAAAGATTATTTTTATTTTAATAAGTTACACAATGGGTTCATATGATTTAACGAATTATAGAAATGATCCCTGAAAGTATAGTCTTTCATATGATTTAAAATTTATATTTATACCTAACTATAAAAGTTGAGTTGTGTTAGATTAGTTGACATGTTACACTTTATTGTCTTTAAGCATCAATTTCAATCTGATGACTTTTGTTTTCTATTTTGGATGCAATGATTTTTAAGATTTCAAACAGTTTGTAGGCCTTTAGCACAGTACCTCAAGTACCTAATGGATATGGTAATAAACCTCAAGCTTTTTTGAAAAAAGTCACCAGCTGACAGAGCTCCCTTCTCCACTGGTTCTGTCTCCCAGGAACCAAAGTCCAGGTGGGGCTCCCTGTCTGTGAGTCTAGAGCAAAAGCCTCAACGTGCTTTTCTTCAGGGTAATATTTTGCTACAGGAGATCAAGACAGAGACCACAGAGGCATTACTAGGTGTTGAAAGCTCATAGTAAGGCTCAATACATTTTTGTTCAATGGACAAACGGATTCATACTGTCCAAGAGTCCAAGAACCTGCATGTAGGGAGGAGTCATATTCCTTATGAAATTGGTCACTGACTCTCCTGCAATGTCATATAAACTAAGAATTCTCTTCCACATCCTTGCTTAATGACTGGAAATGGCCATTTCACTGTGGCCCTCCAATCAACCCTTTCCCATGAGCTATGTAATATTTTACCACCTTCTAAGATTGAAACTGCCCACTAATAACTTCAGCCTGAAGCTATTTCATAATTAGAAACTGTTAAGTATTTGGTATTGGTGACAGTGCCTTTATCTTTTTCCCTCTTCCATATTCCTAGTGCTTTTACACACCTAAGTGCCACCAAGATAGAAATGATTTGCTCAACAGTGCTCTGGACATAAAAGAATTCTTCGATCACAAAAATGGAACCCCCTTTTCATGCTTCTACAGTCCAGCCAGCCAATCTGAAGATGTCATTCTTATAAAAAAGTATGACCAAATGGCTATCTTCCACTGTTTATTTTGGCCTTCACTGACTCTGCTAGGTGGTGCCCTGATTGTTGGCATGGTGAGATTAACACAACACCTGTCCTTACTGTGTGAAAAATATAGCACTGTAGTCAGAGATGAGGTAGGTGGAAAAGTACCTTATATAGAACAGCATCAGTTCAAACTGTGCAGTAGGAGGAGGAGCAAAGGAAGGAGCAGAGAAATCTTAAGACGGTGGCCAAATTAAAGGGCTGGCCTTCAGATGTCTGTGATTTCTGCAACTGAGGACCTAATTATGCCTGTCTGCAAACTAACAATGTAAAACGTAATGATTAAAGTATCATATTTTCATGTGGGAAAAAATTTAAAAGCCTCATTTTGTATTCTATTTATTTCTATAAATACATACAAATTAACCATCTTTTCTAATCTCAATCTCTTTCCAAATGAGCTAAGGAAGCACTTTTTTCCTGTATAGCAAAATGAGTTCAAGATATTCTTTGCCTAATTTCAGCTCTAGCTAGAACCAGTCAATATGGAAATAAACAATGAGGGTATCTAACCTACTGAACACTGAACCATCAGCCTAACTCTATGCAATATAGTCATACTAAAATATTTCTCATAAAAAAGTTCTTAACAGTTCGTTCACTATACGAAGATAAAAATCCGGTAGAAAACTTAAGAAAACATGGACCTAACATATTTATTATAGTTTTTTTCTTTTTTTTCCTTTTTGAGATGGAGTTTTGCTCTTGTAGCCCAGGCTGGAGCACAGTGGCGTGATCTTGGCTCACTGCAACCTCTGCCTCCTGGGTTCAAGCAATTCTCCTGCTTCAGCTTCCTAAGTAGCTGGGATTACAGGTGTGCACCACCACGCCCAGCTAATTTTTATATTTTTAGTGTAGACAGGGTTTCACCATGTTGATCAGGCTGGTCTTGAACTCCTGACCTCAGGTGATTTGGCCGCCTCAGCCTCCCAAAGTGCTGGGATTACAGGCATGAGCCACTGCGCCTGGCCTTAGTTTGTTCTTTACCAGTCTAGACAGCAGAGGAAAGCTGCTGCCTAGAAAATTCACTAAGTTTAGAGTTACTAGTATTTAGCCTTGTCATGTACCATGTAATTTTTCTTTCAGTAACATTTTTCTAGTTAATTAAGCTTTTCATAAGCTCATTTCACTTTGTGCACTTTCTGGTGGGAAAAATGGGCCAGAAATATGAAGAAGCTATACTGGATTTCAACATTCATCTCAGATGATCCACATCGTATTAGGCTGGTGCAAAAGTAATTCCAGTTTTCGCTGTTAACCTTTAATGGCGAAAAACCGCAATTATTTTTGCGTCAACCTAATAGAAAAGTCCCACATGGATAGTCAACAATTGTCTGTACTTTAATTAATGAATCAACCGTGGTTATTAAATGATGTCATAAGGCTCTCAACAAATGCTTTCCAGATTGATTAAGCCGAATCTGTGAGTGGAAAAGAGATTTTGGTCTGATTTTCCAAAGTGCCTCAAAGTATCTTTAAAATTGTATTATACTCAAAAATCTTAAATTATGGACAGTAGAATGAGACATTTGAAGCTACTTTTGTATGTAGATGTAATCAAACAAAAAACTGATTCTAAGTCAGTTTAATCCCTTTTAGCAATTAATTTCAAGACACATATTACTAAATTAGCTGAATACAGCAATATTGACTTGATCAGTAATGAATAATCTTGGTGTTTTCCTTTCTAGTGTGCAATGGTGGAAAGAACATGTGTCTCAGAGTAGGATTTATTTGACTTTGTAGGCCATAATCACAACTTTGGGCAAATAAGCTAACCTGTGTAAACCTTTCTTTTCTCATCTATAAAATGGGGATAACCTGTTCTTTCACGCAGTTATTTTATAGAATAAGCAAAGTAGGGCATGTGAAACACTTTAGCTTAGCTTCTAGCATCCAGTAGCGGTGCTCAAAAATGTTAGATCATTTATGTAACAATCTGCTAGGTTATAACATTCAGTGAGCCTTGGTACTTTTCATTGAACAGCTGGTATAGAGGCTAGGGATAGGGAGCTGCAGTTCATTTTCCATGCCCCTACCCGAGTTCTCTTGGCTAAATGTGATACGCATTTAAGGCCCAGAACCTGCTGTTTAAAAGGTTGTGGTAAACTATTTTGTATACCAAAGACTTCTCTGTAATAAAGTATGTAAGTACACATGAACATTTTATATGCACGCACATTTTAAATCATCTGCACATTGAGATTCTACACTTTTCTCAAGGGCACATCTCTATTCCGTTTCTTTGTAAATTTGACTTCTACCTAACAATATGCAATTGCTGGGATTTTTTTCCCTAACAAATTCAAAACTGCTAATTTAAAATGTAAAGTGTGTGTTTCAATTACCACAGTTTTCCATTTAGATAGGAGCTACCTGAATCATTCCAGCAAAGAGAGATATTATCCCTGGAGAGCAAAGTCAATTCAAAATTATTTAAACCATTTGGCAAATAAATAAAATGTAAGTAATTATTTGCTTAATTGCTCAGAAATACTAAGTTGTTAATGCCTATGTGCATTAATGGTCAAAGAAAAGCCCACACTTACCTTTTGCAATGTTTATGAGAACTGAAAGCAAAACCAGTTTGCTTGTAGCCTAACTTCATTTCTAGGTTCTGATCTTCAAATGACTTGGAAAAAAGTCCACTTACCTATTGCATATACATACATTCATATGTATGTATACATACATATATTTCTTAAAATACAAGCATATAATTCTTTATGCTTAAAGGAAGTAAATATTTAAACATACATTTCTTTAATATTCATCACTTTACTGGGGCAGAAAAATTGGCTTTTAAGGTATAATAGTTTCAGATTTTCAATCAAGTATTCTTAGTCATTACTGAAAAGAACTCAAATTCAGCTAAATTTTGATTTTAGCAACACTGGCTTGCTTTTCAAAAGGAATGGCAAAAGAGAATTATCACAGTTTTTTGCTTATGTAGTACACTAAGGATTGTTTGGACACAAGTCAAAGTAATTTTTCTTTTTTTTTAATAAACAGCATGATGTTACAGACTGCAGAGTTAAAGAAAAGCAGACATTGACAGTTTCTGATGAGCATAAACAGTAAGTGCAGTCACGGGCCAAACTTCTTGCTAGGAACAGCAAGACTGGGAAGAGGTCTTAAATTTAGTGATACTGTTATTATTCTGTATTCTCAATATAATAATACATGCATCTTGCTGTGTCAAATGCTTTCTGGGCCATCATTAAAAGGACATTAAAAACGTTTTTCTTCTAATGAATGCAGTATACCACAGGACTTCAATTCACTGAATGACAAAATATAGAGAAATAAACTTGCTACAATTAATGGGGCCAAAAGGGTGGTTCGAATTTCTTGTTAAAGCTTCCAGGTGAACATCTGACGTGTTAGTAGTCTTCTTTTGGTAGTGCCACATTCCTCAAGGTATTAAAATGTTATGCTCCAAAAGGGTATATTCTTTTAGATTTTATTCAACCCAATTAGGTCTGAGGACTGAATCACACTGAAACCATTAACTTCATTTGAAACTCAAAATGTTTTTGAAATCAGATGAAGGCCAAGTTCTCCAACCACTCTTAGGAACATAAATTAAATTGAACAAGGGACTTTTAAAAATGAACTAAAAACAAAATTAAATAAAAATGAAATAAATAGATAATGATTTTGGAAATTCATACTAGAATTAAGTTTAGTCTAATTATATTTTAATATGAAACAGTGAAGCTTTTCTGCCTCCTTGCTAACCTAGAAAAATTGACAAAAATAAGAATACCTAAAAGTATACATGGTTCTTAGCATAACCACAAAATTATTGTAGTGACAGATTAAATAAGGTTGCAGATAGATTCATAGACTTTAACTGGCTAACAAAATACATTTAAAAACCTTTTCTGTACTTACCTACATGAGGAATGGAGTACACTGTTGGTAGAAAAATCATTTACCTAACTACTATATATGCACAAGGGACTAATTTTTTTTCTCCACTAAAACTCATATGTAGTTGTATAAAAATTAAGTCAGAAAATTTCCTCATGGCTCACACCTGTCACTTTATGCTAACTAGCAAGGCTGGAATATTAACATACCTAAAATCAAGCAGAAGAAATGGCACTGCACTAATAAAAAGGAGGTGCAAAACCTTAAGTGGAATAGGTGCATGAAGTTTATTTAAAGACTAACATCCCAACTTGGGAAACTCCTAATAAATTCTAAACTCTTCCGAATTTTAGAACCTTGATATTTCTTTACACCTTTTATAAAAGATGCCTCTTGACTAGGGCTTAGCAAGCAGTGTGTACACAAACAGAATTGTGTGCAAGTATACACACACCAAATGCACTAATAATGAAGAAGAGAGAACAAAATGAATTTCAAATGCCGAATTCGGAAACCTCCTCGAACTATTGCCTTTTTCAAATGGCTGGACCAACGATTAAACTTCAGCCAAGTTTTTTTCTTAAGGTCTTCCATATCATTAAAAACAACGCATGCCAACTCTGACTTTATAAATCTAAAATTCAGTGATCTGCACAGTTTCTGAGCTTGAAGTATTGAATTGTGACTCATCTATTTTTTTTTCCCATTTTCCTTCTGAGGTAGAGTTACCAATCCAATTTTATCAGGACCACAGATATTTTGAGCTAAACCCCATAATCTTTTCATACAGTAAAAATAATTTTTATGAAAATAGAAAACAGGCTTCCCAGGCCATGGCACATAGATATATTTAAAATTTTTAATGTAATAATTAAAAATGGTATTGTTTATATTTATAAAACAGCCCAGCTGTATTATTCTGTCACCAAGAATTATTAATTGAGGATGCTGTCAATGCTGACTTTTACAGTTCAGCCTTCACAATCCCATCCATGATGAAGAGTTGATTCTCTTACGGTATACAATATACTCTCACAACTTTCAGCCTTCTCTTAAAGACATGCCCCAAATGAGCAGGATGGATATAAAGAATGTAATTCATTCAAACTCCTCCCTGTTCTGCCCCCTCCCCTCACATTCCCCTCTTCTCAAAAACATCTGAAGTATGAAAGTTGTCTTTAAATAGTAAAAGCACCACAATCTATTAACACCACATGTTATCTTTAAACTGAAATATTTTAGTGATGTCTTGGACATCAAAATAATTTCTTAAGGTGGACTCTTGAGTATGTGGGTCCAGCCCAGGTCTGCAGTTTGTGCAGACATAGAAAAAAGAGGAACTTTAAATATTCAGAAAAAGTTAACAGGCTAGCTTTAAAATACTGCTGGAAATTAAATTTCTTCAGAGTTGGCAAGCATGGGCTATTGATCAAAATATGAATTAAACGGATTTACATCATTAAGAAAAAAACAAATCCATGTTATTGTGCTGTGAAATTTCCATGATGCCTTTCAAATAGGCTGCTCACAAATTTTTTTATAATTCTAAATCACTCGCTTTTTGATGGAAAAAAGAATACAGATGGACTGTGTTTTACCTATGTGAAAGTCACCAATCCATTTAAAATAAAATCCAAGAGGGCATATACAGTCTAATCAAGTCATCATTTTCCTGATTAATAAGAACTACACTTTACACAAAATACTTTATCAGCAGCTGTTTTCATCAAAAAATCAGTAGTCAGTTTCACAGTTGAAAAAGTTACACATTAAAATATTTTACAATTCATTATATATTCACCAGGTTCCCATTTTCTAAGGGGCTTTTAATATAAAGCAGAATAGAACACTGTCTCTACTAAAAATACAAAAATTAGCTGGGAGTGGTGGCATGCTCCTATAGTCCTAGCTACTCAGGAGGCTGAGGTGGGAGGATGGCTTGAACCCAGGAGGTCAAGGCTGCAGTGAGCCGAAATTGCACCACTGCATTCCAGGCCGGGCAAAAGAGCCAGACCCTGTCTCAAAAAAAAAAGTTTACATTGTATTTCCTACTCTTAGTTACACTAAGCTAGACAGCAGATGACTAGAGGGTGTGATATATTTACTGAGTGACTCGAAATCCATTTTAAACTTGGAAATGTAAAAACTAACTTCTTTCCACTCATTTTCAGGGTCATTACTGAGAGATAATAAATGACAGAATAAGGAAATAATCACTGTAAATACTTAGGGACCTGAATAAGAGAAAGGAAGGGAAAGTAAAGGGATCTAACATTTATTGGGCACCTTCTGTGTTCCAAGGATTGTGATAGGTTCTTTGCATATCTCATGTAATTTAATTCTCACAATGGCCTTACGAAGCAGGTATTATTCCCATTTTACAGACAAAGAAAATGAGTCTTGAGAGCCTGCATAACGTGTCTAACACTACACAGATGAGAGGCAGTGGAACTTGGTTCCAAATCCTAATCTGCTTGATTCCAAGGACCATGATCTGTATATACACTGGGCTTCTAAACAACTCTGCCCCACTGCAGTGAAAAGAGTCTCAAACACAGACTAGAGTCACACAACTTTTGTGTTTCATCCTTCTTCTCCTGTTTGACAATGTCAGTTAAGTTAATGAGCTTTTCCATTGCCTCGACTTGCCTATTCAGGTGCTTCAAATACATCCCACATGCACGACAATAGGACTCCAAAAGCAGGCCAAACCTCTGGCTAAGTGTTTTATTGTGCATCTCAGATCTAAAAGAATCATGCAAAATTAGAAAAATATATATATAGTCTTAAATCAGTATACAAATAATCTTTGCTAAACAATTTAAACACTCATTTTTGAAATCCAATAAATGTTACAATCATACTAATAATAACATTATTCAAAACCTGTAATTTAGAAGCAAAACCACCATGAGTTTCAGGTAGTTCCTGAATATGTGATTAAATAAACATCTAGTTTTTAGGTTTATTTCAACTAGTTTTCATTGACTAATCTCAGTACAAGATATAAAAGCATGAAAAAAGGAAATTGAGCACAAAAATAATCAAATGAAGAGGGAGGGAACAAAGCGCTCAGTGAATGCTGTTTGACTCTTCTGACACACGTCTACGCTTCTTGTTTTCAACTTAACTTCTGGGTTCCATTTTTAAATTTTAACACTTAAAATATCATATTAGATATAAATCTGTTTCTAAATTTATGAAAAGTTATATGGTTTATGACCTGTAACTTTTGAGTACTGCATATATCACATTCTACAAAACATTTTTTATTCTTAATTAGCTTGTTTTTCAGTAAGAACCACGGGAGTTTGACATTATTGTTCTGAATCTCAAGGTAAAACATTTTTTTTCTTTTTTTGGGGATATTTTAATCCATACACACAGTGAAACCTACAGCAATATTCATCTGGACCTAGAAAATTTTACTTAAGTAGAACAAAAATCTTTAAAAATATTTAAGCTCTCATTCATGACTGAAATTTAGTTTTGAATTTATTACTTTTTAAATTTCAAAGAGCAAAAGTTGAGAAGCTCATCACTGGTACAAAATAGTTTTAGTATGGAAAACTCTTCCAGCCAAACATAAACAAAAGTATATAAGTAATACATATTTATAAATCTATTAAGAAAGCAAGTAATATGTACCTTAAGAATTTAATGGGAAAATAATTAGACTTACTTTAAATGCCAAAAGAAAAAGTGCCCAATCCTTTGATTAGTCAATGCTTTCTTCAGTAAAAATCTCACAAGCAAGTTATCCAAATATTGTTCATATTTTAGGACCTAGGTGATTCAAAAAAAACAAATCAGGTTCAGTTTCTGCATGGCCGATCTAAAGAAAATTTTTTCAGAAAGAAAGTGGATATTACTGGTAATAATTTTTTTTAAGCATAAAACTAGTTAGTGCAGTAGGTTTTTTAAAAGGAAGTTGTATGGATCTAAAATAAATTATTATTGTAATTAAACATTATTCACTATTTTACATTATTTTACCTGTACTAGCTGAATTAAATACTGAGAAAGTTTGTTATCTGTTAAATATTTTTCCAAGCACTGAACAGCAAAACTTCGAACCATAGGATCTGGGTAATTACAGTCCAGAAGTTCCATAGCCTGTTCAGGTTTGATTGGAGGCCAATCTTTTACCAAGCAATACATCTGTGTATGAGAAAGACAATAAATCATATTTAAAGGGGAAAGATAGTTGTGAATGAGCCATCTAAAACACTGCCTTAACTTCTGATTTTAAAATTAGTTTAGATAAATAATCTCCTTAGAATTTACAGTTCTAATTAGTTTTATCTATGGAAATAATGTTAAGGGAGTTTTTTCTACACCATATTACTATTATTAGTCTATTTCATTTATTTATGTGGACTTTCTGAGAGAAAACAATTTAAGTGACATACCAATTTGTACAACAGTTATCTAGTAATCTCAAACATACATTTACCTGGGCTACTTCATCTCTAGAATTCCATTTAACAGACAGAATATAGCTCATATTTTTCACCTACTTATGCAACATGAATGAATCATAGAGTCACCACTTCTACTGTGGTTACTGGACAAAATTTATGTCTTAATGGACTTTCTGCAAAAATGCACTGCAACTGGTTTATTTAAATATACCCGTATCACCAACAGCAGGGTAATTTCTTCATAAATGAAAATAAGGCATTATACTATTTGAAGAAACGTAAGAAAAAAATGAAAGGGAACCCCTAAAAATTATAATATCTAGAGCAACTAAATCACATCTAAATTGACCTAAAACTACTAGAATATTTTAAACAATCCTAAAGAAAGTCATATCAGGAATTCAGAGTAAGAAAAAGCATTTAATGTGCCAACTACAAATGTAGTATGATTTTCTACAAATATCAATTTACAGCCATTGTTTTTAAAAAGGCAATGTTTATAGTTTAAAAATCATGTAAATTCTGCTTCATTTATTCTAATAGGTATGGTAAAAACATGCTGAGATCAGCCAAAGTCAGTTATTTTTTCTGTAATAAAGAAAAAGAAACAGAGAATCTCCATTTTAGCACTTACCTGTGGTCCATAGAAAATCTTTCTCCTGCGCAGTGATTTCAGAGAGAGGATCTCGTGTAGAAATTGCTTTGAGCTGTTCTTTGTCATTTTCCCTTAATTCATTGTCTCTAGCTAGTCTGTTACTCTGTAAAATAAAATAATATCTTATATAGCTTTCTTTGTCATATTTTTCCCCTCTGGATTCACAGATGATTTACAAAAAAAGCAAATACATTTTCAATAAACTTTACATTGCTAATTAACTGTTGTAAAATAATTTATTCTCATTGCAAGACTTTATTTTCAGAGACAGGAAAGAACCAATCTAAGATATAATATTTGTGGAACAAATCCAGTAATTTATTTGGTTAATATTACACCAATCACAGAATAGTAACTGCTGAAGTTAGCCAACAACAAGACCAGATTAGGATACTAGAGGATGGTAGTGAACAATTTACTTTTCCTCCTGATGAGGATCTTGTTAACTTACCTGTGAATGTTTTTGATATAGAGAATAAGAAACACTAAAATGATAAAAATTTAAACTCTTTCATGTTCTTTGCCTGAACAGATCCTTATGATCACTGCAAGGCTTTCAAATTTAAAAAGTAAAAACCAGTAAGAAAAAAAGAATGAAGAAACACCCCCATTAAAACACTGTATCCTGAATATTAGAAAACGAAAAATAATATTTTTTTGTATAATTCCAAGCAATGTATATTCCCTGCAAATATAGATATATTAACTGTGTAATGAATAATGAGTACATATTAATGTATTATGCAAAACAAATATAAACCCCTTAGGATGGGTTACGTATATTTTTAAATGGCTAAAAATCAAAGCAGACATCCATGCCACTTGGTTTGTATGTGTTTATATGCTGTTAACTTATTCAGCAGCATGAAGAAATATTACTGGCACATATTTGTTCAACAGGTATTTATTAAATATGTACTATGTACCTTGTTTTGTTCTTGCTGTTGGGATTACAAAAGAGTAAAAGACCCTGCACTAACAGAGCCTCTGTTATAGTGGGAAATCAAATAAATAAAAATATTGGAAAATTGATATAATGTACTCTGGATGATGTAACAGAGAATGACTAAGAACATAGTATTTGTGATTCAAGTAACAAGAAGGAAACTTTATCCACACTAAGATTTGGGAAAGACTATTGCAGATGGAGAAAACACTGCAAGCCTTCCTCCCACCCCGGAAATAACTAGTTTGGTGTGAAGGAATAAGGCCAGTGAGCCTGATGGGCAATAGACAAGGGAAAGAAGAAATGTAAGCTGAATTCAGACCACGTTAAAATTTGCAGAACAGGGTATAAAGTTGGGATTTTATTTTTATTGATAACTATTTAAAGAATGAATACCATGATTTGATTTGTATTTCATAAAGATTATTATGGCTTCTCTGTGGAAGGAGGGAGAGGTTATTCCAATAGTCCAGGAAAGATATAATACATACTCAATCCTCGATTCACCAGGAAAAGAAGCTGCTACTGTTTATTTACTTATTTTTATTTGTTTACATTTTAAACGTAAAATAACTTACAGAAGAATAAAGTGATGGGGAAAACAATTTTATTATACATTTTAATAAGAATTTAAATATTATAAAACCAAATCCTTATCTACATTTTCCTGGTTTTGAAGATAAATATATCATTGTCAAACTAGAAACTACATTGTCAAAATGCAATATTTTTGAAAATTCTGACGGCTCATAACTGTTGAAGGAAAGGCCATCTTTTTTCCTCTGTAATTACAAAACATTTCTACTCTATAAATGCCAATCAGAATGATCAACTCAAGGAGTTATTGTATTTCTACATCATCTTTTTCCTTCTAGTCACATTTGTATACACAGCTACCTTCAGCATTTGTCCATTTAAAAAGTGTATCAGGTAAATTTTTAAAGTAGATTTAGAGGTTCAAGAAAATTTAAAAAAGAAAATTTTGGTGCATATAATAAAAGATGAAAAGAATATTGTAAAACATGAGGCTGTTCAGGTTCTTGTCACAAAATATTGTGTGATGAAGTCATTCTGGTGGAATGACTAACTGAATGTGAATACAAATTTCCTTTTTGTCTTTAGAAATACTATCAAATTTCCTTTTTGTTGTTAGAAATATATTCTTTACTCATCATTATCTTGAGTTTGAGAAGACTTAAGATAACTGAGAGACAGTTTAGGTATTGTCATCTGACATTTCATTTATATAATAAACTTCACCATGATTAGAGTTTAGAGCAGTGGTTCTCAACTAGGGAGATTTTGTGTCCCCTTGACCACCCAGGAACCTTGGCTAATGTCTGGAGACATTTTTGATAGCCATAACTTAGCAGGATGGCACTACTGGCCTGCAGTAGGGTAGAGGACAGGGATGCTAAACATCCTGGATTGCACACACAGGATGGCTCCTACAACAAAGAATTATTTGGCGCAAAATGTCAATAGTGCTGAGGTTGGGAAACTCTGCTCTAGGCTGCTACTATCTATCTGCATTCATATTATGATTTGTCTAATGCTTGTGAAATATCTTCCTTGGTCAGTTTTCATCTGTCATCATTCTAGGTGAAAAGTGAAAAATTCTGAATTCTCAAGTGTCCAGTGAAAGCCTGAAAGAAACCAACCAACCAAACAAAAAAATTACAAAGACAGTGTCTGCAGACTTCTTCTATACTTCTGGAAAGATGATGCAAGACACTGGGCAATGCAATAAGAAAACTGAAGCATGATGTAACGTCATGATTTACTTCACTATTTTATTATCCTTCTAGGCTATTCTATCCTTCTTTTATATTTTCATATTATTTTAGTCTTTTTTAGCATAGTTGGAAATAATGAATATGGATAAAGTAATTTCTAGGATGATGAAATAGTAAAATATTTAAGATACAGAAAAACTAAGATCCCATGTCGTATCTTAGATTTACAAAAGTTTCCAATAGATACAAATTGTAACTGAAAAATAGAAGTTTTATTCTACTATAAAATAAGCAAATTTCTTTTCTTTGAAATAAAATTTCTTTTAAGAAAGAATACAGTCATCAAATATCAATCCTTACAAAGAGAACTGCTCAAAAAAGAGACTCGTATCTTTTAAATGCAGAAAAATATACATGCAGAAAAGATAATTCGTTTTCCGAAAAGTAGTGGTAAACACCTTACTGAGAACACAGCTATGAATCAATAAATTTCCTAAGTGCAATATACCAGGCTGCCTCTTGATGCTGCTGTTACTGTTAATGGGATAGGGGTGTTTTGGACTTCTTAGCCCAAAATTCATTGGCTGGTTTATCTATAGCCAACAAGCCCAAAGAAAAAGTAATATATTTGGAAATACCAATGAACACAAACATCTTCTCTTGGCATTGACATCTTTGCCCTTGAGAAATCAGGGAGAGTTAATGGTTCTTGAACCTAGATAATTATACTGTGGTTCGAAAGCTATGGCCAAGATTAGACAACTAGATCAATATTTAAATTCCATCTTACATACGCTCTTTCCTGGGGAACCTGGGATAACGTGGTAAAGACCTGCTGTTTTCTCGGCTTCCAAGCTCAACTAATGGTATATTTATGCAGGCGTACCCTGTATTACTGTGCTTTGCTTTATCATACCTCACAGATAGTGCATTTCCAACAAACTGAAGGCTTGGCCGGCAGGATGGCTTGGCTGGCATGGCTGGTTTGCCTGGCTGGCTGGCTTGGCTTGCATGGCTGGCTGGCTGGCTTGGCTGGCTTGGCTGGCTTGGCTGGATGGCTGGCTTGGCTGGCTGGGTGGCTTGGCTGGCTTGGCCGGCAGGCTGGCTTGGCTGGCTTGGCCGGCTGGCTGGCTTGCCTGGTTTGGCTGGCTGGGTGGCTTGGCTGGCTTGGCTAGCTGGGTGGCTTGGCTGGCTTCGCTGGATTTGCTGTCTGGCAGGCTTGGCTGGCTTGGCTGGCTGGCTGGCCGGGTGGCTTGTCTGGTCTGGCTGCCCAGGTGGCTTGGCTGGCTTGGCTGGCCAGGTGGCTTGGCTGGCTTGGCTGGCCGAGTGGATTGGCTAACTTGGCTGGCCGGCTGGCTTGGCAGTCTGGATGGCTTGGCTGGCTTGGCTGGCAGGCTGGTTTGGCTGACTTGGCTGTCTTGGCTGGCTGGGTTGCTTGGATGGCTTGGCTGGCTGGGTAGCTTGGCTGGCTTGGCTGGCTGGGTGGCTTGGCTGGTTGGCTGGCTGGCAGGCTTGGCTGGCTTGGCTGGCTGTCTGTCTTGGCTGGCTTGGCTGGCTGGCAGACTTGGCTGGCTTGGCTGGCTGGCTGGCCGGGTGGCTTGGCTGGTTTGGCTGCCCAGGTGGCTTGGATGGCTTGGCTGGCCGGGTGGCTTGGCTGGCTGGCCGGGTGGCTTTGCTGGCTGGGTGGCTTGGCCGGCTTCGATGGACGAGTGTGGCTAGCTTGGCTGGCCGGCTGGCTTGGCAGGCTGGATGGCTTGGCTGGCTTGGCTGCCTTGGCTGGCTGGGTGGCTTGGCTGGCTTGGATGGCTGGGTGGCTTGGCTGGCATGGCTGGCTGGGTGGCTTGGCTGGCCGGGTGACTTGGCTGGCTTGGGTGGCCGAGTGGATTGGCTAGCTTGGCTGGCTGGCTGGCTTGGCAGGCTGGATGGCTTGGCCAGCTTGGCTGGCAGGCTGATTTGGCTGGCTTGGCTGTCTTGGCTGGCTGGGTGGCTTGGCCAGCTTGGCTGGCAGGCTGATTTGGCTGGCTTGGCTGTCTTGGCTGGCTGGGTGGCTTGGCTGGCTTGGCTGGCAGGCTGATTTGGCTGGCTTGGCTGTCTTGGCTGGCTGGGTGGCTTGGCTGGCTTGGCTGGCTGGGTGGCTTGGCTGGCTTGGCTGCCTGGCTGGCTTGGCTGCCTTGGCTGTCTGGCCGGCTTGGCTGGCTGGCAGGCCGGCTGGCTTGGCTGGCTAGCTGGTTGGCTGGCTTGGCTAGATGACTGGCTTGGCTGGTTGGCTGGCTTGGCTGGCTTGGCTGACTGGCTGGCTTGGCTGGCTTGGCTGCCTGGCTGGCTTGGCTGGCATGCCTGGCTTTGCTGGCTGGCTGGCTTTGCTGGCTTGGCTGCCTGGCTGGCTTGGCTGGCCTGCCTGGCTTGGCTGGCTGGCTGGCTTGGCTGGCTTGGCTCGCTGGCTGGCTGGCTGGCCTGGCTGGCTGGGTGGCTTGGCTGGCTTGGCTGGCTGGGTGACTTGGCTGGCTTGGCTGGCTTGGCTGGCTGGGAGGCTTGGCTGGCTTGGCTGGCTTGGCCGGCTGGCTGGCTTGGCTGGCATGGCTGGCTGGCTGGCTTGCGTGGCTTGGCTGGCTGGCTGGCTTGCTTGGCTGGCTTGGCTGGCTGGCTGGCTGGCTTGGCTGGTTTGGCTGGCTGGCTGGCTGGGTGGCTTGGCTAGCTGGCTGGCTTGGCTGGCTTGGCTGGCTGGCTGACTTGGCTGGCTTGGATGCCTGGCTGGCCGGGTGGCTTGGGTGGCTTGGCTGGCCGGGTGGCTTGGCTGGCTTGGCTGGCCGCCTGGCTTGGCTGGCTGGATGGCTTGGCTGGCATGCCTGGCTTGCCTGGCTGGCTGGCTTGGCTTGCGTGGCTGGCTGGCTGTCTTGGCTGTCTTGGCTGGCTTGGCTGGCTGGCTGGCTTGCCTGGTTTGGCTGGCTGGGTGGCTTGGCTGGCTTGGCTAGCTGGGTGGCTTGGCTGGCTTGGCTGGATTTGCTGTCTGGCAGGCTTGGCTGGCTTGGCAGGCTGGCTGGCCGGGTGGCTTGGCTGGTCTGGCTGCCCAGGTGGCTTGGCTGCCTGGCTGGCCGGGTGGCTTAAGTGGCTTGGCTGGCCGGGTGGCTTGGCTGGCTTGGCTGGCCGCCTGGCTTGGCTGTCTGGATGGCTTGGCTGACATGGCTGGCTTGCCTGGCTGGCTGGCTTGGCTGGCTGGGTGGCTTGGCTGGCTTGGCCGGCAGGCTGGCTTGGCTGGCTTGCCTGGTTTGGCTGGCTGGGTGGCTTGGCTGGCTTGGCTAGCTGGGTGGCTTGGCTTCTTGGCTGTCTTGGCTGGATTTGCTGTCTGGCAGGCTTGGCTGGCTTGGCTGGCTGGTTGGCCGGGTGGCTTGGCTGGTCTGGCTGCCCAGTTGGCTTGGCTGGCTTGGTTGGCTTGGCTGACCGAGTGGACTGGTTAACTTGGCTGGCCGGCTGGCTTGGCAGGCTGGATGGCTTGGCTGGCTTGGCTGGCAGGCTGGTTTGGCTGGCTTGGCTGTCTTGGCTGGCTGGGTTGCTTGGATGGCTTGGCTGGCTGGGTGGCTTGGCTGGCTTGGCTGGCTTGGCTGGCTGGCTGGCTTGGCTCGTTGGCTGGCTTGGCTGGCTGGCAGGCTTGGCTGGCTTGGCTGGCTGGCTGGCCGGGTGGCTTGGTTGGTTTGGCTGCCCAGGTGGCTTGGCTGGGTTGGCTGGCCGGGTGGCTTGGCCGGCTTCGATGGCCGAGTAGATTGGCTAGCTTGGCTGGCCGGCTGGCTTGGCAGGCTGGATGGCTTGGCTGTCTTGGCTGCCTTGGCTGGCTGGGTGGCTTGGCTGGCTTGGATGGCTGGGTGGCTTGGCTGGCATGGCTGGCTGGGTGGCTTGGCTGGCTTGGCTGGCTGGCTGGCTTGGCTGGCTTGGCTGGCTGGCAGGCTTGGCTGGCTTGGCTGGCTTGGCTGGTGGCTGGCTTGGCTGGCTTGGCTGGTTGGCTAGCTTGGCTGGCTGGCTGGCTGGGTGTCTTTGGTGGCTTAGCTGGCTGGGTGGCTTGGCTGGTTTGGCTGGCTGGCTTGGCTGGCTGGGTGGCTTGGCAGGCTTGGCTGGCTGGGTGGCTTGGCTTGCTTCGGTGGCTTGGCTGGCTGGCTGGTTTGGCTGGCATGGCTGGCTGGCTGTCTTGGGTGGCTTGGCTGGCTGGGTGGCTTGGCTATTTTGGCTGGCTGGCTTGGCTGGCTGGCTTGCTGGCTTGCTTGGCCGGCTTGGCTGGCTGATTTGGCTGGCTGGCTTGGCTGGCTGGCTTGCTGGCTTGCTTCGCTGGCTTGGCTGGCTGGCTGGCTTGGCTGTCTGGGCTGGCTGGCTGGCTTGGCTGGCCTGGCTGGCTGCCGGGCTTGGCTGTTTTGGCTGGCTTGGCTGGCTGGCTGGCTGGCTTGGCTGGCTTAGGTGGCTGGTGAGTTGGCTGGCTTGGTTGGCTCGCTGACTTGGCTGGCTTGGGTGGCTGGCTGGCTTGGCTGGCTTGGCAGGCTGGCTTTCCTGGCTGGCTTGGCTGGCTGGCTGTCTGGGTGGCTTGGCTGGCTTAGGTGGCTGGCCGGCTTGGCTGGCTTGGGTGGCTTGCTGGCTTGGCTGGCTTGGCAGGCTGGCTTTCCTGGCTTGGCTGGCTTGGCTGGCTTGGCTGGCTGGCTGGCTGGGTGGCTTGGCTGTCTTAGGTGTTTGGCCGGCTTGGCTGGCTTGGGTGGCTCGCTGGCTTGGCTGGCTTGGGTGGCTGGCTAGCCTGGTTGTCTTGGCTGGCTGGCTGGCTTGGCTGGCTTGGCTGGCTGGCTTGCTCGCTTGCTTGGCTGGCTTGGCTGGCTGGCTGGCTGGCTTGACTGTCTGGGCTGACTGGCTGGCTTGGCTGGCTGGCCGGCTTGGCTGGCTTGGCTTGCTGGGTGGCTGGCTGGCCTGCCTGGCTGGGTGGCTGGCTGGCTTGGCTGGCTTGTCTGGCTTGGCTGGCTGGGTGGCTGGCTGGCCTGGCTGGCTGGGTGGCTGGCTGGCTTGGCTGGGTGGGTGGCTTGGCTGGCATGGCTGGCTGGTTGGCTTGGCTGGCTTAGTTGACTGGGTGGCTCGGTGGGCTGGCTGGCTAGCTGTCTGGCTGGCTTGGCTGGCTGGGTGGCTTGGTTTGCTTCGGTGGCTTGGCTGCCTGGCTGGTTTGGCTGGCATGGCTGGCTGGCTGTCTTGGGTGACTTGGCTGGCTGGGTGGCTTGGCTGGTGTGGCTGGCTGGCTGGCTTGGCTGGCTTGGATGGCTTGGATGGCTTGGCTGGCTTGGCTGGTTGGCTGGCTTGGCTGGCCTGGTGGCTTGGCTGGCTTCGCTGGCCGGGTGGCTAGGCCGGCTTGGCTGGCTGGGTGGCTTGGCCACCTTGGCTGGCCGGCCATCTTTGGTGGCTGGCTGGCTTGGCTGGTTGGCTGGCTTGGCTGGCTTGTCTGGCTGGCTGGCTTGGCTGGCTTGGTTGGCTTGGCTGGCTGGCTGGTTTGGCTGGCTGGGTGGCTTGGCTGGCTTGGTTGGCTTGGCTGGCTGGCTGGTTTGGCTGGCTGGGTGGCTTGGCTGGCTTGCCTGGCTGGCTGGCTTTGCTCGCTGGGTGGCTTGGCTGGCTTGGCTGGCTGGCTGGCTTTGCTCGCTGGCTGGCTTGGCTGGCTCGCTGGCTGGCTGGCTTGGCTGGTTGGCTGGATGGCTGGCTGGGTGTCTTGGCTGGTAGCCTGGCTGGCTGGCTTGGAAGGCTTGGCTGGCTGGCAGGGTTGGCTGGCTGGCTGGCTGGCTGGCTTGGCTGGCTGGCTGGCTTGGCTGGCTTGGCTGGCCTGGTGGCTTGGCTGGCTTCGCTGGCCGGGTGGCTTGGCCGGCTTGGCTGGCCGGGTGGCTTGGCCGCCTTGGCTGGCCGGCTGTCTTCGCTGGCCGGCTTGCTTGGCTGGCTTGGCTGGCTGGCTGGCTTGGCTAGCTGGTTGGCTTGGCTGGCTGGCTGGCTGGCAGTGTTGCTGGCTTGGCTGCCTTGGCTGGCTTGGCTGCCTGGCTGCCTGTGTGGCTTGGCTTGCTGGCTGGCTGGCTTGGCTGGTTGGCTGGCTGGCTGTCTTGGCTGGTTGGCTGTCTTGGCTGGCTTGGCTGGCTGGCTTGGCTGGTTGGCTGGCTGGCTGGCTTGGCTGGTTGGCTGGCTTGGCTGGCTGGCTGGCTGGCTTGGGTGGCTTCACTGGCTGGCTTGGCTGGCTTGGCTGGCTGGCTTGGCTGGCTGGCTGGCTTGGCTGGCTTGGCTAGCTGGCTGGCTGGCTGACTTGGGTGGCTTGGCTGTATGGCTGGCTGGGTGGCTTGGCTGGCTGGCTGGCTGGCTGGCTTGGCTGGCTTGGCTGCCTGGCTGGTTGAGTGGCTTTGCTGGCTGGCTGGCTGGCTGGCTTGGCTGGCTTGGCTGGCTGGCTGCCTTGGCTGGCTTGGCTGGCTTGGCTGGCTAGCTGGCTTGGCTGGCTTGGCTGGCTGGCTGGCTGGCTTGGCTGGCTTCACTGACTGGCTGGCTTGGCTGGCTGGCTGGCTTGGCTGGCTTGGCTGGCCTGGCTGGCTGGCTGGCTTTAGTGGCTTGGCTGGCTGGCTGGCTGGCTGGTTGGACTGGCTTGCCTGGCTGGCTGGCTGGCTGGCTTGGCTGGCTTCGCAGGCTGGCTGGTTGGGTGGCTTAGCTGTCTGGCTGGCTGTCTGGCTGGCTTGGCTGGCTTGGTTTGCCAGGCTGGAGTGCAATGGTGTAAACTTGGCTAGCTGCAGCCTCCACCTCCTGTGTTCAAGCGATCCTCCTACATGGGCCTCCCGAGTAGCTGGGATTAGAGACAAGTGCCACCATGCCCATCTATTTTTTTTTGTATATTTAGTGGAGACGTGCTTTCACCATGTTGGCCAGGCTGGTGTTTTTTTTCTTTTTCTTTTTTTTCTGAGTGGGAGTCTCGCTCTGTTGCCCAGCCTGGAGTGCAGTGGTGCAATCTTTGTTAGCTGCAACCTCCACCTCCCGGGTTCAAGCGATCCTCCTGCCTGGGCCTCTGGAGTACCTGGGATTACAAGCGTGTGCCACCACCCCCAACTAATTTTTTTGTATATTTAGTAGAGACGGGGTTTCACCATGATGGCCAGGCTTTTTTTTTTTTTTTCTGAGATGCAGTCTCGCCCTGTTGACCAGGCTGGGGTGCAGTGGTGCAATCTTGCCTCGCTGCAGCCTCCACCTCCCGGGTTCAAGTGATCCTCCTCCCTGGGCCTCCCGAATAGCTGGGATTATATTCGTGTGCCACCACGCCCAGCTAATTTCTTTGTATCTTTAGTAGAGCCGCGGTTTCACCATGTTGGCCAGGCTGGTCTTTTTTTTTTTTTTTTTTTTCTGAGATGGAGTCTCACCGTGTTGCCCAGCCTGGAGTACAGTGGTGCAATCTTGGTTCGCTGCAACCTCCATCTCCCGGGTTCAAACGATCCTCCTGCCTGGGCCTCCCGAGTAGCTGTTATTACAGGCGTGTGCCACCATGTCCAGCTAATGTTTTTGTATATTTAGTAGAGACAGGGTTTCACCATGTTGGCCAACCTGTTCTTTTTTTTTTTTTTTTTTTCTGAGATGGAGTCTCACTCTGTTGCCCAGGCTGGAGTGCAGTGGTGCAATCTTGGCTGGCTGCAGCCTCTACCTCCCGGGATCAAGCGATCCTCCTGCCTGGGCCTCCCAAGTAGCTGGGATTACAGGTGTTTGCCACCACACCCAGCTAATTTTTTATACATTTAGTAAAGACAGGGTTTCACCATGTTGGCCAGGCTGGTCTTTTTTTATTTTTTTTGAGATGGAGTCTCGCCCTGGCATGGCTGGCTGGCTGGCTTGTGTGGCTTGGCTGGCTGGCTGGCTTGGCTGGCTTGGCTGGCTTGGCTGGCTCACTGGCTGACTGGCTTGGCTGGCTGGGTAGCTTGGCTGGCATGGCTGGCTGGGTGGCTTGGCTGGCTTAGTCGGCTGGGTGGCTTGGCTGGCTGGCTGGCTGGCTGGCTTGGCTGTCTGGGTGGCTTGGCTGGCCGCCTGGCTTGGCTGGCCGCCTGGCTTGGCTGGCTGGATGGCTTGGCTGGCATGGCTGGCTTGGCTGGCTGGCTGGCTGGCTGGCTTGGCTGGCTTGGCTGGCTGTGTGGCTTGGCTGGCTTGGCTGGCTGGGTGGCTTGGCTGGCTGGCTGGCTGGCTTGGCTGGCATGGCTGGCTGGCTGGCTTGGCGGGTGGCTGGCTTGGCTGGCTTGGCTGGCTTGGCTGGGTGGCTGGCCTGACTGGCTGGATGGCTAGATGGCTTGGCTGGCTGGGTGGCTTGCCTGGCTTGGCTGGCTTGGCTGGATGGCTGGCTTGACTGGCTTGGCTCGCTGGCTGCCTTGGCTGGCTTGGATGGCTGGCTGGCTTGGCTGGTTGGCTGGCTTGGCTGGCTTGGCTGGCTGGCTGTCTTGGCTGGCTTCGCTGGCTGGCTGGCTTGGCTGCTTGGCTGGCTTGACTGGCTTGGATGGCTGGCAGGCTTGGCTGGCTTGGCTGGTTTGGCTGCCCAGGTGGCTTGGCTGGCTTGGCTGGCCGGGTGACTTGGCCAGCTTGGGTGGCCGAGTGGATTGGCTAGCTTGGCTGGCCGGCTGGCTTGGCAGGCTGGATGGCTCGGCTGGCTTGGCTGGCAGGCTGGTTTGGCTCTCTTGGCTGTCTTGGCTAGCTGGGTGGCTTGGCTGGCTTGGCTGGCTGGCTGGCTTGGCTGTGTGGGCTGGCTGGCTGGCTTGGCTGGCTGGCTGGCTTGGCTGGCTTGGCTGGCTGCCTGGCTTGGCTGGCTTGGCTGGCTTGGCTGGCTGGCTTGCTTGGCTGGCTGGCTGGCTTGGCTGGCTTAGGTGGCTGGCTGAGTTGGCTGGCTTGGTTGGCTCGCTGACTTGGCTGGCTTGAGTGGCTGGCTGGCTTGGCTGGCTTGGCAGGCTGGCTTTCCTGGCTGGCTTGGCTGGCTTGGCTGGCTGGCTGTCTGGGTGGCTTGGCTGGCTTAGGTGTCTGGCCGGCTTGGCTGGCTTGGGTGGCTCACTGGCTTGGCTGGCTTGGGTGGCTGGCTAGCCTGGTTGTCTTGGCTGGCTGGCTGGCTTGGCTGGCTTGGCTGGCTTGGCTGGCTGGCTTGGCTGGCTTGGCTGGCTTGGCTGTCTGCCTCACTTGGGTGGCTTGGCTGGCTTCCTGGCTTGGCTGGCTTGGCTGGCTTAGGTGGCTGGCTGGCTTGGCTGGCTTGGGTGGCTCGCTGGCTTGGCTGACTTGGGAGGCTGGCTGGCCTGGCTGGTTTGGTTGGCTTGGCTGGCTGGGTGGCTGGCTGGCCTGGCTGGCTGGGTGGCTGGATGGCTTGGCTGGCTGGGTAGCTTTCCTGGCTTGGCTAGCTTGGCTGGATGGCTGGCTTGACTGGCTTGGCTGGCTGGCTGGCTTGGCTGGCTTGGCTGGCTGGCTGGCTTGGCTGGTTGTCTGGCTTGGCTGGCTTGGCTTGGCTGGTTGGCTGGCTTGGCTGGCTGGGTGGCTTGGCTGGCTTTGCTGGCTGGATGGCTTGGCTGGCTGGCTCACTTGGCTGGTTGGCTGGCTTGGCCGGCTTGGCTGGCCGGCTGGGTGGGTGGCCTGGCTGGCTTGGCTGGCTTGGCTGGCTTGCCTGGCTGGCTGGGTGGCTGGCTGTCTTGACTGGCTGGGTGGCTTTGCTGGCTTTGCTGGCTGGGTGGCTTGGCTTCTTTGGCCATCTGGGTGGCTTGGCTGGCTTGGCTGGTTGGCTGGCTTGGCTGGCTTCACTGGCTGGCCGGCTTGGCTGGCTTGGCTCTCTTGCCTTGTTGGCTGGTTTGGCTGGCTTGGCTGGCTGGGTATCTTGGCTGGCTTAGGTGGCTTGCTGGCTTGGCTGGCTTGGCTGGCTTGTTTGCTTGGCTGGCTTGGCTGGCTTGGCTGGCTGGCTGGCTTGGCTGGCTTGGCTTGCTGGGTGGCTTGGCTGGCTTGAGTGCCTGACTGGCTTGGCTTGCTTAGGTGGCTGGCAGGCTTGGCTGGCTTGGGTGACTGGCTGGCTTGGCTGGCTTGGCTGGCTTGGGTGACTGGCTTGCTGGCTTGGCTGGCTTGGCTGGCTTGGGTGACTGGCTTGCTGGCTTGGCTGGCTTGGCTGGCTTGGCTGGCTGGCTTCCTTGACTGGCTTGGCTGGCTTGGCTGGCTTGGCTGGCTGGCTATCTGGCTGGGTGGCTTGGCTGGCTTGCCTGGCTGGGTGGCTTGGCTGGCTTGGCTGGCTGGGTCCCTTGGCTGGCTTTGCTGGCTGGCTGGCTTGGCTGGCTGGGTGGCTGGCTGACTTGGCTGGCTGGCTTGGCTGGCTTGTCTGGCTGGCTGGCTTGGCTGGCTTGGCTGGCTGGGTGTCTTGGCTGGCTTGGCTGGCTGGGTGTCTTGGCTGGCTTGGCTGGTCGGCTGGCTTGGCTGGCTTGGCTGGCTGGGTGTCTTGGCTGGCTTGGCTGGCTGGGTGTCTTGGCTGGCTTGGCTGGTCGGCTGGCTTGGCTGGCTTGGCTGGCTGGGTGTCTTGGTTGGCTTGGCTGGCTGGGTGTCTTGGCTGGCTTGGTGGGCCAGCTGGCTTGGCTGTCTTGGCTGGGTGACTGGCTTGTCTGGCTTGGCTGGCTGGCTGGCTTGGCTGGCTTGGCTGGCTGGCTGGCTTCGCTGGCTTGGCTGGCTTGGCTGCCTGGGTGGCTTGGTTGGCTTGGTTGGCTTGGCTGCCTGACTGGCTTGGCCGGCTTAGCTGACTGGCTGGCTTAGCTGGCTGGCTGGCTTGGCTGGCTGGCTGGCTTGGCTGGCTTAGCTGGCTGGCTGGCTTGGCTGGCTTGGCTGGCTTGGCTGGCTGGCTGGCTTGGCTGGCTTGGCTGGCTGGGTGGCTTGGCTGGCTTGGCTGGCTGGGTGGCTTCGCTGGCTGGCTCCCTTGGCTGGCTGCCTGGCTTGTCTGGCTTGGCTGGCTGGGTGGCTTCGCTGGCTGGCTCCCTTGGCTGGCTGCCTGGCTTGTCTGGCTTGGCTGTCTCACTGGCTTGGCTGGCTGGCTGGCTTGGCTGGCTTGGCTGGCTTGGCTGCCTGGGTGTCTTGGTTGGCTTGGCTGCCTGTCTGGCTTGGCCAGCTTGGCTGGCTGGCTGGCTTAGCTGGCTGGCTGGCTTGGCTGGCTTGGCTGGCTGGCTGGCTTGGCTGGCTTGGCTGGCCTGGCTGGCTTGTTGTCTCTCCCAGGCTGCCGTGCAGCTGTATGATCTTGGCTCACTGCAACCTCTGCCTCCCAGGTTCAAGCAATTCTCCTGCCTCAGCCTCCCAATTAGCTGGGATTACAGGCCTGAGCCACCTCACCCAGCTGATTTTTGTACTTTTAGTAGAGACGGTGTTTCACCATGTTTTGCACTCCCGTATGGGTGACATAGGGAGAGTCCGTCTCAAAAAAAAAAAAGAATTTATACACTGCCATACAGATTCACACACATACACTCATATTCACGAACACACAAGTACGATAAATGCAGGGGCACACACAAACCCCATCACAAAAACACACTTCCATAAAACACAGGAATGCACGCTCACACAGAAACACGCATGGAAACACACGTTGTCTTACAGACTCACAGACACACTCATCATCACATAAACAGGCACACACACACAGCCACACAAGCACACACCCACACCCACATCAACACACACACTCCCACACGGCACCCACGCGCTCACGCACACAGGTAGAACAGGCCTGCATTACCTGATAACGCAGTTAAATCAGACGTGATGCTGCCTGCCGAGGAGACCTGGAGGCTTCCCATGAATGAGCTTTCGGACGAGAGGTCTCTGGGTGCATTTGGTGACACCCCAGGCAGTGGGGGAGATGTCCAGACTGGAAGGCCACCCACAGCCAGCTCTGCCCAAGGATGCCACGTTCATTTGCTTCAGTAGGATCTGCATCCTGTAAACCCTAGTTCCTGCCTCTCCAGGACACCCCACTGGTCAGCACACTCCCCAGGTTTAGAAGGGGTCTCTCGGTGAAATTTGGTGACACTCCAGGCAGAAGGGGGGACGCCACAGCCAGCTCTGCCCGCGGATGCCACATCCATTTGCTTCAGTAGGATCTGCACCCTGTAAACCCTGGTTCCTGCCTCTCCAGGACACCCCACTGAGGTCAGCAACCCCCACCCCCCACCCCCAGGTTTGTCCAGCTTCGCTATCTGGGGAGAGACACAGAAAGACCACATTCGGTGGAATTCTGGCTATAACCTTTTGTGGCCGGCAAGAAGGATCACCAAGCTGTCCTGTTACCTTGCTGGAGCGATCACTGGTTTCACGCTTGGCCCCCGTGCAGTGAGTGCCTGGGCCAGGCTCGATTCCTGGAGCTCCGGTGAAATTTGGGCTTGGAGCTCATGCCTGCACCATCCAGAAAGCAGAAGGCAGCCGGCCCGGGCTGTACGGTTCGTAGAATCAGAGAGAACACTGCTTGCCTTCATGTCTGTACCACAATAAATCTGCCAACTGCGGTCAAAGTCTCTGGATTCCTGCCCCCTCATTTTATTTTGTCTATTACGGAGCGGAAGGAGTGAGAAAGATTTTGCTTCCTATTTTGTTTTGCAAAGCGCTTCTAAGAAAAACAACCCACGTTCTGAAAACGAGATTCTGAGTGTCCCCTGGGCGCGATGAAAACAAACTTTGGGAATCCAAGGGCCTGAGAGGCAGAGTGAATGTCATTCGCATTTCCCTGCGAATGACAAAGTCACTTTTTATTTATTATTATTATTATAGATTCAGGGGATCCACGGGCAGCTTTGTGACCTGGGGATATTGTACAATGCTGAGGTTTGGGGTATGAATAATCCCGTCACCCAGGCACTGAGCATTGTACATTCCTGTGGTATATAATATGTACTAAAAATAAAATGTATATTTATATATGCACTAATGATTCAACTTGATTCCTTGTAATTAAGAAAAACAAACCCCAAATTCTAGAGGAGTTGTAGAAATATGTAAGAAGAGAGGCCAGGCGCAGTGGCTCATGCCTGTAATCCCAGCACTTTGGGAGGCCGAGGCAGGTGGATCACCTGAGGTCAGGAGTTCGAGACCAGCCTGGCCAACATGGTGAAACTCTGTCTCTGCTAAAAATACAAAAATTAGCCAGGTGTGGTGGTGGGTGCCTGTAGTCCCAGCTACTTGGGAGGCTGAGGTAGAAGAATTGCTTGAATCCAGGAGGCAGAAGTTGCAGGGAGCTGAGATTGCACCACTGCACTCCAGCCTGGGTCACAGAGTGAGACTCCATCTCAAAAAAAAAAAAAAAAAAAAAAAAAGAGAGAGAAAAAAAACAAACAAGCAAGAAAATGCAACAGAAAAATCCGTGACCCAAAGCTCTCTCCAGTTGCTGCTTTCTGCCGGAAATTCAAAGAATCTCAGGGTAGTTTTTCAACCCTTGTACCCCCGCCCCTGCTTCCTGCTCTATTAGTCCTGAGGGTCTCTGGTGCCCCTTCATTGTGTCCAGATGCAGGCAATGTTTAGCTCCCACCTATAAGCGAGAACATGTGGTATTTGATTTTCTGTTCCTGGCGTTAATTCACTAAGCATAGTCCCCTTCAGCTTCATCCATGTGACTGCAAAGGGCATGATTTTATTCTTGTTCATGGCTGTGTAGTATTCCATGATGTGGAAGGAACACATTTGCTTTATCTAATTGAGAACATGTGGTATTTGATTTTCTGTTTCTGGCATCAATTCACTAAGCATAATGCCCTTCAGCTTCATCCATGTTGCTGCAAAGGGCATGATTTTATTCTTGTTCATGGCTGTGTAGTATTCCATGATGCGGAAGGACCACATTTGCTTTATCTAGTGGAGAACATGTGGTATTTGATTTTCTGTTCCTCGTATTGATTCACTAAGCATAATGCCCTCTGGCTGCATCCATGTGGCTGCAAAGACATGATTTTATTTTTTTCATCACTGTGTAGTATTCCGTGGTGTAGAAGGGCCACATTTGCTTTATCCAGTTGAGAACATGTAGTATTTCATTTTCTGTTCCTGGCATTAATTCACTAAGCATAATGTCCTTAAGCTGTGTCCATGTGGCTGCAAAGGACATGATATTATTCTTTTTCATGGCTGTGTAGTATTCCATGATGCAGAAAGACCACATTTGCTTTATCTAATAGAGAACATGTGGTATTCAATTTTCTTTTCCTGGCGTTAATTCACTAAGCATAATTCCCTTCAGCTGCATCCCTGTGGCTGCAAAGACATGATTTTATGCTTTTTCATGGCTGTGCAGTATTCCATGGCGTAGAAGGGCCACAATTGCTTTATCCAGTCAAGAACATGTGGTATTTGATTTTCTGTTCTCGTGTTAATTCATTAAGCATAATGCCCTCCAGCTACATCCATGTGGCTGCAAAGGACATGATTTTATTCTTTTTCATGGCTGTGTAGTACTTGATGCTGTAGAAGAACCACTTTTGCTTTATCCAGTACCCAACTGATGGGCAACTGGGTTTATTCCATGACTTTCCTATTGTAAGTCATGCTGTGATGAACCTTACAGGGCCAGGCACTGTAATCCCAGCACTCTGGAGGGCCGAGGTGGGCAGATCACCTGAGGTCAGGAGTTCGAGACCAGCCTGGTCAACATGGTGAAACCCTATCTCTACTAAAAATACAAAAATTAGCCAGGCATGGTGGCAGATCACCTGATGTCAGGAGTTCGAGACCAGCCTGGTCAACATGGTGAAACCCTATCTCTACTAAAAATACAAAAATTAGCCAGGCATGGTGGCACATACCTGTAATCCCAGCTGCTCAGGAGGCTAAGGCAGGAGAATCACTTGAACCCAGGAGGCGGAGGTTGCAGTGAGCCGAGATTGCTACTGCACTCCAGCATGGGCAATAGAGCGAGACTCCGTCTCAAAAAACAACAACAAAAAAACAAGTTTACCATGCATGTGTCTTTTTGGTAGAATGACTTCTTTTCCTTTGGGTAGATGCCCAGTCTTGGAATTGCTGGCGCAAATGGTGGAGCAGTTTAGATTCAGGAGGTACATGTACAGGTTTCTTACATGGGTACGATGTGTGATGCTGAGGTCTAGGGTATGAGTGATCCCATCACCCAGGTAGTGAGCATAATACCCCACAGTTGGTTTTTTCAACTCTTGTCCTTCTACCTTCCTCTCTCCCCCTAACTAGAACACAGTATCTGTTCCCTTCTCTGTGTCTACGTATACACAACATTTAGCTCCCACTTATAAGTGAGAACACACAGCATTCTGTTAATTTACTTAAGATAATGGCCTCCACACTGTTCACAATAGCAAAGATGTGGAACCAACCCAAATGCTCATCAGTGATAGACTGGATAAAGAAAATGTAGCACATAGACACTGTTGGCCGGGCGCGGTGGCTCACGCCTGTAATCCCAGCACTCTAGGAGGCTGAGGTGGGTGGATCACCTGAGGTCAGAAGTTCAAGACCAGCCTGGCCAGCATGGCGAAACCCCGTCTCTACTAAAAATACAAAAACTGGCCGGGCATGGTCGTGCATGGCTGTAATCCCAGCTACTCGGGAGGCTGAGGCAGGAGAATTGCTCCAACCCAGGAGACAGAGATTGCAGTGAGCCAAGATCGTGCCACTGCACTCCAGCCTGGGCAACAGAGTAAGACTCGGTCTCAAAAAAACAAAACAAACAAACAAAGCACATAGACACTGTGGAATACTATGCAGCCATGAAAAAGGATGAGTTCATGTCCTTTGCAGGGACATGGATGAAGCTGGAAACCCTCATGTTCAGCAAATTGACACAGGAACATAAAACCAAACACTGCATGTTCTCATTCATAAGTGGGAAGTGAACAATGAGAACACATCGACCCAGAGAGGGGAACATCACACACTGGGGCCTGTTGCAGGGGTGGGGGACTGGGGGAGGGACAGCATTATGAGAAATACCTAATGTAGATGACGGGTTGATGGGTGCAGCAAACCGCTATGGCACATGTATATCTATGTAACAACCCTGCACATTCTGCACATATACCCCAGAACTTAAAGTAGAATAGAAAAAATAAAAAATAATAAAAATAATTAAAAAAGATAATGGCCTCCAGCTACATTCATGTTGCTGCAAAAAAAACAAAAACAAAAACATGATTTTGTTCCTTTTCAGGGTTGCGTAGTATTCCATGGTGTAGATGTACCACATTTTCTTTGAGGGTGGAGGGTGGGAGGAGGGAGAAGATCAGCAAAAATAACCTGTGGCTGGGTGTGGCAGCTCACACCTGTATTCTCAGCACTTTGGGAGGCCGAGGTGGGTGGATCACCTGAGGTCAGGAGTTTGAGATCAGCCTGGCCAACATGGCAAAACCCTATCTCTACTAAAAGTACAAAAATTAGCCGGGCATGGTGGTGCACGCCTGTAATCCCGGCTCCTCTGTAGGTTGAGGCAGGAGAATCTCTTGAACCCAGGAGGTGGACATTGCAGTGAGCCGAGATCATGCCACTGCCCTCCAGCCTGGGCCACAGAGTGGGACTCCATCTCAAAAAATAATCATAAAAAAATAATAATAACCTGCTAGTCTTAGGACCTAGGTTGATTCCATTACAAAAAAAAAAAAAAAAAAGAAAAAGAAAAAACTAACTTTTTAAAAGAAGGATCTCTCTGTTCAAAAACAAAACCAATGCCCTGTCAGGAAAGATGTTCTGTGTTTTTCTGGTAAAGCTGGAAGGAACCTACAGGAAGGAGTCACTCCATAAAACTAGTGGAGCAGCATTGCCTTTTGGGGTGAGGGCTGCTTCTGTTAGGCCACCAGGATGAGTGCCTTCCTGGGGAGTGTGGTTCATCCTACACCATCCAGGAAGCAATTCCTGCCCCCAAATCACCTGCCAGCTTCCGCCCTGTAAGTAAAATCCCCAGCAAGTGGGCAGCAGGGAGCTGCTTGCCTTGGAAGGCAGCTGAAGTCTCTGCCCACCACCCAGACTGTGTCCTCTGGGCAAGGCCAGGGCTTCCAGTTGGATGGTTTTCACATTAGCGGCTGCTGTTTAGAATCATCAACATTGGCCAGGCGCGGTGGCTCACGCCTGTCATCGCAGCACTTTGGGAAGCCGAGGTGGGCGGATCACAAGGTCAGGGACCAGCCTGGCCAATATGGTGAAACCCTGTCTCAACTAAAAAAAAATACAAAAATTAGCTTGGTGTGGCTGGGCATGGTGGCTCATCCCTGTAATCCCAGCACTTTGGGAGGCCGAGGTGGGCGGATCATGAGGTCAGGAGATCGAGATCATCCTGGCTAACATGGTGAAACCCCGTCTCTACTAAAAACACAAAAAATTAGCCAGGCACAGTGGCAGGTGCCTGTAGTCCCAGCTACTCATGAGGCTGAGGCAGGAGAATGGCGTTAACCTGGGAGGCGGGGTTTGCAGTGAGCCCAGATCGTGCCACTGCACTCCAGCCTGGGCAATATAGAGTGAGACTCTGTCTCAAAAAAAAAAAAAAAAAAAAAATTATCCTGGTGTGGTGGTGAGCACCTGTAATCCCAGCTACTCAGGAGGCTGAGGCAGGAGAATTGCTTGGACCCTGGAGGCAGAGGTTGCAGTGAGCCAAGATCGCGCCATTGCACTCCGGCCTAGACAACAGAGCAAGATTCTATTGCAAAAACAAACATACAAACAAAAAGAATCATCAACATTGCCATGGCCCAATCTCTTCCCAGACTTGTCAAATCTTTACCACTGGACCTCCATGTTCTAGTTTCAAAGCTCTGCTGGCCACAGTGGCTCATGTCTGTAATCCCAGCACTTTGGGAGGCTGAGGTAGGAGGACTGCTTGAACCTAGGAGAGTGAATCCATCCTAGGCAACATAGTGATAATAGTGTCAAATGAGAGCCCGTGTCCAGTAATTCCCCACATATCTGAGAATTTTCTTTTCTTTAAGTCACAGTCATCCTGGTAGAAGGCTGTAGGTCCCTTTGGGGAAGACTGGGAAAAAGATTAACAATGTAAATTTTTGGCAATGTATCAGCGTACTTCCCCAAGATCACCCAACCTCCCCTTCACTTAAGGGGTTGTGGGCCTGTGAACTGGCTCAAGTCTGGGAATTGATTGAGGGTTTTCTATCTGTGTTTCATTAATTTGAGTTAGTCTTTTATTCAGTTGACCTAGAATTCTTCATTTTTTAAAGAACAACTAAGACTTTGGTACAGCCCATTAGCTCTCCCTGTGGATACCATGGACTACACAATGCCGTGGGTGTCTGTGAGTCAAACCATTCTGACTGCTGCTTTGACACTGCTTTCCACTGTGGTGACCACACCCACCTCATCTTTGGTGATTAAGGACAGCCCATGTTCCCTGCCACCCCGGGATTCAATTATCCTCATTTTATTTAAAGATCCCAGTCCAGTGGCTGCAATTCCTGCTGTAACATTTTGCCTACTGAGAGCACAAGCTCAAAGCTCTTCCAGGATACTGGGCTCCTCTCACAATATTCTTTCTCATGATCGTTGTGAGAAGTATGTTCTGTAGACCCTCCAGTGTGAGTGAGCAGGTCTGACATAATAAATCCAGTCTCCCTGAGTTTTTGCATACCTTCCTGTACACATAAACCAAGGAAGTTGTGGCGTCTCAACTTTATGTACCTTAGGTAAACTCTGATTCTGTTTCAGCCAACCAACCAAGTCACCAAACAAATAAGCAAACAGCCAACCAATCAACCAACAAGCAAGCAAGCAACAAACCAACCAAACAACCAAGCAAGGAAGCAAGAACCAACCAACCAAGCAAGCAACCAACCAAGTAACCGATCAAACCAACCCTTGGAGCCCTTTCTAAATAAAGCTTTGACCTACAACCTTGAATCCAGAATCTCTGTTTAGTGGGCCAACATTAATAAATTTAGCTGAATCCAACTTTATGTTACTTCCACCGTGGTGCCACACACTTAATATCCATTCCCACATATATTCTCCAGATTTCTTTCTGTATAAGTTGTGTGTGTGTAGAAAGAGAGCATCGACTGAAAAATCACACTATTTTATAAACTTAGAAAAGAGAGCTTTATTTCTTATAAAGGTTTGCAGCCTGCAAGGTGGCCCTTATGACAGGCTGGGAAGTGTGGCCTACAGCCAAGGCCAGAGGCAGGCATTTCCAGGGAGGGAAGGAGAGGAAAGGAATTTGAGCCGAATGAGTTGGCTACATATACATACTCAATAGGATATCAGAGGAGCTATATAATTTTATGAGAATACTCATAAGAGAGGTCCTAACAGATGCATGTTCAATAAACATGCATGTTCATTCTGGGGTGGAGACTTTACATTTAAATGTATTATAATTAGGCCCTACACATCAAAAAGTGAAGCAGGGACATGAAGGTACTCAGCCTCTGTAAAGGCATAACCTCTAAAACTGGCCAGAACCAGTCCATGGAGGATGGTCTCTTATCAGGAGAAAGTTACTGAAATCAGTCCCTTGTCCAGTGAAAGCTGTCGTTAAGGTTGGTGGGGCAGGAGATCAGTTACTCAGTGTCTGTGAACTGGGTGAGTTGTAACTGTTCTAATCTTGCTGCTCTCACAGCCAGTGCTTGCTTGGCTGCTAGAGAAAAATAAAAACCATGTGGTAGTTAGAATCTAGTTTATGCTTTAAGAGTAGGGTACATGACTTAACCCTCGCCTGGCATGGCCCTAGGTCCTGTTTATAATTTGGGGTCTTATTGCCACAAAGAGTCCGTTCTGTCAGTCTCATGATCTCTATTTTAACATTAATGCTGTTCAGTCATTGGGTCTAAACCATAAGAGGGAGGGAGGTACAGGGACGTATGTCTGACCTCCTGTCCTGTCATGGCTAAGAACTGAATTTTAAGATTTATTTGAGGTTCCGTTGGCCAACAGGGGGTCTGCTAAGTCAGGTGGGGGGCTTAGGATTTTATTTTTAGTTCTCAAGGGAGATAAAATAATTTAATCCATTGGCCCCTGTGACTGTGGGACTAACATGGCTATGATCTGTCAGACAGATTTCAGGCTGGCACCCAGGCAAAATTCTATGCTGTAGTAAATGCATCATGCACATTTGTAACAACACGTACATAACAATGTCACAAAATACTTTCACGGTGACACCTAGATTAGTGTTTTATTGAATAGCTGATGATATAAACTGGCTCATTTGGTGCCAAGACTGACCATCACCAGCATACCAAGGTCATCACTGATCAGAGGCCTAACCCAAGGAGGGGGTCATGCGCAGACCCAGCAGTGGGGAGGAAATATGCTGCAGAGGAGATGGATGCCCACAGAGGCCCCTGAGCGGATACCATGCTTACTAAGTGGTAAGTATAGACTCAACGTAGGCTGTAAGGTCTCCCCCTGTGCAAATGGGACCCCATCCACTTGAAAGTCAAGGGTCTGTTTGGGTGGCAGGGATAGCCACTTCTGAAGGTAGAAAGGAAAATAAGCCACCAAATTGGTACCTTTCTGTGAAATGGACATCGTGCTCAGAATCTCCATTTTCCCCACAACCTGGAGGAATAAGTACTGTCATCTGCATTTTATAGCTGAGGAATCTGACTGAACAAAATTAAATTACTCACCTAAGCAATTAGCAATCAACCAAGTCTTTCTGACTCAGAAACCCAGCTGTTGCCTGTTCATATCCAGCCCCTGTATTGGGGTCAAGATCTGGCCTGTTCTCAATGCAGCAAGATCCAGGCAGATCACACTGGACTCCCAGCACTGAATCTGGCTCAAGGGGACATCAAATTTGACTGGGTCATGGGGCTCAGGAGCATCACTCTCAAAAATAGCAGTACAGGAAGAGGTGATGGACCTAAACAGCATTTGCAGGCAGATCCCATGTTAATCATAAGGGTCAGGACTCTCTCACTTTTCTGTCTCTCTCTCTGTCTCTCCTCTAGGGCTGACCCCACATTGGACACCACTGCTTCCATGTCCATCACACACCACAGCTGCCTTTTCTTCTGCCTGTTTATGGGAAAGTCCCCTCCTCTCCTCCGTTTTCTTCTCTTCCTGCCCTATCACACCGTGCTCTTCTCCCTTTCCTTAAAGAACCACCATCAACTTTAGGAGGAGGGAAAGGGGTGGCTCTGGCAGGAAAAGCCAGAATCCCCTCTAGCCAATAGAGAGAGAGGAATGGCTGCATGTTTTCTCCCCCAATCCAAGGCACTGGGTCTTGGCTGGGTTGCAGGTTCCAAGCTGCTCTCCTGCTGTGTCGGTGAGTTCTGGTCAACCTGCAACCTCCTGATGTGGCCACTGGCCACTGCAGTTCATCGAGTCTTCAGGGACTCCCCATGGCCTGGAGTACTTTGCCTTGCTTACACGGGAGAGGAGAATGGATTTATAGAGAACATCATCTAAATCCAACTTGACCATTGTGTGGCCACACTTGCTAGATTGCTATAGTCTAAATCTAGCATTGTAGAAAGACGGGGGAGCTTGGAGCTGCACAAACCCAGGTCTGGAACTGGCTCCTTACCTTGAAAGGTGAATGATCCTGGTAGGACTCTTAGCCTCCCTGGGCCTCAGTTTCTTTATCTGTTTCATGGGAATGAGGAACTCGGCTGGTTGGTTGGGTGATGCGGGGGCTGTGTGAAAACAGCTTGTCAATACAAGCCGAATAGAAATATTTCTCCACAGAGTATGAAGGTCAAATGAGAGAATACATTTAAATTAAATGGAAAATTAAAATGGCAAAAAAGGCAAGCTGTATTGAAAGTTCCGAGCTTCTCTATAAGGAGCTTTTTGACTATGTAAGAATCCTGTACTCGTTCCCCCTAAATACAAAAAAAAAAAAAAAAAAAGTTGAAGGAGGCAGAAGGGAGAGTGATGCATGATGGGCGAGGACTTCACCTGCTGTTGCTGGCTTTGAGGATAGAGGAAGGAGGCCACAAACCTAGAAGCTGGGAGCCCCTAGAAGCTAGAAAAGGCAGGGAGCTGATTCATCCCTTGAGCCTCTAGAAGGGACATAGCCCCACCAGCACCTTGACTTTAGCCCAGTGAGATCCTCTTAGGAATTTTGGCAACCAGAACTATAAGACAGAAGTGGAAGCCACTGAGTCTGTAGCTGTTTGTTGCAGCAGCAATAGAAAACTAATGCAGAGCCCAAGAAATCACTGGTGATGAGATGGGGAAAGTGGGCTCAGGAGTTCTGGATCTGTGATGAGATGGGGAAAGTGGGCTCAGGATGTCTGGATCTGTGATGAGATGGGGAAAGTGGGCTCAGGAGGTCTGGATCTGTGATGAGATGGGGGAAGTGGGTTCAGGAGGTCTGGATCTGTGATGAGATGGGGAAAGTGGGCTCAGGAGGTCTGGATCTGTGATGAGATGGGGGAAGTGGGTTCAGGAGGTCTGGATCTGAGGTGCGGATCTGGAGTGGAAGGGGAATTCATTTGTTCATTGTCTATCCTTTTGCATTGATTGAGTTTTTTTCTATATATATATGTGAATTTTCACAATAACAGTTTTTTCCAAAATAAAATAAAAGAACAAAAGGGGCTTTTTGCAACCCAATTCCTATCTATGTCTGAGTCCACTTGTATTGAATGAGTCTTTCTGCTAACATCCTTATATTTGGGTGACAATCTGAATGTCAGTGACCAATCAGAGCAGAGACAGACCTTGGAGTGGGCAGGGCATCCTGAGGGCCCTGATTCCTGCCATGAGGCATAACCCTTTAGGTGCCAGACCATGGGGAGGTCCAGGGGTTGCAGGGGAGGGCTGTGCATCTGCAATGACTCTCAGGGGGCTCCTGGTGGTGGCAATTGGTGAATCTGCACAGTGGTATTTCTATATTGTCACAACCCTGCTGTCTCTCATGCTCTCAAAAAGCATTTCTCTTACCTGTGACAGACTTCCTACACCTAGCAGCTTGCAAAAATGTTCCAGGTTAATGAGAATAATCTCCCAGAGCCATACCTCCCTGCTTGGGGTCTCAGTTTCCCCAACTGTCTCCAGACAAGTTAGGCTAGAAGGCCCCTGAGCCTCAGCCCCTCTATACCCCTCCTGTCACCCAGACCTGATCTGGCTCTTGCACCCTGGGTGCAGCATGACAGGGGTGGGCAGGGGCTGGCTCTGGGCCAGAGGACCCTTTCTGATGGACTTCAGCTGTTGGCCTTCCAGGGGAGACTGATCAACCTCACAAGAGTCATACGGTGAGTAGCAGTGGGCAAATCCATCCCCCTTGTCTTAGATTTATGGGGAGACAGAGACAAAGAGGAGACACTCCAGGAAGACCTGCAGGTGGGAGTACCAGGTTGAAACCAAGGACACCTTCCTGGAGGAGCTGCTGTTTGAGCCAGCTCTGAGAACAGGTGGGGACAGGACTGGAGAGGAGGAGGGGGTCCCCTATGAGCAAAGACTGGCCACCACCCCATCTAACACCCCCACAGGGCCCCTGTGGCATCCCTGTCCAGTCCCTGTCACCACCCAGTTTTTCCCTCTGGACCCAGGAATTCAAAGTAAGCAAGGAGGTCCGCTGCTCCAGTTGGCTGCAAATAATTACAACCTTGAGCCCAAGCAGCACTTTGGGTCCTGGTTTGGGACCATGAAGCGGCTCGGTGAGACTGAGAGGTAAGGCCAGGGCAGGAATTGGGATAGTAGGATTGAACTCTCCCTGGGGGCCAGCCTCAGAAAGCCTGTGGCCATGGCCTCTTGGCCAACATCAGATCCTGTGGTCTGGCAATGCCTGGGGTACCCAGACCTCACTCTGGACAGGCCCTGGGAGGGGGCCCTGGTGAGATTCCTGGCAGCCTCACAGCCACTCTTCTGTCCATAGCTACAACATGTCATGCCAGCTGGAGGCTCCATCCCAGTTGGCTGGGAGCACAAAGGCCAGGAAGATAGACATCACCCACCACAGGGGCCAGTCGGGGCCTGAACCAGGGCGGGCAGAGGTTGGCTGCCTTGGGATATGGGTGGGCTCAGGGAGTCAGACAGCAAGGGACTAGCCTCCCATCCTACTGCTGACCAGCACTGTGACTGGGGAGAGTCACCTTACTTCTCTGGGCCTCAGTTTCCCCCTCTGTGGAGTGACACTAAATGATCTCTCTGGAGACGGGGATCAATAGGGCACTGGTGATTGACCAGGCACTCAGCACATGCCTGGAGCACACGGTGCAGGGCTGTGGTGGGGAGGTGGCCTGAGATCCTGGGGAGTCACTCATGTGTGCCTGCCCTTCCGACCAGCCACCAGGCCCTCAGGGCAGAGCCCACTACCAGCAGCAGCTCACACGAGACCAGCTCAGAGGCGGCCCCTACCTCAGCAGCAGGGACATCACGGACACTTTGAGCTGGTACTAGGGTGGCTTCTCCAGCTCCCAGGTGGAGAGGGGTCCCAGCTGAGTCCCACTCACGTGGAGTCTCATGCCCATGAAAGTGCCATTCATCACTGGCCAGGCTCATGAGGCCACATGAGAGGGGGGTCACTGGGGAGGAGATATCGGGGGAACAGAGAGGGTGGTTGAATTTTTGTATAATAGGCAGTGCAAGTGTTTACCGTTTGGCAGGGGAAAGGTTTGTTATTATTAGCAATGCTACACTTGAATATTATACTAAAATCCAGTCTCTCTCTAACCTGGGAGTTGCTCTTTTGTTCTTTCTTTTCCTGTCTTAATTAAAATGAGATGCAGACTCTCACAGTCCACAGTCAATTAAGAAATCTTGCACAGCCATCAGGTTATGTCTTGGAGAGCAGAGTTTCAGTACCATCAGCCTGGCAAGGAGCTGGGCTGCTCCTCAGAGCTCCTGGGACAGCGAGATTTGACATGTTGACAGGGCACCGTCACAGCCTCTGAAACACGCTGTCTTTAAAGATGTTTGCAGGCTGGACGCGGTGGCTCACTCCTGTAATCCCAGCACTTTGGGAGGCAGAAGCGGGTGGCTCACTTGAGGTCAGGAGTTGGAGACCAACATGGCCAACATGGCAAAACCCCATCTCTACTAAAAATACAAAAAATTAGCCAGGTGTGGCATCAGGTGCCTGTAATTCCAGCTACTCAGGAGGCTGAGGTAGGAGAATTGCTTGAACCCAGGAGGCGGAGGTTGCAATGAGCAGAGATCACACCACTGCACTCCAGTCTGGGCAACAAGAGCAAAACTTCATCTCAAAAGAAAAAAAAAACAACAACACAAAGACATTTGCAAGGACCATGTCCTCACCTGGAATGGTGCCTGCCTTTCTACAGTTTTTCAGGAAGAGGAAACATTTTCTGCTTCTCTTGCTGAGGTTTTTTTTAACCACCCATTAGGAACGCATAGATTTCAGAATCGAACACTGGGATTCCCTCAGCACTAAAGGAGGAAAATTGCAAACAGAGCTGAAAGTGCAATGTGGAAAGGTCAGGCTGAGGAAGTTTCTTAGCCAGTAGACCAAGGGCAGGAAGGACACTGCCTCCTCAGTCTCCCACTAGGGAACTTGTGATTCTTGTCCCCTGACCTCATAATTCCTTGTCTTGTTTGTTTTGTCTCCAGGGGAAGGGTTTGAATTTCAGAATTTAAGGCTAGAGTGGGCCTTCTGCAGTTAACATTAACCCTCTCTCTCCTTTGCTGGCCGAGGTGAAGTCCGGGAACATGTAGTTCTGATGTCCACTCTCTCGGGGGATCACCAGTTCACCCACCTCACCCGGCAAGCTGGGCCCTAGTTTGGCGACAGGCATCTTCCACCCACCTGGGAGGCAGGGTTCAACACTCTGCCTCTGACCTTGTTTCCTTCTTCTGCCACCTGCTTAGGCAGCCAGAAGGGGTTGTCCAGCCAGCACCTGGGTTTTGGTGCTCCTCAAGCAGGTGGAGGAAGTTTCAGGCACCTGGCTCCTCAGGTGTCTGCCATCCAGCTGCTCTTCAGGCCTGCCCAGCAGAGAGCTCTCTTGATCCAGCTAGAACTGGCCAGAACTGATTCACTCAGGAATGTGTAGACTTTGGCATCAGGGGCTGCTTTAATTTGCACAATTTCCAAATACCTCTTTTTTCTTCTTTTTCTGATGAGTCATCTCCCTAGACTTGCATTTTAAAGAGATAGATAGTTATCAGGTTCCAGAGAAGACATGGTAGAACATTTGTATCTCAAAAACACAGAGCCGAGACTTCAGGTTTAGATACTATAATTTGCCTAAACCAAAAAGGAAGGTGTAGGTAAAGTTCTAGTCAAGACAGGATGGCCAGGAAAAACACCTTAAACCAAGGGATGGCTTGCTTTGCAGATTTAAGCCAATGGCTTCTTTATCATAAGACTTCCCAGTGATTTAGTCCTCCTTCTCTTCCAGTGCACAGAGACATACCCCTCCTTACAAATAAAAATGTTCTTTATAGATGTAAACTTATTTTACAAAAATGTTTCAAAATAACCAGATGAAAATCATCCTTATGCCAGAAAGACTTGTTTTTTTTTTTCATTACTAGAAATGAAACAGTAAGTATTGGTTGTATTGACATACTTAGGCTTAGACCTATGTTTAACAAGAAAGCCTAATAATAGCACTGTGGTTAGACTGTAGCCTATTTTTCCAAACCATCATTTTATTATTAAGGAAAGAAAGGATCAAATACCTTTCATTCATCTGATATGATCCTTTAAAACACATTCCACTAATAAGTCCCATTTGGAACAGCTGAAAATCTTTTAATAAAACTTTTTAAAGATGAGCTCATGGCTTAGTGTAAATTTCACAAGCTTAATTAGGTCAAATGGAAGGAACTCAGATGAGTAGTTGCCCAATCAGAGCCCATTAGTTGTAAGTCATCAGCCCCCTCCATGACCTTAAAACTCCACTCTGACCTAATTATTGCAAACCTATACACAACAAAGTGAAAGGATTAATTTTCATTCGTCAACCGCTCAATCCCAGATTTTCAAAGAAAAAACCTATGTAAGGAATACTTACCGAAACCAGACAGGAAAATCAGAGCCTGCATACTTAAGAGTCAAATTTGTTCCACTACAGCCAGGTGGCACATAATTACATCATTTGGTTCTTCATACACTCTAGAACTGACCAGGACAGAGTTTAGCATAGAAAAACTGTAAGAAATAGGTTCTGAAACATAGAAATTGCAAAGTTCAAAAGGATATGAAAAAAACTAATGTAAATGAGACTCCCCTCCCTTTGTTTTAAATAAATAGACCCATCAGAGAAATGCAAATCAAAACCACAATGAGATACCATCTCACACCAGTTAGAATGGCAATCATTAAAAAGTCAGGAAACAACAGGTGCTGGAGAGGATGTGGAGAAATAGGAACACTTTCACACTGTTGGTGGGACTGTAAACTAGTTCAACCATTGTGGAAGACAGTGTGGCCATTCCTCAGGGATCTAGAACTAGAAATACCATTTGACCCAGCCATCCCACTACAGGGTATATACCCAAAGGATTATAAATCATGCTGTTATAAAGACACATGCACACGTATGTTTATTGTGGCACTATTCACAATAGCAAAGACTTGGAACCAACCCAAATGTCCAAAAATGATAGACTGGATTAAGAAAATGTGGCACATATACACCATGGAATACTATGCAGCCATAAAAAATGATGAGTTCATGTCCTTTGTAGGGACATGGATAAAGCTGGAAACCATCATTCTCAGCAAACTATCGCAAGGACGAAAAACCAAACAACACATGTTCTCACTCATAGGTGGGAATTGAACAATGAGAACACTTGGACACAGGAAGGGGAACATCACACACCAGGGCCTGTTGTGGGGTGAGAGGAGGGCGGAGGGATAGCACTAGGAGATATGCCTAATATAAATGATGAGTTAATGGGTGCAGCACACCAACATGGCACATGTATACATATGCAACAAACCTGCACATTGTGCATGTGTACCCTAGAATTTAAAGTATAATAAAAAATATAAAAAATAAAAAAAGAGAGAAATAGATGTTCTGTAAAAATATACACAATTTTTACAGACAAATACATTTATAAGTTGTTTTTATCTTAAAAACTGGGGATATTTCATATTTATAACTAATTATTGAGCCTTAAGTTTTCTTGGCCATTTCTAGGCTAATAAACTAAGAATCATGTAAACTAAGCCAAAGTAGAATAGACATAAAAGTCCTGAACACTTCAACTTCCTATTCTTCCAGAAGTATACCAGGCAAAGCTCATTTGAGAGAGGAAAAGCTTTCCTCCACCCTCTGTTTTACAGCGCTGAGGCTTCTCATCACAGTTCTATGACTTGTAGCTTAAATCCATGTTACATGGTCACTGGCATTATTAGTGCTTTTCTTTTAACACTGTAGGAATTAATCAATTTGGTGGTGTATTTAATTAATTCTATCACTAGAGGATTGTAAAATTACATATATGAATACCTCACTTTAGAGGCCACTTAATTTTTTTTCCAAGGGGATATTTGACTATATTTCCCTTTTGTCTTATTTAATGATTTTATAATTTAAACCCTAAATTATAAATCTAGAATTTAGAAAGTATATTTCCTCACTGGATTACATTTTTGGAAATATTATTTTATATGTGCACAAATATTACAAAATCACTGTAGACACCTGAAAACTATATTATCTTTTAAAGGCAATATTTACATTAAACTGGTATAACAAAATTGTTTGGTGCATTTTTTCCAGTACATTTTGTGTATATTACATGTTTAACCTTTTTTTATCCAGCAAATAATTTTTGAGTATCTACTAAGTGCTAGGTTCTGCATTACTAACTGAATTTAAAGAGTGAAATAACAGACATGGTCTCAGACCATAAAAATTAACATTAGGTCACCTATTTATATATTTTAAAATGGTAATTATGAAAACTTTTTGAGATTTTTAACTAGATAACATTATAATAACACACTTGATATTGTTAATATTTGCCAGTGAGCAAAAAATAAAATAAAAAGATGGTTTTATTCAATATACACTTTAAAATTGCAGGAAATAGTCAAGTTTCTCTGCTTTGCAGTTGAATGTCTATGTGTTTTTCTCTGCAACTTCGCTTTTGTGGAGTGAGAGAAACAATTATTCTTCCAGCCCAATGAAGGCATAAGAGTAACAATAAATCTAATATTTTAAATGCTTATCAAAAGATAGTAAACATATTATTTCAGAATACTGAGATCAATAAGTTGACCTACAAAAAAAGCCAAACTGACAGTATTGCTGAATAAGGAAAGGCCCAAAGAGACAAAATACTTTTTATTTTGTAACCTAGGTATGACACAACTTACCCTAACTATAAAGACCTTAAATTACCAAGATGGGTTCTTATAATATGGAGAGTTAAAAAAGTCATTTCACTTTTAGCTTTTTTATTTCTCTCAGAATAAAAAGTGTATAAGGAGTTGATAAAGAAGTTGATACTATAAGTTAGTACTACAATGACAGCACTTTTCAAGAAAAGACTTTTTTCTCTCTTACAAATATCATGTTAGCAGTATTTGTTTTCTCCAGAAATAATGAGGAAATAAAAACATAAGTATGTGGGTAATTAGTGTAGTTTCTTAAAGAAATGAGTTAGGCAACAGGCTAATAATGTATACTTCGCTGGCTTTTGAATGCCAACAATCATATTCTTTATAAGGCACAGAGAAGATTTTTCTAAAGAATAAGTATGTGAACCTGAAAAGTAATCGCCACTTGGTAGTGACAATATGGATAGGGTGAAGGGCGTCATCAAGAAGCAATGAAAAGATACATTTGCAGTTAAATTTGAAAACCATGATGTTTAATACATATAGTAATAAAGAATACTTTCTCCTGTTTCAAAATTATTTTAGAATTTAAGATAGAAGCTAAAATACCTAGGGATAATGATATGACTATCAAAAATTAAAAATTAAAGGACATTTTGAGTATTAGAAGTTAAGAATGATAACTTATTACCCAATGAACAGGGGATAATTCATTATGCTCCATATCCATTGAATTAAAAGACAGGCCCATCACCTGGATAATTTGAAAGTTTAATTTTATTTAAAAGTCTTGTTTCATTCATCAAGCTAAAGGATTAGCTCCCAGAAATATTCTAGGATTGCATATCCCCAACTCTGGAGGAAGTACAGAAAGAATGTTATAAGGGCCACCATCTAAACATTATTATGTAAATAATTTAGTACCATTCCATTTGCCTTTGTAGATTTAAAAATGTAAATGGCTTTCTCATATTAGGAAACATCACTTTTCAAAACCCAGATAAACATAGTATATTGCAAGAGAATAATTATTTTCTTTATTAAAAAAGAAATACTGGATGCTAAGTCCAAAAGACATAAAGTATTTTATACTAATAACTACTAACATTTTATTCATTAAAATATAAAGGTCAAAGGTTTCAAAATGATCTTTAAATGATTAATAACATGTTGATCTTTTTCTTCTTTCTGTAAACCTTTTTGAGTCTTAAAAATACTAAACTATACAAGCAATATTAAATAGTATATAAACTTGGATTAAAATATTCAAATTTACTAGAATGTGGACATTGGAAAGAATGAAAATAAACAGAAGCATAAAGCAGCAGATATAAAATTAAGAAAGCAACTAAGAGTGTTTAAAGTACATATTCATCTGTAGTCTAAGTCTACCATAAACAATGACTCTTCTCAGTAAAACAAATTGTTCATGAAGGGAAAAAGCATGTTGTATTAGAGAATATTCAACATAACTTTTTTAGTACTAACTTGTGCCTGGAGTATTATTGGTGTTTCTATTATGAACTTATGCACTTGATAATTTTTTTCATAAAGATTGTATGTACAACTCCATTCAAAAGCAGTTTTTGGTGGGTTTTTTGTTTTTGAGACAGAGTTTTGTTCTTTTCACCCAGGCTGGAGTGCAATGGTGCGAACTTGGCTCACAGCAACCTAGCAACCTTTGCCTCCCAGGTTCAGGTGATTCTCTTGCCTCAGCCTCCTGAGTGGTTAGGACTATAAGCATGTACCACCATGCCTGGCTAATTTTGTGTTTTTAGTAGAGACATGGTTTTGCCATGTTGACCAGGCTGGTCTTGAACTCCTGACCTGAGGTAATCCACCCATCTTGGCCTCCCAAAGTGCTGGGTATGGGCAAGAGCCACCATACCTGGCCTCAAAAGCAGTTTTTAAAAGCAAACACAATATAACACCAAAGTTGAAAAATCCATGCTCACCCAAGGATGCCAGGTTTAATAAATTATTTATAGAATACTGCATCAAAAATAAGACAATAACCCAAAGTATACCATTAAAGATGTATCCACTCCTACAACTAGAGATAATTAATCTATCTGGTAGCAAATGATACTTCAATCAGTTTCAGCATGTCTGAAATCTTTCTTTAAGGACAAAAGTGATAAAACATGACTTCATTCTTCATTAGACTCTTAGAACACTTGAAGGAAAATAATTTCTGAAGCACGAAGAGGTAAAGAGGTGTAATCTTTCAAAAAGATATTCAGTGTTCAAAATTCAAGAGTGCAATATCAGGCTGGGTGCGGTGGCTTATGCCTGTAATCGCAGCACTTTGGGAGGCCATGGTGGGTGGATCACCTGAGGTCAGGAGTTCGAGACCAGCCTGGACAACAGGGTGAAACTCTGACTGTACTAAAAATACAAAAATTAGCCAGGCATGGTGGTGTGCACCTGTAGTCCTAGCTACTTGGGGGGCTGAGAGAGGAGAATCGCTTGAACCTGGGAGGTGGAGTTTGCAGTGAACAAAGATCATGCCACCTCACTCCAGCATCAGTAACAGAATGAGATTCCATCTCAAAAAATAAAAAAAACGAGTGTAATATCATATCGGTATACACAGATAATATACTGAATGAAACAAATAGAATAATTTGAAGAGGTATCTTGATGAACAAGGAGTCATTAGGTTGTATTCATGTCTTTGAAGGAAATTGCAATGTGAGAAATTAATACTTTGACTACTGTACTAAAAGTTTATTGCTAACATGTATTGAGTTATTAACATGTGTTAGGCGGAGTACCATATAATTTACAAGTGTTATCTCATTTATTGTAGGCAAAATGTAATTTCAAACTCTGGGAGTATAAATGAATTAGATAGAATAAAATTCTATTTAAATGGCCATCAGTAAATCGGTATCTAGGAACAGGGTGATACAGTGCCCAAGTTTTCTATTCTTACTAAATGTTGTGTTTCATTTTCAATGTTTTCTTGGACATTGCTCTTTTTTGGTGACTTTGATTTTTTTTTATTTTAGAAAACTAATAAATTGACTCTTCTTGGTACTGACTTTTGGGTTTTATAGAAGAAAAAGTAATTAAATTCTGTACATTTACCTTTACCTCATTTTTTCTCTTTTAAATTTACTTTAATTGACATATAATAAATGTACATGTTATGGGGTACAGAGTGATATTTTGATATATTTATGCAATGCATAAAGATCAAGTCACAGTCATTATCATATCCATTACCTAAATCATGTATTATCTCTTTGCAGTGAGAATATTCAAAATCTTTTATTTTAGTTATTTGAAAACACAAAATAAATTCCCATTAACTACAGTCACCCAACAGTGCTGTAGAGAACTAGAACTTCTTCCTTCTCTCCAGCTGTAATTTTGTATGTATTAACCACATTTTTCTTATACTCTTCTTTCTCCTACTCTTTCCAGGATATGGTAACCAAAACTCTACTATCTACTTCTATGAGATTAAAAATTTTAGCTTCCATACATAAGTGAGAACACGTAGTTATGTGGTGTTTATGTTTCTATGCCAGGCTTATTTCACCTAACATAATGCCCTCCACTTGCATTCTTGTTGCCACAAATAACAGGATTTTGTTCTTTATTATGACTAAATAATATTCCATTATATATGTATGTCACATTTCTTTATCCATTCATCTGTTGATGGACACTTTTGTTGATTCCATATCTTGGCTATTGTGAATAGTGTTGTAATAAACTTGTGGGTGCAGGTAACTCTTTGATATACTGATTTTCTTTCCTTTGGATATATACTGAAAGCCATATGATTAAATTAATAAACACAATAAAAGCATTTGGCAAAATTAAATATTCTTACATGACAAAAAACCTCTCAACAATTTAGTATAGAAAATATATGCCTTAACACAGAAGGACGTAAAGGACAAATCTACAGCTAAGATCATACTGAGTGTGGAAAAGGTGAAAGATTTTACTGTGAACAAGAAAAAGATTTTACTGTAACAAGAAAAGGATGCCTATTTTCACCAATCATATTTCACATAGTGAAAGTCTTAGCCAGGACAATTAGGTGAGAGAAAGAAACAAAGGACATCTGAATTGGAAAGGAGACAGTCAAATTGTCCCTGTTTAAAGACAATGTGATCTTATACACGGAAAAAAATAAGACACTACCAAAAGCTTCTTAGGGTGATACATGAAATTAATAAAGTTGCAGGATATAAATTAACATACAAAAGTCAGTAGCATTTCTATATATTGATAGTAAACTAGCTGAAACAAGAAATTAAGAAAGCAATTCCTTTTACAATAGCTACAAAAATGTACTTAGAAATAAATTTAACCAAGGAAGTAAAAGATTTCGACAACAAAAATGACAAATATTAATGAAAGAAATTAAAGAAAACACAAAAAAGGAAAGACATCCATGTTTATAGATTGAAATAACTAATATTCTTAAAATGACCCACTATCCTATGTGATTTACAAATTTAGTACAATCACTAGCTTGTATTTTTAAAAGCACCTTTGCTGCATATTCTTAAGATATTCAATGACAATGCCTGGATTTAAGTTTGAGGTATTATTATATCTATTTTATATTGGGCACAATATAATGTTATCAGAGGTAACAGTTTTGATTGGTCCTAGGTCATACAGTAATATATACATTGTGATTTATAGACATGCTATCTTTTAATACTCAGGCATTTAGAAAGTTCATTTAGACAAAGTTACAAAAACTTGCCTTCCTTTCTTCCTATATCACCTAAAAATCCTAATTTAAGAGCTAATAACATTTTTTATTTGATATACAATTTATCAACACAATAAAAATCTAACAATTATCATGTGCAGAGTGTGAAAATCTCATCAGATTAAGGAACACAAAGACATCTTTTTCATATTTTGAATGTAAAACTGTTTTGGAAACTGTTATTTTTAGAAACAGTTAAAAACATTTTTTCATTAGTTTTTCATGTAAAATTGTGACAACCAGCATGAAATAACTGTCATCACAGAAGCATGGTATATTCGATTCCAAAACATATTCTTTGTAAGTTTTAATATATTTGTGTATTATTTATACTTAGATTGTAACTCATAATGTAGATATTATTTTTCCTTCAACTCTTAAGAATATTCTTAAATAATAAAATTAAAATGAATTATAATTTTTGTTGGTTGGGAAAAAGAGTAGACACACACGTGACAGTGCATCACTTCACCTCATCATTTCATCTCATCATTTCATCTCATTTCATCATTTCATCTCATTTTATCTCATCCTATCATCTCATCATTTCATCTCATCATTTCATCAAATCTCATCTCATTTCCATTTCATTTTCATTATTTCATCGTTTCATTTCACTATTTCATTTCATCTAATTTCATTTATTTCATTATGTCACTTCATATCATCTCATTTCATCATTTTTCATATCATTTTTCATCTCACCATTTCATCTCAATTCATTTCATCTCATCATTTCATCTCCTCATCTCATCATTTCCTCCTTTCAACATTTCATCTCATCATTTCTTCTCATCTCATTTCAATTTCATTTTTCATTTCATCTCATTTCATTATTTCACCTAATTTCATTATTTCATCTAATCTCATCTCAATTCATCTCATCTCATTTCATCATTTCATCTCATCATTTTTCATCTCATTTGTCATCTCATCATTTAATCTCATTTCATTTCATTTTGTCTCATCATTTCAGCTCATCATTTCATCTCACCACATCTCTTCATTTCATCATTTCAACATTTCATCATTTCATCTCATCATTTCATCTCATCTTTCAATTTCATTTCATCATTTCATTTCATCTCATTTCATCATTTCATCTTATCGTTCATCTCATTTCATCTCATCATTTTATCTCATTATATCATATCTCATCTCATTTCAATTTCATCATTTCATATCATTTCATTTCATTTCATTATTTCATTTCATCTCATCATTTCATCTCGTTTCATCTCATCATTTCATCCATCATCTCATTTCATCTCATCTCATCTCCTTTCAATTTCTTTCCAATTTTGTCATTTTGTCTCACCATTTCATCTCTTCATTTCTACTCACCATTTCATCTCAAAATTTCATCTCATCATTTCATCTCATCTTATCATTTCATCATTTCATCTCATCATTTCATCTCAAGTCATCATTTCATCTAAGTGAAATGATGTAATGGAATCATGAAATGAAATGGATAGGATGCCCTCAGTGATGTTAAATTTAAAAATTGTTGGTTTTCATGTATTCATTTTTATATTTATATGTATTTATATTTATATTTACTTATATTTCTTTTTACTTATTTTTATTTATATTTTTACTTATTTATTTATAGACAAGGTCCTGTTCTGTGGCCTAGGCTGGAATGCAGTGGTGCATTCACAGTTCACTGCAGCCTCGAGCAAACCTCCCACCTTAGCCTCCCAGGTAGCTGGGACCCCAGGTGCGCACCACCACACCTGGTTAATATTTTATTATTTGTAGAGATGGAGTCTTGCTATGCTGTCCAGGCTGGTCTCAAACTCCTGGGCTCAAGCAAGCCTCCTGCCTTGGCAACCCAAAATGCTGGGATTACAGATATGAGCCACAGTGCCCATCCTATTTATTTATTTAATAAAGGAAAGGTCTCACTATGTTGCCCAGGCTGGTCAACTCCTGGACTCAAATGAGTCTCCAAACTTGGCCTCCCAAAATGTTGGGATTACAGGTATGAGCCACCATGCCTGGCCTAAAAATAGTATTATATTTTTGCATTATATAATTTTCAATTAAGTAATATGAATATTCTGTACAGGAAATATGCCCTTAATTACATAGGAATAAACATTTGTTACACTGAGAAAAATCTAATAGAGCTAAAAATAAAAATTAATTTAGAGAGGTCATTAGATACTCATACATTCTTACGTTTATACATTCTTTCGTATATTCATATATTCTTTTAACAGTATCAATGGTTTGGAGTTATGTGTACAAAACCATGACCTATATGTAATACAACTAATAACAAGCACTTACAATTCAAGGCATATGATATACAAAGCTTTAACTTCTCATCATCAGATTTTGTTTTTTTCTTTCTGTTTTGGCAGATACTATGAACACAACATTCAACTCACAGACACTATGGAGCCCTTACTAAGCATAAAGTATTGTGAAAGGCCAGGGCTATGACAGAACTGAGACAGGGCCAGGGATAGGACAGAACCGGGGCAGGGTCATGGCCAGAGAAAAACCAGGGGCAGGGTCACAGCCAGGGACATGAGAGGACCAAGGCCAGGGCCAGAAGTAGGGCAGAACCAGGGCCAGGGCAGGGACATGGCAGGGCCAGGGCCATGGCAGGATCAGGGCCAGCAGAAGGCCAGGGCAGGGCTAGGGTAGCACAGGGCCAAGGCAGGGCAGGGTCAGTGTAGAGCAAGGAACGGGCCAGGGTATGGCAGGGCAGGGACAGGGAGGTCCAGGGCCAGAGTCAGGTCCAGGACATGGACAGGGCAGGGCCAGAAATATGGCAGGACCAGAAAGGGGACAGGGCAAGGGCAAGGCCAGAGAAGGATCACAGTAAAAACATGGCCAGGGAGGGTCCAGGGCAAGGGTAAGGCCAGGGCAGAACCAGAGCCAGGGCAGGCCAAAGGCAGGGCCAGGGCAGGGCAAGGCCAGGGTAGGGCAGGGCCAGTGTAGGGTGAGGGTAGGGCCAGGGCGAGTTCAGGGCCAGGGCAGGACTAAGATAGCACAGGGCCAGGGCAGGGCCAAAGGAGGGGCCAGGGCCAAGCATGGCCAGTGTGGGGCCTGGGGATTGTCAGGGCCAGGGCCAGGGTCAAGGCTGAGCCAGGGACAGGGCCAGAGCAAGGGCAGGGCCAGGGAGAAGGCAGAACCAGAGAGGATCCAGAGAAAGGGCAGGGCCAGGGCAGAACCAGGACCAGGATAAGGCAAAGCCAAGGCCAGGGCAGGGCAAGGCCAGGGAAGGGCAAGGCCAGGGCAGGGCAAGGCCAGGTTAGAAAAGGCCAGTGTACGGCCAGGCCAGGGTAGGAAAAGGCCACGGTAGGGCCAAGGCCAAGGCGGGGCAGGGCTAGGGTAGCACAGGGCATGGCCAAAAACAGGGCAGGGCCATAGCAGTGGCAGGACTAGCAACAGGGCCAGGGTAAGCGCTGGACCAGAGCATGGTGGGGACAATACAGGGCCAGGACAGATGACTGCAAGGCAGGTCCAGGGTCGCTTCACGGACTCGGTAGGCCTGGGGTCAGGCCAGGGCAGGGAAAGGGCAAGGCCAGGGAGAAGGCAGGGCTGGGGCCAAGGCACTGCCAGGGCAGGGCAGGACCACTGCAGGGTGAGGGAAAGGCCAGGACATGGAAGGGCAGGGCAGGACCAAGGAAGGGCCAGGAGAGTGCCACGGCAGGGTCAAGGCCAGAACAAGGGTACGGCTGGGGTCAGGAATATGGTAGGGCAAGGGCTGGGCCCAGGCTGGGACATGCAGGGCAGAGCATGGCCTGTGCAAGGCAGGGCCAGAGCCAGGCCATAGAGATGGGAGGGCAACACCAAGGCAGAGTCAGGGTAGATCCAGGGCTGAGCAGAGTCAGGGCGGGTCCAGAGTCGAGGCAGAGCTAGGGCCCAAGGAGGGCCATGGCAACACCAGGGCAGAGGAGGGCAGGGCAATGCAGGACTGGGCCATGGCAGTGCCTGGTCAACTCCGGGGCAGGGCCAGAAGCAGGACAGGGCCAGGGCCAATGCTCAGGCCAGGGCCAGGGCATGACAGGAAGTGCCAGAGCAGGGCTGGGCCAATGTTGGGGCAGGGCAAATCAGACCAGGACACCTCCAAGTCCAGCTCTGGCCCTGCCTTGGCCCTGGCCCCTTCCTGGCCTGACCTTGTCCCTGGCCCTGCCCTATCCATGCCCTGTGTGTTTGACCAGTGTTTTATAACCAGAATCCTACAAGAAACTTAAATCAGCTCTTTTTGTGCATTTTTAGTAGAGATGGGGTTTCACAATGTTGACCAGGCTGGTTCCAAACTCCTGAGCTCAAGCCATCTGCCTGCCTTGGCCTCCCAAAGTGCTGGGATTACAGGAGTAATCTGGCCAAGTATTTAACTTCTTTATGCCTGTTTCCTACATTCTGAAAATGGGGATGCTTTAAGTACCTAGCACATAGAATTATTGTGAGAATCAATGCCTCACATATTTACATATTGATAAAATTATACTCATAGAACACTACTGGAAGCAAAGATAGTATTAGTTAAAATTTAGTGATTATTTACTGCAAATATTATTACTATTACAAACAACATAGTATAGACATTATTACCACTACTATAGTTATCTTAAAAATCTAAAATAAAAATTTTACATAATAGCCTAATGTAATCTCTCCTGCTCTGCCCTGGCTCAGCCCTAGTGCCGGCTCTGCCCCTAGTCCTACCACATCCCTGGCCCTGACCCTTCCCTGGTTCTGCCGCTGCCCTGGCCCTTCCCATCTTCAGGCCTTACCATGGCCCTACCCTGTTCCTGACCCTGGCCCTACCCCAGAGAAGGGGTATGGCAGAGCCAGGGAAGGGTCAGGGCAAATAAGGGACAGGACACATCCAAATCCAGGAAAGGGCCAGGGCCATGACAGAGCCAGGGCGAGTCCTTGGCAGGGCCAGGTTCCAGGCCAGGGCCAGGAAAGGGTCATGGCAGGGTCACTGTATGGCCAAGGTCCAGGCCAAAGCCAAGGCAGGGGCAGGGTCAGGCCTGCATAAGGGCAGGACCAGAATCAGTGATATGGCAGGGCCAGGGCCAGGGCTGTGCCAGGACAGAACAAGAGCAGAGCAGGGCAGGACCAGAGCCAGGCCATAGAGAGAGTAGGGCAAATGCCAAGGCAAGGCCAGGGTAGTGCCAGGGCTGAGGCAAGGTCAGGGAAGGTCCAGAGCTGAGTCAAGGCTGGATCCAAGACAGGGGCAAAGGCCGGGGCAGATCTAGGGCACAAGCAGGGCAGGCTAGGGCAGGGCAATGGCAAGACCAGGCCATGGCAGGGCCAGCCCAGGATAGAACAGGGCACAGGCAGGGCAGGACAAGGACCAGGACTGGGGTCTAGGCCAGGGCAAGGGTATGGCCAGGGCAGAGGTAGGGCCAGAGCCAGGGTCTGGGCAGGACCAAGGAGGGTCCATTGCAGGGCCAGGGTTCAGACCAGGTCCAGAGCAGGGCTGGGACAGGGCCAGGGCCAGGACCAGGAAAGGGCAATGTCAGGATAAGAGCCATGGCAGGACCAGCAATGGGGCTAGGGCCAGGACAGGGACAGGGACAGGGACAGGGACAGGGACAGGGTCAGGGCTAGGGCCAGAATAGCATGCCAGGGTAGAGCCAGGCCAAATTAGGGCCAGGACAGGGTCAGGACCAGGGCTGGGCCAGGGTATGGCCTTAAGTAGCGAAGGGCCAGGGCCAGGGTCCATGCCAGTGCCAGCGCCAGTCCAGGGCAGACGCAGGGCCATGACAAGGTCAAGGACAAGGCTGGGGCAGGGCCAAGGTCTGGGTCAGGGTCAGCACAAGACCAGGACAGAGCCAGGGGAGGGACAGGGCCATGGTAAGACCAGGTTACATCAGGGACAAGACACCTGCAAATCCACTTCAGGGCCAGGGTCAGGGCAGGGTCAGTTCAGGGCCAGGGCCAAGACAGGGCCAGGGCCAGGGCTGTCAGGGTCATTGGCAGGGCCAGGGCCATGGCAGGACCAGGGTCAGGAGCAGGGGTCAATGCCAGGCCAACGCCACAGATAGGACCAGGTCTGTGCTAGGGCCAGTGTGAGGGCCAAGGAGGGGTCAGGGCAGGGCCAAAGGGAGGGCAGGGCCAGGGCAGGGTGGAGCAGGCCCAGGGTAGCACAGGGTTAAGGTAGGGCATGACCAACCAGAGCAGGTCTATGGCTGGGGCCGGGGCAGGGCCAGAGCCAGGGCAGGGCTAAGACAGTGGCAGCTCCAGGGCAGGGCCAGGGTTAGGACCACGGACATGTCCAAGGCCAGTGCCAGGGCAAGGACAAGGGCAGGGCCAGGGTCATCTAAGAACCAGGGACAAAGCCAGGCCCAGAGATGGGCCAGGACAGGTACCTGGCAGGGCTAGGGTCTGGGACAGGGCCATGGCAGGGCCAGGGCCACAACCAGGTCTGTGCTATAGCCAGGTCCAACACAGTGCCCAGGTAAGGCTAGGGTGAAGGCCAAGGTAGGGCCAGGGCAGGGTCAAAGCCAGGCTAGGGCCAAGGCAGGACCAGGGCCGGCAAGGCAGGGCCAGGAAAGCATAGGGCCAAGGCAGGCCAGGGCCAGGCCAGTGCCAAGACCTGGGCAGGGCCAGGGAACAGCCAGGGCAGGGCCAGGGCCAGGGCCTGGGCAGGACCAGGTTTGGGGCAGGAGCAAAACAAGGGCAAGGACAGTGCAGGATCTTGGCACAGCCAGGGTCCAGGACAGTTTCAGGGCAGGGCCAAGGCAGGGTCTGGGCCATGGTAAGACCAGCAACAGGGCTGGGGCTAGGCCAGTGACAGGACCAGAGTCAGGGCAAGGGCCAGAGCAGTGCAAGGCCAGGGTAGGGCCAGGCATTTCAGGGTCAGGGCCAGGGGAGAACCAGGGCAAGGTCTCAAGCAGGGAAGGGCCAGGGCCAGGAAAGGTCCAGGGCAGGGCCATGACAGGGCCAGGGGCTGCGTTAGGGCAAGGGCAGGGCCAGAGCAAGGTAAGGGTCAGGGCCAAGGCCAGGGTAGGGACAGGGCAAGAAATATGGCAGGAACAGGGGCAATGCCAAGGCCAAGGCTGGGCCAGGGCTGAGCCAGGGCTGAGTCAGGGCAGGGCAGGGCAGGGCATGGTATGGCCAGTGCAGGACAGGACAAGAGCCAGTCCACAGAGAGAGCAGGGCTGATGCCAAGAAAGAGCCAGGCTAGTGCCAAGGCTGAGGCAGTGTCAGAGCATGTCCAGGGCAGGGCCGGGGCCAGGGACAGAACCGAGCCAGGGCACAGCCAAGACAGGGTAGGGCAGGGAAATAGCATGGCCGGGTCAGTACTGGGACAGGGCAGAGCAGGGCAAGGCGATGGTAGGGGCAGGGCAGGGACAGGCCAATGCAGAGCCATGTTACGCCAGGGCCAGGACACCTCCAAGTCCACTTCAGGGCCAGGGCTATGGCAGGACAAAGACCAGGGCCAGGGTCAGGGCCAGGTCTGTGCTACGGCCAGCTCCAGAGCAGGGCCTAGCGAAGACTAGGGTGAGGGCCAAGGTAAGGCCAGGGCAGGATCAAAGGCAGAGTAGGGCCAGGGCAGGGTGATGACACATCCAGAGCACAGCAGGGCAGAGTGATGGCAAGACCAGGGGCAGACCACTGCCAGCTCAGGGCCAGGGAAAGACCAGTGCAGAGCCAGGAAAGGATCAGGGCCAGGAACAAGGCAGAGCAGGGCCAGGGCCATGGCAGAGTCAGGGCAGGTCCTTGACAGGACCAGGTTCCAGGCCAGGGCAGCAGTAGGGGCAGGGCCTGGATAAGGGCAGGGCCAGAGATATGGCAGGACCAGGGCTAGGGCCAGGGCCAGGCCATAGTGAGGGCAGGGTAAAAGTCAAGGCAGGGTCTGGGCAGGTCCAGGGAGTGGCCAGCACCAAGCGGGGCCAAGGCACAACCAGTGCAGGGTAAGGCAGGGCAATGGCACCACTGGGCCATGACAGGGCAAGGTCAGTGCCAGGAGAGGGCAGAACAGGCAGGCCCATGGTGGGGCCAGGGCAGGGATGGGCCAAAGCAGGACCAGGACATGTCCAAGGCCAGGTCAGGGCCAGAACAGGAGTAGGACCATGACCACTGGCAGGGCCAGTGCCATGACATGACCAGGGTCAGGACAAGGGGCAGGGCCAGAGCCAGGGCCAGAGCCAAGGTCAGGCCAGTGCAGGTTCAGGGCAGGGCCAGTGCCAGGGCAAGACCAGGGCAGGGACAGGGTAGCACATGGCCAAGACAGGGTCAGGATGGGACCAGAGCAGGACAGGGCCGAGACAGTCCAGGTAACAGTAGGGCAGGTACAGGGCAAGGCAAGGCAAAGCCAGGCCCATTGCCAATGCACCAGCCCTCCCTACAAGGCTCCTACCACCTGGCCACTGCTGCAGCCCGTCCATCGCTGTAAGCCTGACCCCCAACCCTGGCTGCAGCCGCCTGCCCTCCTAGCGCGGCCGCTCTCCTACTGCTCTGGTGCACTGCAGTCTCCGTCGCTGCCACCCACCCGCAGTGAGGCAAGTCATGGTGTCGCAGGCTCTAGGTGTCTCTTCCTCCTCCTGGCACGGAGCAGCTGGGCGGGCAAAGCCAGAAAAGCCTAGAGGAAGATGTGAGGGGTGGAAGGGTTAGAGCCTCAACTTGTCATGCTGGCCACTGGGTGGCAGGGGCCAGTTTCAGCAAAGGCACTCACACCCACCCTCCAAAGTCCAGCCTCTCCTTTTGGCCCAAGCTGGCCAGGAACTGGGGTCTGGGGTGGGTGCTGGAGACACCAGAGCACCCAGCTCCCCACTCCACAGGTACCATTGGGCCCACCGGGGCTGCACTCCTCGGGGAGCAGGAGAAGCAGAAAAATTCAGACCCAGCCAGCCCTCCACACCCAGGTGCCAATTCCTGTTCCAGATGCCTCCACACAGGGCCCTGTCCCCCGTGGTGTCCCCAGGGGTGCTTGGCAGCCTCTGAGGCACAGACCCAGAGTGCACAGGCCCAGGAACCACGGTGGGTGTGGGGGCTCTGCCGTGCTCAGGATTCCCACGCAAACACTGCGTGCCTGCCGCATTCCAGTATGACCAAGAGTGGGTTGCCCTCTGGAGTGTGGAGTCAGGGAGAGGAGAACCACTCCTTCCTTGGATGCCAACTCTGCTGACCGCTGCCAGCAGTGCAGCCCCTGATAGCACCAAACTTGCCCGCCCTCCACGGCTAGTCCTGCCCTCAATAGCGCCCCCCACCTCCGTCCCCCAATGCCGCCAGTAGCGTATACCCGATAGTGCCCTAACCTGTCCTCCTCCATGGGCACTGCAGCCCCAGAAAGTGCCCATAACCCACCCTCCCTGCCGTGGGCAGTGCAGCCCTGTACAGTGCTACCAACCAGTACCCCTAATGCAGGCAATGACACCCTGGATAGCGTCCCCAACCCACCCCACACTGTGAAAGGTGCAGCCCTGGATAGCCCCTGTCCTACCACTCTGGTCATGCTGCAGTCTCTGTCACCACCACCACCAACCACAGTGAGGCAAGCCAGTGGGCCACAGGCTCTAGCACCCAGCAGCCAGGCATGGAGCAGCTCTCGCCGATGGCCAGCTCCTACCACTCTGACCACGCTGCTGTCTCCGTGGCCATCTTCTTTGACTATAAAGGAATAAAACTAGATATCAATAAGAAGAGTAATTTTGGAAACAATACAATCACATGGAAGTTAAACACTACCCTCCTGAATAAATGACTAGCGGGTCAGTGAAGATACTAAGACAGAAATTCAAAAATTTCATGAAACAAATGGTAATGAAAACACAGTATACCAAAACTTGTTATGCAGAAAGCAGTACAAAGGCAGAGATTTACAGCTATAAGTGCCTACCAGCCAAACAAAAGAAAAACTTCAAATAAACAATACATCTTAAAGAACTAGTAAAGTAAGAACAAACTAAACAGAAAATAATAAAATAAATAAGATCGTAGCAGAAATAAAATTGAAAGAAAAAACAAACAAGATTAAATGAAAAGTTGGTTTTCTGGAAAGCTAAACAAAATTGACAAACTTTTAACCAGGATAACTAAGAAAAAAGAGACAATATTCAAATAAGTAAAATCAACAGATAAAAAAAGGAGACATTACAACTAATACTTCAGAAATTCAAAGGATCATAACTGGCTATTATATGCCAATAAATTGGAAAGCCTAGTAGAAATTGGCAAATTCCTAGATGCATACAACCTACTTAGGTTGAACAATGAAAACATCCAAGACCAGAACAGATTGGTAACAAGTAATGAGATTGAAGCCATCAGAAAAAGTCTCCCAGTAAAGAAAAGCCCAGGAACTGATGGCTTCACACCAAACAATTTAAAGACCTAGTACGAATCCTACTCAAACTATTTTGAAAAACAGGAGGGAATACTTCCAAACTTATTCTATGAGACCATTATTACTGTGATACCAAAATCAGACAAAGCCATCAAAGAAGGAAACTACAGGCCAGTATCTCTAATACTGATGCAAAAATCCTCAACAAAATACCAGTGAATCAAATTCAGTAATACATTAAAAAGATAATTCATCATGATCAAGTGGGATGTATCCCCGGGATGCAAGGGTCACTCAACATACAATGTGATACATCATATCAACCAAATAAATGACAAAAACAGTATGATCATGTCAACTGAAACTGAAAAAGCATTTGATGAAATTCAACATCCCTTCATGCTATTAATCCTCAAAGAAACGGGTACAGAAGAAACATACCACAACATAATAAAAACTACAGGAAAGACACCCACAGCTAGAATCATATGGAGAGAGGTCCAGGCTGCAGTGAGCTGTGATCCCACCACTGCACTCCAGCCTGGGCAACAGAGTGAAACCCTGTCTCAAAAAAAAAAAAAAAAAAATACATAAAAAGAGGTATGAGCCTCTTTTATAGGTGCAGTGACTCACATCTGTAATCCCAACACTTTCTGGGAGGCTGAGGTGAGAGGATCTCTTGAGGCCAGGAGTTCAAGATCAGCCTGGGCAACATAGCGAGACCCTTTATCTACAAAAAATTTTTAAATATTTGCCAGGTGTGGTGGCACGTGCCTGTAGTCTTAAACAATTATCATATGACCCAGATAGTGTATTCCTTAGGGATATACCCAAGGGAAATGAAAATATACATCCACACTAAAATTTGTACACAAATGTTCACAGCAGCATTGTGCATAATAGCCAAAAATTGGAAAAAAAACTCAAGTGCCTATCAACAGAGGAACTGATAAAATATGGTATATCCATTCAAAAGATTACTCAGCATTAAAAAAGAATGAAGTGCTGATATATGCTACAGCATGGATAAACCTTGAAAACACTGTGCCAAGTGAAATAAGTCAATCACAAAAGACCATATGTAGTAAGATTTCATTCTGTGAAACCTCCAGAAGAGCTAAACTCAGAGACAGAAAGTAGGCTAGTTATTGCCAGGGACTAGGGGAAAAGGGAATAAGGATGACTGCTAATGGGTATGGGATTTCTTGTGGACTGATGAAAATGGTCTGAAAATATCTAGATACCTGTCTTGTTTGTGTGATTCTGTGAACATATTATAAACCACAAAATTCTGCACTCGAGGGGTTGATTTCATGGTAGGTGAATTTATCTCATTTATCTTTATCTCAATAAAGCTTTTTAAAGACACTTTAAAAAGACATATCTGTATAAGCTACAAAAATAACACACTGAGAGACTAAAATGCTTAATTTTTCCATTTTTCTTCTTCAGCGCAATCTCAAGTCCAAAAGTCTTTCCTTCCTATATATGCATATTTTGTCCAGTGAAACAAGAAACTCTATTAACTTTTTTATTAGAAATAAAAAAAAGCCAGGTGTGCTGGCTCACAGCTGTGCTTCCAGCTACTCAGAAGGCTGAGACAGAAGGATCACTTGAGGCCAAGACTGAGAGTTCAAGACCAGCTGAGGCAACATAGCTAGATCCTGTCTTTAAAAATATTTTTTAGGCCAGGCACGGTGGCTCACACCTGTAATCCCAGCACTTTGGGAGGCCAAGAAGGGCAGATCATTTGAGATCAGGAGTTCAAAACCAGCCTGGACAATATGGTGAAACCCCATCTCTACTAAAAATATAAAAATTAGCCAGGTGTGGTGGTGGGCACCTGTAGTCCCAGCTACTTGGGAGGCTAAGGCAGGAGAATTGCTTGAGCCAGGAGGGTGGAGGTTGCAGTGAGGCCAAGATCATGCCATTGCACTCCAGCCTGGGTGACAGAGCAAGACTCTGTCTCAGGGAAAAAAAAAAAAAAAAAATATATATATATATATACATATATATATATGTATATATATATATACATATATATATATGTATATATATATATACATATATATATATGTATATATATATACACATATATATATATGTATATATATATATACATATATATATATGTATATATATATATATACGTATATATATATTTTTAAGTTAAAACCCTACTGAAATGAAACTAATAAAATAAAATTCAACTTAATTAAAAAATAGTTCCTGAAATATTAATTTTCAAACAATTCTATTTTAGCTTTGACTCTGAACAAAATATAAACCTCAATTTCAAAATATCACAAAGATTGGCTGGGGGCAGTGGCTCATGCCTGTAATTCCAGCACCTTGGGAGGACAAGGCAGTTGGATCACTAGAGGTCAGGAGTTCCAGAGCAGCCTGGCCAACATAGGGAAACCCAGTCTCTACTAAAAAAATACAACAAAAATTAGCCGGGTCTCGTAACCCCAGCTACTCTGGAGGCTGAGGCATTAGAATTGCTGGAATATGGGAGGTGGAGGTTGCAGTGAGTGGGGATCATGCCACAGCACTCCAACCTGGGCGACAGACTGAGACTCTGTCTCAAAAAAATAAAAATAAGGCCAGGTGCCGTGGCTCACGCCTGTAATCCCAGCACTTTGGGAGGCCAAGGTGGGCAGATCACTTGAGGTCAAGGAGTTTGGGACCAGCCTGGGCAACACAGTGAAACCTCCTCTCTACTAAAAATACATAAATTAGCTGGGCGTGGTGGCACACACTTGTAATGCCAGCTACACCAGAGGCTGAGGCAGGGGAATCGCTTGAATTCGGGAGGTGGAGGTTGTAGTGACCTGAGATTGTGCTACTGCACTCCAGCCTGGATGACAGAGTGAGACTCCATCTCAAAAAAAAAAAGAAAAAAAAGAAAACTTATATTTAAAGTTTAAAAAAATCACAAAGACTACAAATACTCAGGTTTAAGCAAATTCCCACCTTTCTTGAATTAACAGTGATTCATATTTGCTTTGTCAAAAATGTAGATATTTACCTGCCCCAACGGAATGAAATCCTAAAAGCCTAGTGTTCTCAAATGATGAAGAGAAAGAAACATGCATATTTTAATTTAGAATTTTGATTCAGAATTAATTTTAACCTAGCTGGAGTATACATAATCATTTATGTATTTATTTAATTATTTAAGAGACTGGGTTTCTCTGTGTTATCCAGGCTGGAATGCAGTGGCACAACCTTGGCTCACTGCAACTTGTACTTCCTGAGCCCAAGTGATCCTCCCACCTCAGCCTCCAGAGTAGCTGGGACTGCAAATGCATGCTACCACACCCAGCTAATTTTTGCGGAGACGAGCCTCACTATGTTTCCCACACTGGCCTCTAACTCCTTGGCTCACTATAGCCTCAAGCCCCTGGGCTCAAGCAATCTGCCTCCCAAAGTGCTGAGATTACAGGAGTGAGCCACCGCAACCGGCCTAGTGGATAGTGTATACTAAGCAACATATACCCTGCTTTTGCCTAGAACATACTGAAAACATGGCATTAAAAACAATCACAAAAGTTGGGAGCTGAGAAAAATCATATACTGTAAAACAAATCTGACAGATATTAATCTCAAGAAGCTCCTGAAAATGTCTCAAGAACTCCTATGCTGCACTATCCCTAATAATTTAGACTTTCTACAGATATTTTCTGATCATCTACGGTGTGCCAGGCACCATGCCAGGTACCAAGATGCCATGGTGAGGTATACACAAAACCGGCTCCTGCTTGCAGGAAGCCTACTCTCTAAAACAGTGCTTGCCAAGCTCGACGGATCACAACTTGGGAGCCTAAGTTCCAAATCCGCTTCCCTGCTTTGGTGAGCCACAATCCGTGGCATTTTTATCACGTGCTCCCAATGATTCCTACGCTCTAACGGGTTTGGGAGGCAAGGGTGGGGGTAAGCTGGAGAGCCCAGAGCCATCCCGTCCAGCGGGAGCCCCACCTCTAAAGTCCATGTCGCTCAGCATCCTTCCCCCTGACTAGTGGCCCAAACACAGCACGAAGCTGAGGTGGGTGGAACGCTTTCCAAAACAGCGCTCTGTGATGAGCCACCGACAGATTTGCTCGCCTCCGGGGACGAAGAGCTCACTCCTCACAAACCCCACCCGGCAAAGGTAGCACCTGAGCCTCCCAGGCTGCGCCGACACCTGTCTCCCCGCGGGTGCCGCCTACTGCTCCGGTGGACTCCAGTCCCCAGGTTCCGCCCCACGGGGACTGGGGGGAGGGGGGAGGCGCCGCATGCATTAGGCGCCGACTGTATACCGACCCCCCCTCCGGTGTGCGCAGGCCAACACCCATACACACCCTCACACACCCACACACACTCCCGTGGAAACTGAGGCAGGCAGGCTGCGGACCAGTTCCCGCCTCCTGACGGCTGGCGGCTGGGATCGAACCCGGACTGCGAGACGCCTTACGCCTCACAGGCGCTCCTCAGCCGCTGAGGCCTGGCCCGGCTCCCACCGCCGGAGTTTCACAAAGAAAGTCTCCCGGCCCGAGCCCCTCACCCACTCACCTGCGCCGACGCTGGCGGCGACTCGGGCTCCCGCCGCCTTCGGCTCCTTGCGGGGGTCGGCCCTTGGGTCGGCTCGGGCGCCGGGGGCGGCGACTGCTCCATATCCACGGGGTCCGGGCCGCGTCCACCTGGAGCTAAGGGTCCCGCCAGCTAGGCGCGCGCGCCAGTTTCGCGCGCCATGTTCCCGCCGTGCTGCGCGCCGCCGCGGCGACCCTCACTGCCCCCCAACCGCGCGCGCCACCCCTCCCCGCGCGGCCCGCCTCGCGCCCTCTGGAGCTGGCCGCTGTTCCCAGTGTCTCGCCCACCCCCGCCGGGCCCGTCCGACTTGGAGGGTGAGCGCGTGGTTCCCGGCTCCGCACCGCCGCCTGCCTCTCTGCAGACCATCCCGCACCCGACCCCTCGGCCACTTCCCCACACTGCCCCTTTCGCTTCCCCCACGACGCGGGGCCTAGGACGAGGGTCTGGGCCAAGAGGAACTTCCCTGCAAGAAGTGCGGAGCTAAGGACGCTACTAAGGGGGCGGGATCGCCACCATGGAGGTGTGCAAGCACGTGCCTGCGTCCCGGAGACAGCCAGACTCAACGGAGAAGCTGAGTTCAAGCCCCACATCTCCACTAACCCTTGCGTGTTAGGGTCAGGGCTTCGGGACTTGTTTCTCCTAAATTTTTTTTTTTTTTTTGAGACAGTCTCGCTCTGTCACCCAGGCTGGAGTGCTGTGGTGCGATCTCGGCTCACTGCAAGCTCCGCCTCCCCGATTCATGCCATTCTCCTGCCTCAGCTTCCCGAGCAGCTGAGACTACAGGCGCCCGCCACCGCCTGCTAATTTTTGTATTTTTAGTAGAGGTGGGGTTTCACCGTGTTAGCCAGAATGGTCTCCATCTCCTGACCTTGTGATCTTCCTACCTCGGCCTCCCAAAGTGCTGAGATTACAGGCGTGAGCCAGCGCGCTCGGCCTGTTTCTCCTAAATCTAAAGACTCAATATGATAATCAAGAGAACGTCTCAGCACCGCGCCTAGCGCTTAGTAGGTAGTGATCAAGAGAGAAGACCTCTTAAGTGGTTTTAATGGTTAAGGACCACAGGTTCTCAAGAAAGGGAAATCTCAATTCAAGTCCCGCCTCCATCTTTTGGAAACTGAGAAACCTTGAACAAGTCACTCAGAGGAGCCAAAGATCCTTGATTTCTACATGTGCGAAAGGGGAGTGTGGCAGTAGCACTGCACAGGGTTGACTGAGCTTTCAGGGAGATGAGGACTGTATGATCATGCCTCTCTTAATCACGGGATGGTTCTGAGAAATGACTCCTTAGGTGATTGCAGCATTGTGCAAACAGCAGAGTGCATTTACACAAACCTTGTATAGCCTTGTATAGCCTACTAAACACCTAGGCTGTATGGCGTAGCCTATTGCTCCTAGGCTACACACCTGTACAGCCTGATACTTTACTGAATATACCATAAGCAGTTGTAACACAATGTAAGTACTTGTGTACCTGAACATAGAGAAGGTACAGTAAGAATGGAGTATGAGAGATTTTAAAATGGTACTCCTGTATAGGGCACTTACCATGAAAGGAGCTTGCAGGACTGGAAGATGCTGTGGTGAGTCAGTGAGTGTGAAGGCATAGGACCTTACTGTACACTACTGTAGACTTTATAAACACCATATGCTTAGGCTACACCAAAAATTTTTAAAGCTTTTCTTCAATAAATTAACCTTAGCTTACTGAAATGTATCTTAAAAAATATTGCCAGTCGTGGTGTCTCACACCTGTAATCCCAGCACTTTGGGAGGCCGAGGCAGGCAGATCATTTGAGGTCAGGAGTTCGAGACCATCCTGGCCAACATGGTGAAACCCTCATCTCTACTAAAAATACAAAACTTAGCCAGGCATGGTGGTGTGCACCTGTAATCCCAGCTACTCAGGAGACTGACGGAGGAGAATTGCTTGAACCCAGGAGGCGGAGGTTGCAGTGAGCCGAGATCATGCCACTGCACTCCAGCCTGGGCAATTACACGCATGGAGCTGTCATCTCCTCTGATAACAATGCCTTCTTCTTCCAGAATACTTCCTGAAGGACCTGCCTGAGGCTGTTTTATAGTTAACTACTTTTTAATGTAAGTAGAAGACATACATTCTAAAATTATGAAAAACACTAAATACACCAGGGCTGGGCACAGTGTCTCATGTGGGTAATCCCAGCACTTCGGGAGGCTGAGGAGGGCAGATCATTTGAGGTCAGGAGTTTGAGACCAGCCTGGGCAGTGTGGTGAAACCCCATCTCTGCTAAAAATACAAAGATTAGCTGGCCTTGGTGGTGAGTGCCTGTATTCCCTGCTACTCAGGAGGCTGAGGCAGAAGAATCGCTTCAACCTGTGAGGCAGAAGTTGCAGTGAGCCAAGATCACGCCACTGCACTCCAGCCTGTGCGACAGAGCAAGACTCTGTCTCAAAAAAATAAATCAGTAACATAGTTGTTCATTATCAAGTATTATATATTGTACGTAATTGTACATGCTATGCTTTTATAGAACTGGCAGCACAGATTTGTTTACACCAGCATCACCAGAAACACAGAAATGCATTACCCTAACATTACAATGGCTATGTCACTAAGCAATAGGAATTTTTCAGCTCCATAATCATCTTATGGTACCACTGACTTACGTGTGGTTTGTCATTGACTAAAATGTCATTATACAACACATGACTGCATATCCCAGGGCCCAATGCCTGGCACACACAAAGCTGAGTTTCACTGGTGTAATTCCCACCCTATCCATCCAAGACTCCTAAAAGTTTAATGAAAGGGGCTCTGCTCCCCAAACCCTGTGGTATAAGTAGCTGGGAGGAGTTCGCCCAACTTGGGGCTGCAAGTACTCTTTCTTCCCACATCTTTGCTTTCCTTTCTCTCCCCCAAACTTCTCTGAAAACCCTAAAGTTGGCAGAAAAATGGAGAATGTTTTCCCTACTAACAAAAAGAATCTTCAAGAGTCTCTTGGAATTTGTAAATGGTTGCATTTACTAGTCTGTTTTTTTTATGGTTAATTTAATTTAATTTTATTATTTTATTATTATTATACTTTAAGTTTTAGGGTACATGTGCACATTGTGCAGGTTAGTTACATATGTATACATGTGCCATGCTGGTGCGCTGCACCCACTAACTCGTCATCTAGCATTAGGTATATCTCCCAGTGCTATCCCTCCCCCCTCCCCCCACCCCACAACAGTCCCCAGAGTGTGATGTTCCCCTTCCTGTGTCCATGTGATCTCATTGTTCAATTCCCACCTATGAGTGAGAATATGCGGTGTTTGGTTTTTTGTTCTTGTGATAGTTTACTGAGAATGATGATTTCCAATTTCATCCATGTCCCTAAAAAGGACGTGAACTCATCATTTTTTATGGCTGCATAGTATTCCATGGTGTATATGTGCCACATTTTCTTAATCCAGTCTATCATTGTTGGACATTTGGGTTGGTTCCAAGCCTTTGCTATTGTGAATAATGCCGCAATAAACATATGTGTGCATGTGTCTTTATAGCAGCATGATTTATAGTCCTTTGGGTATATACCCAGTAATGGGATGGCTGGGTCAAATGGTATTTCCAGTTCTAGATCCCTGAGGAATCGCCACGCTGACTTCCACAATGGTTGAACTAGTTTACAGTCCCACCAACAGTGTAAAAGTGTTCCTATTTCTCCACATCCTCTCCAGCACCTGTTGTTTCCTGACTTTTTAATGATTGCCATTCTAACTGGTGTGAGATGGTATCTCATTGTGGTTTCGATTTGCATTTCTCTGATGGCCAGTGATGATGAGCATTTTTTTATGTGTTTTTTTGGCTGCATAAATGTCTTCTTTTGAGAAGTGTCTGTTCATGTCCTTTGCCCACTTTTTGATGGGGTTGTTTGTTTTTTTCTTGTAAATTTGTTGGAGTTCATTGTAGATTCTGGATATTAGCCCTTTGTCAGATGAGTAGGTTGTGAAAATTTTCTCCCATGTTGTAGGTTGCCTGTTCGCTCTGATGGTAGTTTCTTTTGCTGTGCAGAAGCTCTTTAGTTTAATTAGATCCCATTTGTCAATTTTGGCTTTTGTTGCCATTGCTTTTGGTGTTTTAGACATGAAGTCCTTGCCCATGCCTATGTCCTGAATGGTAATGCTTAGGTTTTCTTCTAGGGTTTTTATGGTTTTAGGTCTAACGTTTAAGTCTTTAATCCATCTTGTATTGATTTTTGTATAAGGTGTAAGGAAGGGATCCAGTTTCAGCTTTCTACATATGGGTATCCTGTTTTCCCAGCACCATTTATTAAATAGGGAATCCTTTCCCCATTGCTTGTTTTTGTCAGGTTTGTCAAAGATCAGATAGTTGTAGATATGTGGTGTTATTTCTGAGGGCTCTGTTCTGTTCCATTGATTTATATCTCTGTTTTGGTACCAGTACCATGCTGTTTTGGTTACTGTAGCCTTGTAGTATAGTTTGAAGTCAGGTAGTGTGATACCTCCAGCTTTGTTCTTTTGGCTTAGGATTGACTTGGCGATGCGGGCTCTTTTTTGGTTCCATATGAACTTTAAAGTAGTTTTTTCCAATTCTGTGAAGAAAGTCATTGGTAGCTTGATGGGGCTGGCATTGAATCTATAAATTACCTTGGGCAGTATGGCCATTTTCACGATATTGATTCTTCCTACCCATGAGCATGGAATGTTCTTCCATTTGTTTGTATCCTATTTTATTTCCTTGAGCAGTGGATTGTAGTTCTCCTTGAAGAGGTCCTTCACATCCCTTGTAAGTTGTATTCCTAGGTATTTTATTCTCTTTGAAGCAATTGGGAATGGGAGTTCACTCATGATTTGGCTCTCTGTTTGTCTGTTGTTGGTGTATAAGAATGCCTGTGATTTTTGCACATTGATTTTGTATCCTGAGACTTTGCTGAAGTTGCTTATCAGCTTAAGGAGATTTTGGGCTGAGATGATGGGGTTTTCTAGATATACAATCATGTCATCTGCAAACAGGGACAATTTGACTTCCTCTTTTCCTAATTGAATGCCCTTTATTTCCTTCTCCTGCCTAATTGCCCTGGCCAGAACTTTCAACACTATGTTGAATAGGAGTGGTGAGAGAGGGCATTATTATTTTGAAATACGTCCCATCAATACCTACTTTATTGAGAGTTTTTAGCATGAAGGGTTGTTGAATTTTGTCAAAGGCCTTTTCTGCATCTATTGAGATAATCATGTGGTTTCTGTCTTTGGTTCTGTTTATATGCTAGATTACATTTATTGATTTGTGTATGTTGAACCAGCCTTGCATCCCAGGGATGAAGCCCACTTGATCATGGTGGATAAGCTTTTTGATGTGCTGCTGGATTCGTTTTGCCAGTATTTTATTGAGGATTTTTGCATCAATGTTCATCAAGGATATTGGTCTAAAATTCTCTTTTTTGGTTGTGTCTCTGCCTGGCTTTGGTATCAGAATGATGCTGGCCTCATAAAATGAGTTAGGGAGGATTCCCTCTTTTTCTATTGATTGGAATAGTTTCAGAAGGAATGGTACCAGTTCCTCCTTGTACCTCTGGTAGAATTCGGCTGTGAATCCATCTGGTCCTGGACTGTTTTTGGTTGGTAACCTATTGATTATTGCCACAATTTCAGAGCCTGATATTGGTCTATTCAGAGATTTAACTTCTTCCTGGTTTAGTCTTGGGAGGGTGTATGTGTTGAGGAATTTATCCATTTCTTCTAGATTTTCTAGTTTATTTGCGTAGAGGTGTTTGTGTATTCTCTGATGGTAGTTTGTATTTCTGTGGGATCAGTGGTGATATCCCCTTTATCATTTTTTATTGCTTCTGTTTGATTCTTCTCTCTGTTTTTCTTTGTTAGTCTTGCTAGCGGTCTATCTATTTTGTTGATCCTTTCAAAAAACCAGCTCCTGGATTCATTAATTTTTTGAAGGGTTTTTTGTGTCTCTATTTCCTTCAGTTCTGCTCTGATTTTAGTTATTTCTTGCCTTCTGCTAGCTTTTGAACGTGTTTGCTCTTGCTTTTCTAGTTCTTTTAATTGTGATGTTAGGGTGTCAGTTTTGGATTTTTTTTTTTTTTGAGATGGAGTCTTGCTCTGTCACCTAGGCTGGAGTGCAGTGGCACGATCTCAGCTCACTGCAACCTCCGCCTCCCAGATGCAAGCGATTCTCCTGTCTCAGCCTCCTGAGTAGCTGGGATTAAAGGCATGCACCACCACGCACGGCTATTTTTTTTGTATTTTTAGTACAGATGGGATTTCACCATGTTGGTCAGGCTGATCTCAAACTCCTGACCTCATGATCCACCCGCCTTGGCCTCCCAAAGTACTGGGATTACAGGCGTGAGCCACCGCACCCAGCCTTCTAGTTTGTTATTTTTCTTATTCAAGTAACAAGGAAAAAAAGTAACTCCACCAAGAGTAAAACAGAAAAAAGGAACAAAACTGATAGCATGACTGAAAAGGCCTGGGGTGGTACCTCACTTCAGGCATAGCTGGATACAGGCACTTATACAAGATAAGTCTCTCTAATCTCTCAGTGCTTGCTTCCCTTTGATTACTTCATTCTCACGCGGTTCTTTCCTCATGGTGGCCTAAGCAGCTCCTAACTCACATCTGCGCAAGAAAGCAGAGGCTGTTCCCCATTAGTTCCAGCCAAAGTCCCAGGACTGACTTTCACTGGATCCGTTTGCGCCACATTCCCCTGCCTGAGCCAATCACCACATCCAGCCTGGCCAGACCTGGCTTTCATGAAGCCCCTTCAGGAAGCGGTTGGGGTCATCTCCTCCAGAAGGACATGGGGAAAACCAGAAAGTGGGAGGAGGGATGCTTCCTTCTGAAAAATAGGGATGCAATTACCACAAGAGGTATCAGGTACAGGGCTGGCACAAACAAGAGCTATCCATGGCACCATCATGTAGGCATGCAGCAGGTCCACCATGAAGCAACCTGGCTGCTCCGCAAAACGGAGTCACAGTTAGTTCAGTCAATGAGAAATATCCCTCTACTTGGGTTCCCACCATTCACCCCAGGCCTGGCACACCCCAAATTTGCTTGGTCAAAGGCAAGCAAATTACCCACCTTTTATGCTTCACAAAAAGCTGAAAAGATTATCTTACTTCTCTGGCTCAAGAACTTTCTATGACTCCCTCTGGCTACTTATGTGTCTCCCCCAGCCTTAATGATAGAAGCCAACATTCATGAATCCCTTACCACATGCCAGGTACCTTATGGACCTTCCTCCTCCAAACAGCATAGAAGAGGTTGGTACTCTTACCGCACCCATTTTATAAATATGGAAACAAAGGCTCAGCAATTTGAGGTAATTTACCCAGAGCCAAAGTTAGGAAGTGCAGAGTTCAGATTAGCACAATATTGTTCCCGCCATTGCCATCCCAGCTCCATTTGTTCATGTTTCAAAGTCCTACACTCACCTCTAGCTAGGGGCCAGTGGGAACAGCTCCATGGCAGAAGACGCCTCTAGGAACCCCTTCAGCTTCTGCAGTGGTGGGGCTGGGGAGTAGGTACAAAAGATACTTAGCTTTACCATCCTCTCCCATAACTTTTTTTTTTTTTGAGATGGATTCTCAGTCTGTCACCCAAGCTGGAGTGCAGTGGTGCGATCTCAGCTCACTGCAACCTCTGCCTCCTGGGTTCAAGCAATTCTCATGCCACAGCCTCTGGAGTAGCTGGGATTACAGGTGCCCACCACCACACCTGGCTAATTTTTGTATTTTTAGTAAAGATGGGGTTTCACTATGTTTGCCAGGCTAGTCTCAAACTCCAGACCTCAAGTGATCCACCCGCCTCAGCCTCCCAAAGTGCTGGGATTGCTAAGCCACCATGCCTGGCCCCATCTCCCATAACTTAATGGGATAGGGAAAAGAATTCCTCTAAGATAAAATTAAAGTGATGTTAGGAAAGGAAGTAGGTGTTTGGTAGCCTTCAATCAGCAGCTGATTTCTCCCATTGGTGAGTCAATTAGTTTTCTATGGCTGCTGTAACAAATTACCATGAACTGATTGGCTTACAACAATACAGACTTAATATCTTATTGTTCTATAGGTCAGAAGCCTCAAATCAGTTTCACTTGGCTAAAGTCTAGTTGTAAAGGACTGATTCCTTCAGGAGGTTCTGAAGGGAAAACCCGTTTTCTTGCCTTTTTCTGCTTTTAGTGGTTACCTATATACCCTGGATTGTGGCCCTTTCCTCCATTTTTAAAGCACACCACTCCAATCTCTGCACAGTGCTATGGTTTGAATGTGTCCCCCAAAGTTCATGTGTTGGAAATTTAATCTCCAATGCAACAGTGTTGAGAGATGGGACCTTTAAGAGGAGATTAGGTCATGAAAGATCTGCCCTTATTAATAGAGTAATGATGTTATCTCAGCAGAGGGTTAATTATCATGGGGATGGGTTCCTAATAAAAGGATTGAGTTCAGCCCCCTTTCTCTCTTGATGTGATACCTTCCATCATGGGATGACACAGCAAGAAGACCCTCACCAGAAGCAGACCCCTTGATCTTGACATTCCCAGCCTCCAGAACTGTAAGAAATAAACCTGTTCTTTATAAATTACCCAGCCTCAGATATTGCATAGCAATACAAAAAAGACTAAGACACTCAGTCATCATCGCATTGCCATCTCCCCTGACTGCTGAGTCCCTCTTAAAAGAGCACTGTAGGCTGGATGTGGTGGCTCACGCCTGTAATCCCAGCACTTTGGGAGGCCAAGGTGGGCAGATCACGAGGTCAGGAGTTCGAGACTAGCCTGGCCAACATGATGAAAGCCCATCTTTACTGGAAAAACAAAAATTAGCTGGGCATGTTGGCGAGCACCTGTAATCCAGCTACTCGGAAGGCTGAGGCAAGAGAATCGCTTGAACCTTGGGAGATGGAGTTGCAGCGAGCCGAGATTGCGTCATTGTACTCCAGCCTGGGCACCAAGAGCAAAAAACTCCTTCTCAAAAAAAAAAAAAAAAAAAAAAAAGCACTGTGATGGGACACTGGGCCCACAGGCAACATAGGATAAGTTCCCATCTCAAGATGCTTAATCACATCTGCAAAGTCCCTTTTGTCATGGAAAGGAACATAGTCACAGATTCCGGGGATTAAGTTGAGGACACTTTGGAGGGGCCATTATTCAGCCTGCCATATAAGATATCATGAGAGGGAGTTAATACAAAATGCTCTGGAAACAGAGAAGGGTGGCCAGGCAAGGTAGCTCATGCCTCTAATCCCAGTACTTTGGGAGGGAGGCGGGCGGATTGCCTGAGGTCAGGGGTTCAAGACCAGCCTGACCAACATGGTGAAACCCCATCTCTACTAAAAATACAAAAATTAGCTGGGCATGATGGCAGGTGCCTGTAATCCCAGCTACTCAGGAGGCTGAGTCAGGAGAATCGCTTGAACCCAGGAGGCGGAGGTTGCAGTGAGCTGAGATCACACCATTGCACTCCAGCCTGGGCGACAAGCGTGAGACTTCATCTCGATTAAAAAAAAAAAAAAGAAACAGAGAAAAGCTGGCTAACTCTCCACAGTGGGAAAAATGTCCCAGGAAACCACAGCCTCCACATTAAATATTCAAATGAGCTAAAACCCATCTAATTGGCAGTCTCAGTCTTATTCCTTTAAACATGCAAACCACCTAAGTTCCCAACAAACCCCCTACACCAGGCCAGCCAAGTCTCAGAATGCTTATATACCCTTTAATAGAAATTTCCAACCACCATCCCCATTTCCTAAGGAAATGGCTGTGTGCCCTTGAGCCTGCCTTGACTGAATCGCCAGTGGCCTTTGAACCACAGCACTCAATTTATGGCATGGCCAGTGAGCTACAAACTGTCCTAGCATCAACCAAGCAAAGTTATAAAAGCAGATTCAGTGGACAATAAGGAACATTAGTTTTAGAGTCAAAAAGACCTGGGTTGGGTCCCAGCTCTGCCATTTACCAGCTGTGCGACATCAGAAAAGTTACCTTTGTCCTCCAACTTTGGTTTCCTCACCTGTGACATGACAGTGGCTAGAGGACCTCATTCATAGAATCACTGTGAGGACAAGAGCAGCCAAGGGTAAGTCTTTGCACAGGGCCTCCCCAGTCATTATTGGGTCAACAAGACATAACCATGCCTTATCTCCACTTCCAAAACCCAAACAGCTCTCAAAAATGAGTCACTGTAGCTCATTTGGAAGAAAAGACTGATATGAATCAATATGCAACTACCTATAATCTTTCTCTATCCCTCTTACTGTGAATATTTGCTGTGGAAATATTAACATGTTTGGACTCCACTGGGGTAGGACTCCACATGTGTAGGACTCCACTGGGGTGCTACACATACACATAGTAGATATGCCTTACCACCTTCCTAAAATTGGGTAATTAAATTTCACAACTTATCTAGCCCAAAGGTTTCAGAGACTGTAGACCTGTATCTTTATGAGGGCAAGGATGAGAATATAACCTGGCCTGTTATTATGCACCAAGGTACCTGCTGTTCTCATGAAGATGTCAGCAGCCAGCCAGCCAGTCTCTACAAACTCCACCCCCAACCTCGCTATGCTCCTTTCCCTGGAACTTTCCAAGGGGCCCTTAGAATTTGTATTCAGCTCTCACAGGCTGAGACCAGGGTGACATCCTGGGAAACCTGCCTAGTGATAGCCAAGGAGTAGCTCCAGATGAAAGGCACACAACAACTTTAAATATAAAAAAGCCATTCAGGCTAGGCACAGTGGCTCACGTGTGTAATCCCAGCACTTTAAGAGACCGAGGCAGGCGGATCACCTGAGGTCAGAAGTTCAAGACCAGGCTGGCCAACATGGCAAAACCCTGTCTCTACAAAAAAATATAAAAATTAGCTTGGCATGGTGGCGCATACCTGTAATCCCAGCTACTTGGGAGGCTGAGGCACGAGAATCGCTTGAACCTGGGAAGCAGAGGTTGCAGTGAGCCAAGCTTGCACCACTACACTTCAGGCTGGGCAACAGAGTGAGACTCCGTCTCAAATAAATAAATAATAAAGCCATTCAACTAAAGAACCAATTATCAAGCAGAAGCACAAAGTCCAGGTTCCATCAGGTTTTTAATTGTACATCAGTGACTGTGAAAAAGCAATTATTCCCATAATTAAAATACAAACTATAAAAAACAGACTCAAAGAAAAGAAAGATGACAGAGTGAAATAAGGTACATTTCTTCCATGTTCAAACCACGGAGTTCACAACACAGCAGCACACACAGCCGGGCGCTTTGTGGTCTCGGCACCCTTGGCTTCCCCTTCATGAGGCCGCTTTCGACTAGTAGAAGGCTGAAAATAAAGGAAAATGGAGAAATGTTCAAAAGAAAATCACTGGCTTCTTTAAGATTATCAGAGTTCCTCAATGTACTTCCAGTAAAGTGGGGGCATTTGATGTGAAATACTAGTACCAAAAATTACTGGTTGTCATCATTGACAACTGAGTCCTCACCACAGCCCGCAACTCAGACATGCTTATCTAATAGATATTTCTCTCCCTATGGCTTCTGACCCCTGAATGATGTATACTGAAAGCAAGTAGCATAACCACCTTCCTCTTGATCATCCTCTTCTAAATATCAAGTTTAAAAGGACTACAATACCTCTCAATTGAAGCCCCAAGTCTTGGTCTTTTGCGGGAAGACAACCTTTGTGCCTTAGTTGTTTTCTCATATACAAAATTGGGAGGAAGGCTGGGTGCGGTGACTCACAGCTATAATCCCAGCACTTTGGGAAGCCGAGGTGGGCAGGTCGCTGCTTCAGGTCAAAAGTTTGAGACAAGACTGACCAACATGGCAAAACCCCATCTCACCTAAAAATACAAAAATTAACTGGGCACAGTGGTGGACACCTGTAGTCCCAGATACTTGGGAGACTGAGGCAGGAGAATTGCTTGAACCCAGGAGGCAGAGGTTGCAGTGAGCTGAGATTGCACCACTGCACTCTGGCCTGAGTGACAGACTAAGACTCTGTCTCAAGAAAAAAAAAAAAATCGGGGTGGGGAGGAAACAGTGGGAAAAAGGACAGCTACCATTCAACAACAACAACAAAAAAGCAGGACTGGAATTAACTTATACTCACAAAGAACTTTAAAGAATAAACTTGTAATCAAGGAATCAACTACTGACCCAAATTTTAATTTTTCCAACAAATTTATATTTGAGCCTCTAATAGAGTCTTTCGAAATTGCCTTGCAGGTGACCTTTTGGATGACAATCCCTAGCTGTGCTTATCTGTCTATTATGTGTTAGATATTAAACATATCCTGCATTTTTAAATCTAAGCGTCCTGGAGTGAATCAAGTTCAAACAGAGTTTCTACTACATTATAACTGAAACAATGTTAAGCAATTGCTACTCAGGAAAATCTTGAATTTCATCATCTTTTCTTATCAGCTCCTTAAGCCCGGACTACATTTAGTGATCATCAGGAATATGAATACCTGGGCTAGAACCTGAGATAGAGCTGTGGATTCATTTTCCTCAGACAGAAGATCTTGAAACTTTCTCTTCATGTCTTCATCCTGTGAGGGAATTAAAAACATAAGTAGCTGTGTCTGAAGGATAATAAACTCCTAGAATGACAGGGCTAGCATGCTCCTGTGGAAAGAGGGAGGAAAAGATGTCCGTCCAAGAATCATTTCCTTGATGAAGCTCCCACAGTGAAGGCATTATGTGTTGCCCCCCTCTACCTTCCCAGAGGAGTCCAATTAGCAGTCAATGCTCCATCAATCCTGGCTGACTCACATCCACATGCCTAAAAGCTCTCAGTGGGTCAATCACAGCCTCCAGCAGTCAAGAGTTTCTGAATTAGCATCCCAGATCCTGAGAAAGGTGACAATCAGGGGGCCAGGGGCTGGTCCTGACTCCGTGCAGATCCTCAAATCCTTCCGGGACCACTCTCCACCTGCTGCCCCTGCCATGAATGAGGCCAGTCACCCAGGCTGTCCTAACAACCAGCCCAGCACCCTAGGAAATTTCACCCAGCAGATGCCATACAAATTTTCAGAAGTACTTAAGCCCACGATATCCCAGAGCTCAGGTCTAATGAGAAAGGGAGACAATAAACAGAACAAAGCATTACAGGTGTTTCATGCTGCAGGAGCGGGAGATGAGGAGGGCACAGACAGTGTGTATACGAGTAGCTCCCACCTCTCTGGATGCTCACTTCTGCAGGGTTCAAGGATTTGCATTAGGAAACCCTGAGAGGTGGTCTGGTGCAGCTCTCCCCATCTTCAGCAAGGTGAAAGGAACATCTATAACTAGGAATGTGGCCTTTGAGTGTTGGGCAGAAGCCCAGCTCAGCCACTCACAGGTGGCATGTGCAGAATACAGACCCAGAGTTATCTGATTCCAATGCCTCATGTACTTTCCCACCCAACTCCAGCCCCTCCTCCCACTGAGCCAAGCATACCACAGTGGGGAAAGGGAGAGGATACAGCAAAGTCCTCCACCATTTGGCAATTTGATGGATATGGAAATTTTACAACACTAGGTTGGGCATGGTGGCTCATGCCTATAATCCCAGCACTTTGGGAGACCAAAGTGGGAGAATTGCTTGAGGCCAGGAATTTGAGACCAGCCTGGGCAATATAGTGGGACTTAGTCACTACAAAAAAAAATTAAAAATTAGGCCAGGCACGGAGGCTCACGCCTGTAATCCCAGCACTTTGGGAGGCCAAGGCGGGCAAATCACCTGAGGTCAGAAGTTTGAGATCAGCCTGGCTAACATGGTGAAACCCCGTCTCTACTAAAAATACAAAATTAGCCAGGCGTGGTAGTGCAAGCCTGTAATCCCAGCTACTCAGGAGGCTGAGGCAGGAGAATCACTTGAACTCAAGAGGTTGCAGTAAGCCAGGATCACACCACTGCTCTCCAGCCTGGGCAAAAGAGTACGACTCTGTCTCCAAAAAAAAAAAAAAAAAAAAAAAGTTTAAATTAGCCAGACATGGTGGCATGCACCTGTAGTCTCAGCTACTTGGGAGGCTGGGGCAGGAGGATCACTTGAGCCTGAAAGTCATGGTGCAGTGACCATGCCACTGCACTCCAGCCTAGGTGAGAGAGCAAGACCCTGAGGAAAAAAATGAAGGAAAGAAGCAAGGAAGGAAAAAGGGAGGGGGGATGAGAGAGGGGAGGGGAGAGGAATGGAGGAGAGGGGAGGGGGAAGGAAGGAGGAAGAAAGAAAGAAGGAAAGGAGGACCAGGCATAGTGGTTCACGCCTGTAATCCCAGCACTTTGGGAGGCCAAGGCAGGGCAGATCACTTGAGGTCACTCTGTTTTGAGTTTCTCAGCATAGCTCCCCATTGCCATTTGACAGCAGCAAGCTCATCTGGATTCCTCTCCACACCCTCTCACAGCCTTACTTAGGATCTCAATTATCTTGCAGTGTCACTCTCAAAAGTCCATCTCTTGGCAGCCCTTCAGTGAAGCCAAACAGAGTGGTCACAAGCCTAATCAGGCCTATATTTAAAACAAGTAATCAGGTCAGGTGCAGTGGCTCATGCCTGGAATCCCAGCACTTTGGGAGGCCAAGGTGGGTGGATCACCTGAGGTCAGGAGTTTGAGACTAGTCTGACCAACACGGTGAAACCCCATCTCTACTAAAAATACAAAAATGAGCTGGGCATGGTGGCAGGCACCTATAATCCCAGCCACTTGGGAGGCTGATGAAGGAGAATCACTTGAACCCAGAGGTGGAGGTTGCAGTGAGTTGAGATCACACCATTGCACTCCAGCCTGGTAGACAAAAGCGAGACTCCATCTCAAAAAAGGAAATAAATAAATAAACATTGGTTTTCTTCATGGTGTCTACAATTATTCCAAAATATTAAATTAGCCAGGAACAGTGGCTCGTGCCTATTATCCAAGCACTTTGTGAGGCTGAGGTGGGAGGATCCCTTAAGGCCAGGAGGTCGAGGCTGCAGTGAGCTATAATTGCACCAGTGCACTCCAGTTTAGGCAACAGAAGAATACCTTGTCTCCAACAATAAATAAAATAAAAATTAAATTATAATATCCCTTGAAAGCAAACAGAAGAAATCCTCTATTTCAGGCAGTAAATATGAGGCAGGCCGTAGATGTAAGGGATGCTCCCAAAACTGGGCACTCTGTTAATGACAAAACAGAGACCAGGATCCACATTCCCAACACTCAGTCCAGTGCCAGACCCACAAAACCATTTGGTTTTTGCGAAAACACTGAATTTTCCCAAAATAAAACCCAAATTATTACTAACAGATGTTTTAGATGGTCAGTCTTCATCCTTGTCTTCATTCAATGCTCATTCCTCCTTTTACTGCAAAAACAAAAGGTGGCTAAAAGAGTATTCCAGGGAGATCCTGCAACAGAGTTGAACTTCACCTTCTCCTTGGTTGTTAATAAGTTTTCTTTGAGACGAAGAAGTACAAGAAAAATGGGCTACACTTGCTCATAAATTTCAGGCAGATGCAAACCCTGTTCCCGGGCTTAACAGGCCAGCTCTGTTTTTTTGCTAGAGATGAACACAGCTCCTGTACCTCTACATTTAGACCCAAGAGTTTCCCTATTAGGACACATGAAAAGAGCCAAAAGACATGTTTCTCTTTTTCATCAAAATTAAAATCCCCACATGCAAAGGCACCCTTTGTTTCCAAAGCCCTTTCCTCCAGGGTCCCGCTGTTTCAAATCTGTGTGGTCTATTAAATGCTAAATCATCTGACAGATTTCTTCTGGGGAGACCGTAGTTTCTAGGGCAACATCCAAACCACATATATCTGTCTTTTTTTTTTTTTAAGTTTTTCTTGTTCTCAACCTGAGCTGGCCTGAGCAAAACTGTTAGGTGTAGAGTATTAGAACAGAGAATGGGGGCAGTCTTCCTAGAGTCCCAGAAGTACGGGGCTGAGGCCGGATTGCCCAAGGAGTTCCTGGGCCAGTAATCCCCAGAGAAACAGCATTTAGCTCAAGTGACAGCCTCTAGCTCAAGCTACCAGTTCTGTCCCCCATCTCCACAGAAAACGGATTGATACAGTTTGGCTTTATGCCCCTACCCAAATCTCATCTCAAATTGTAATCCCCAGGTGTTGAGAAAGGGACCTGTTGAGAGGTGATTGGCTCATGGGGGCAGTTTCCCCCAGGCTATTCTCGTGATAGTGAGTTCTCACGAGATCTGACAGTTTCATAAAAGGCTCTTCGCCCTTCACTTCCTTCACAAGCTCTCTCACCTGCTGCCATTAAGACACGCCTTCTTCCCCTTCCACCATGATTGTAAGTTTCCTGAGGCCTCCCCAGCCATGTGGAGCTGTGAGTCAATTAAACCTCCTTTCTTTATAAATTATCCAGTCTTGGGCAGTTCTTTATAGCAGTATGAGAACAGACTAATACACAGACCAAAAGAAAATTAATAGAAAGGGGCATGGCTGTGTTGAATGGAACTGCTCCTTACAGAAGACCAGACATCTATCAGAAAACCTGCCCAATGCCGTAGCTAATTCCAAAACTAAAGATTAATCCAGCAAAGCCAAAACATACTTCCAACTCTTGGCAGTTCCAAATGAGGTCAGCATTTAATAATGGCAGCCCCAACCCCTAGCAGGAGCACAGCAGTAACACAGATGAAAGGTGCAGGTGACGGCCTTCACTAAGGACACATTTACTCACCTGAATGAACAAGCAGTGGGACCCTTTATACCCAGTCACTTGGGCTTGAGAAATAGCTGGGTTCTCCCCAGGGAGGCTGTCCTCCTCCCCCTCCCCCGCTTCCCTGATTTAAGGTTGAAGATGGCTGGAATGCACCCCACCTATGAAGAGCAGTGGACATGGCTGGGGGTAGAGCCAGAACAAGCCCTCAAAAGAACACAGGCCAGACTGGAGACTTGGGTCAGCCAAGTGGAACCAGAACAGGGCATAAAGTGAGCTTGTACATCCAACAGCCATGAGTAACATCAAAAAGGTTGTAGCCTGGCCAACACGGCGAAACCCCATCTCTACAAAAAATACAAAAAGTAGTTGGGCTTGGTAGCATGCACCTTTAATCCCAGCTACTTGGGAGGCTGAGGCAGGAGAATCACTTGAACCCGGGGGGCAGAGGTTGCAGTGAGCTGAGATCGTGCCACTGCACTCCAGCCAGGGTGACAGAATGAGAACCTGTCTCAAAAAAGAAAAAAAAAGACAGGTTGTAACCCATCCTCCAAGATACCCCCCATACATCTAAAACAATTAGATTAAACAGACTAAACATGTTTCTGTCCTCTGTCTCATGTCTCTCAGGCAGCAGGGCTTCCCATGTATTTTATGCTAGCAGGCACTGTCCCACACCCACCTGAAGCCACGGTGTCTTAAGGCTTCTTCTGTCATAAAACGTGCCTTTGGATCCACTACCAACAACTTCTTGACAAGGTCCAGTGCTAAAGCAACAATTGGGCAAATCACAGTGAAAAGGATAAATATATTATCAGTAATAGTATGCCAGAATTAACAGGCCACCATCCAGAAAGAGCAGAGAGGGTCTGAGATCATCAGGGAGTCAGCAGACAGGGCCCCCTAATCTTCCTCACTCTCTGTATTCAGAGTACTGTGAGAAGACCAGGAATGATAATGACACTCCCTGTCTCCTGCTGCTGGGACATCATTCACGACCTCTTCGCTGCCTGTTCCCTCTCCTGTTGTTAGACTCAAGGTCAAACTAATTAAAGCTAAACTTCTACCCAATTCTAAGATACTTGGGATGCACAGCAAACTCTCCCTGACAGATGGATGGGTGAGAGTTACTCAGCCAGGGAGAGGCTCCCTGGAACTGCAGACTTGTCAGAAATAAAACTTGACTACTCCAGCAAGCAACAAATGCACGCTGGCCTGTATATTACAACATAATTATTCCTTAAATATTCTGACATTTAACACAATCACCTATGTTATGTTATTTGACATTCAAGACCTAGAATATTATATAGGCTAGTGAATATTATCCTTCATCTCTGGAGTATGAAAAGGAGTGTAACTGGTGAAATTGCTGTTTTTTTGTTATCTGACTAAGTGTATTAACCAAATCCAGTGAACGTTTCTGTCTGCATCGTATTCAAGATCTTTGCAGCTTTTGACGCCAACGATCACTCTCTTATTGAAACACTTGTCTTTTTTTTCTAATTCTGAGGCACCACTTACTGGTTTTCTTCTTCCCTCACTGCTTCTTCCTTTCTTGTCTTACATATTCCATTCTTCTTTTCCTAACTTCTAAATATGAAATATCACTCAGGACTTAGACCTGGGCCTTTTCCTCTTTTCCTTTTATATAGTTTGTCTATGTGGTCTCATCAACGTCCAAGATATCATATTTATGCATGCAGCCTTCTAATTTAAACATTATCTGGCCAGGCACGGTAGTTCACGCCTGTAATCCCAGCACTTTGGGGGCTGAGGCGGGCAGATCACCTGAGGTTGGGTGTTCAAACCAGCCTGGCCAATATGGTGAAACCCCATCTCTACTAAAATATACAAAATTAACCAGACATCATGGCATGCACCTGTAGTCCCAGCTACTCAAGAGGCTGAGGCAGGAGAATCGCTTGAACCCAGGAGGCAGAGGTCGCAGTGAGCCAAGATTGCACCACTGCACTCCAGCCTCAAAAAAAAAAAAAAAAAAAAAAAAAAAAAAAAAAAAAAAATATATATATATATATATATATATATATATATATATATATATATATAAAATCATTATAGATATAGTTGAAGCTTCCTGTGTACTATTTTCCAACCTCATTCCTCTCCTTTTCCTGGAGGTACCAGCTATGCAGATAAAAGCAGAAATTAATGTCAGTAGCAGTGTGTTCATCATGTGTCTATGCCTTCATGACAAAGGAAGTTTAAAAACTTGTGTTCCTGGCTTCTGCATTGGGAAAGTAATATTAATAATGTTAGAAATTCTCCAAACATGGGGTGACTTATTAAAACCTGCTCAGGCCAGGTGCCATGACTGATGCCTGTAATCCCAACACTTCGGGGCACCAAGGTGGAAGAATCATTTGAAGCCAAGAGTTTGAGGCTAGCTTGGGCAACATAGTGAGACTTCATCTCTACAAAATAAAAACATTTTAAAAATTAGCTAGGCATTGTGGTGTGTGCCTGTAGTCCCAGCTACTCAGGAGGCTAAGGCAGAGGGTCCCTAGAACCCAGGAGTTCTAGGATGCTGTGAGATATATGATCGTGCCACTATTCCAACCCAGGCAACAGGGCAAGACCCTGTCTTTTTAAAAATAATAAAATAAAATAAAAGTTGCTTGGGCAAACTGTTAAACGTTTGCTTCTATTCCTGAGATACCCAACTGGTCCAGAATTTTTTTTAGAATACATTACTAGATTTACTACTATTTTATTTTAGATGTTTGTATCTAAGCTTAGTTTGGCCTCCAATTTTCATGGATTATAATGATCTTAAATATTTATATTGCATTTATGTTAGCCTCACAAAATGAATTGAAGGTGTTCCCTCTTTTTCCATTCTCTGAAATTATTTTGATATGATAGTGCTTATTTATATGTTCTTTGAATGTTCGGTAGAACTTTCATATTAAAGTATCTCATACTAGTGGGTGTTTTCTATGAGAAAGTATTTACTGATTGAATTTTGAAAAATAGATACGTGAATATTCAGGTGTCCCATTTCTTGTTGACTAAGTGTTTATAAGTTACAGTAGCCAATGAAGTTGTTCATTTCACTTATGTTTTTAGACTGTTGTCATATAGTCATTTATAGTATTCACTTTATTATTTTTTCACTCATATTTTGTTACACTTCATTTTTTATTCCTAATATTGCTTATTTATACCTTCTCTTTTTAATTAATCAATGTTACCAGAAGAGTGCCTATTTTATTATTCTTTTCAAAGAATCAGCATTTGGTTTTGTGAATCTTGCCTATTGTTTCCTTGTTTTATAGTTTATTAATGTCTATTTCTACTTTTAGCCTTATTTCCTTTAATTTATTTTATTTAGGTTTACTCCATTTTTTTTTTTTTTTTTTTTTTTTTTAAGAGTCTTGCTCTGTTGCTCAGGCTGCAATGCAGTGGCCCAATCTCGGCTCACTGCAACCTCTGCCTCCCTGGCTCAAGCAATTCTTCTGCCTCAGCCTCCCGAGTAGCTGGGATTATAGGCACCCACCACCACACCCAGCTAATTTTTGTATTTTCAGTAGAGACAGGGGTTACACCATGTTGGCCAAGCTGGTCTTGAACTCCCGACCTCAGGTAATCCACCCTCCTTGACCTCCCAAAGTGCTGGGATTACAGACCTGAGCCACCATGCCCAATCTCTTTTTCTCTTTCTAAACTTCCTAAGGTGGACACTTAACTAATTTTCAGCCTATTTTTCAATATAAACATTTAAAGATATAAATTACCCTTTCAGTACTGCCTCAGCTCTATCTCACAAGTTTTGTTATGTAGTACTTCACTTCCAAATATCTTCTGATTTTTGTTTTCATGTCTTCTTTGACTTAAAAATTATTTAAGGTATGCCTTTAGTTTGAAGATGAAAGAAATTTACATTTTTTTCTCTTATAAATTGCATTTTGGTTACAGAGTATAAGCCGCATGTTATAATGTTTGTTTATTTGCTGTGATATGATTCATAGGCTAGCATAGGTTCAGTTCTCCTAAGACTTTATCAGGCTTCGAAGTATATATATTCTCTAATTTGAGCATACAGAAGTCTATATATTTCCTTTAAATTAAGCTTTTTTAATACAGCGGTTAAAATCTGAGATAATCTTACTACATTTTGATTATCATTGACTCAGAGGTTTAAGTTTCTTCAAGGTTGAGGATTTAGCCATTTTTCTTTGTAATTCTGCCAATTTGTGCTTCATATATTTTACGGTTGAATTGTTACATGCATACATGTCTTTACATAATGACTTATTCCTCAGAATGTTTTTTGTCTTAAATTATAGTTTTTGATATGAAAATAGCTATATCAGCCATATATTGGTTAATATTTGTTTTATTTATCATTTACTCATCTCATACCTTCAGAATTTTGTGTCTTCATGTTTTTAACTATTACAGGTTATACCTGGATTTTCACGTTTTTATCCAGTCTTCAAGTGTCTGTCTTTAACTAATTTAGACCATTTACGTTTATTGTGGTTATGGATAAATTTATATTTACTTCTGTCATCATATTTTGTGCTTTCTGTTAACCATATTATTTCTCCAATTCTTTTCCCCAATGCATTGTATTAGATTGATCAAGGTTTTTCCCCTCTATTTGTTTAAAAGTTGTATGTTCTAGTTCTATTCTATTCACGATTACCCTTGAAATGTAATATGTGTACTTGAATTAACAAGTAATTTAAAAAACTAATTGTAAAATTAAAATCACTAGTTTCATCTTGAAGGATGCATTAATTTTGATCACCCTCATTCATCCCCAACTTACTGTTTTCCAGTACTTTTGTTCCAATTTATATTTTATCAGCTTTTTTGAGGTATAATATACAGAGCACAAAATTTATTTATTTTAAATGCACATTTCGATGAGTTTCGGCCAATTTATAGAGTTGTACAACAATTACAAAAATTCAGTTTTTGAATACTTACATAATCTCAAAAAGTTTCCTCATGCTTATTTGCATTACATCCTCACTCCCACCTACCCAAGTCCCAAGTAACAAATGATCTGCTTTCTTTATAGATTTGCCTTCCATGAAAAGTTACATAGATTGGCTGGGCACAGTGGCTCACACCTGTAATCCTAGCATTTTGGGAGGCCAAGGCGAGCAGATCACCTGAGCCCAGGAGTTCAAGACTAACCTAGGCAACATGGTGAAACCCCATCTCTACTAAAAACACAAAAATTAGCTGGGCATGGTGGCGCACCTGATAGCTACTTGAAGGCTGAAATGTGATGGATTATGTTTATTGATTTGTGTATATTGAACCAGGCTTGCATCCCAGGGATGAAGCTGACTTGATAGTGGTGGATAAGCTTTTTGATGTGCTGCTGGATTCTGTTTGCCAGTATTTTATTGAGGATTTTTGCATTGATATTGATATTGGTCATCAGGGATATTGGTCTAAAATTCTCTTTTTTTGTTGTGTCTCTGCCAGGCTTTGGTATCAGGATGATGCTGGCCTCATAAAATGTGTTAGGGAGGATTCCCTATTTTTCTATTCATTGGAATAGTTTCAGAAGTAATGGTACCAGCTCCTCTTTGTACCTCTGGTAGAAATCGGCTGTGAATCCATCTGGTCCTGGACTTTTTTTGGTTGGTAGGCTAATTAATTATTGCCTCAATTTCAGAGCCTGTTATTGGTCTATTCAGGGATTCAACTTCTTCCTGGTTTAGTCTTGGGATGGTGTATTTGTCCAGGAATTTATCCATTTCTTCTAGATTTTCTAGTTTATTTGTGTAGAGGGGTTTGTAGTATTCTCTGATGGTAGTTTGTATTTCTATGGGATCAGTGGTGAAATCCCCTTTATCATTTTTTCTTGCATCTATTTGATTCTTCTCTCTTTTCTTCTTTATTAGTCTTGCTAGTGGTCTATCAATTTTGTTGATCTTATCAAAAAACCAGCTCCTGGGTTCATTGATTTTTTGAAGGGTTTTTTGTGTCTCTATCTCCTTCAGTTCTGCTCTGATTTTAGTTATTTCTTGCCTTCTGCTAGATTTTGAATTTGTGTGCTCTTGCTTCTCTAGTTCTTTTAATTGTGATGTTAGGGTGTCGATTTTAGATCTTTCCTGTTTTCTCTTGTGGTTATTTAGTGCTATAAATTTCCCTCTACACACTGCTTTAAATGTGTCCCAGAGATTCTGATATGTTGTGTCTTTGTTCTCGTTGGTTTCAAAGAACATCTTTATTTCTGCCTTCATTTCGTTATTTACCCAATAGTCATTCAGGAGCAGGTTGTTCAGTTTCCATGTATTTGTGTGGTTTTGAGTGAGTTTCTTAATCCTGAGTTCTAATTTGATGGCACTGTGGTCTGGGAGACAGTTTGTTGTGATTTCTGTTCTTTTACATTTGCTGAGGAGTGCTTTACTTCTAACTATGTGGTCAATTTTGGAATAAGTGAGATGTGGCACTGAGAAGAATGTACATTCTGTTGATTTGGGGTGGAGCGTTCTGTGGATGTCTATTAGGTCTGCTTGTTGCAGAGCTGAGTTCAAGTCCTGGAAATCCTTGTTAACCTTCTGTCTCATTGATCTGTCTAATATTGACAGTGGGGTGTTAAATTCTCTCATTATTACTGTGTGGATGTCTAAGTCTCTTTGTAGGTCTCTAAGGACTTGCTTTAAGAATCTGGGTGCTCCTGTATTGGGTGCATGTATAGTTAGGATAGTTAGATCTTCTTGTTGCATTGATCCCTTTACCATTATATAAAGGCCTTCTTTGTCTCTTTGATCTTTGTTGATTTAAAGTCTGTTTTATCAGAGACTAGGATTGCAACCCCTGCTATTTTTTGCTTTCCATTTGCTTGGTAGATCTTCTTCCATCCCTTTATTTTGAGCCTATGTGTGTCTCTGCACGTTAGATGGGTCTCCTGAATACAGCACACTGATGGGTCGTGACTCTTTATCCAGTTTGCCAGTCTGTGTCTTTTAATTGGGACATTTAGCTCATTTACATTTAAGGTTAATATTGTTATGTGTGAATTTGATCCTGTCATTATGATGTTAACTGGTTATTTTGCTCATTAGTTGATGCAGTTTTTTCCTAGGATCTTTACAATTTGGCATGTTTTTGTGTGGCTGGTACTGGTTATTCCTTTCCATGTTTAGTGCTTCCTTCAGGAGCTCTTGTAAGGCAGGCCTGGTGGTGACAAAATCTCTCAGCATTTGCTTGTCTATAAAGGAGTTTATTTCTCCTTCACTTATGAAGCTTAGTTTGGCTGGATATGAAATTCTGAGTTGAAAATTCTTTTCTTTAAGAATGTTGAATATTGGCCCCCACTGTCTTCTTGTTTGTAGGGTTTCCGCCAAGAGATCTGCTGTTAGTCTGATGTGCTTCTCTTTGTGGCTAACCCGACCTTTCTCTCTGGCTGCCCTTAATATTTTTCCTTTCATTTCAACCTTGGTGAGTCTGACAATTATGTGTCTTGGTGTTGCTCTTCTCGAGGAGTATCTTTGTGGTGTTTTCTGACCCTAACTTCACAATTAAAAGAACTAGAAAACCAAGAGCAAACACATTCAAAAGCTAGCAGAAGGCAAGAAATAACTAAGATCAGAGCAGAACTGAAGGAAATAGAGACACAAAAAACCCTTCAAAAAATTTATAAATTCAGGAGCTGGTTTTTTGAAAAGATCAACAAAATTGATAAACTGCTAGCAAGACTAATAAAGAAGAAAAGAGAGAAGAATCAAATAGACACAATAAAAAAATGATAAAGGGGATACCACCACTGATGCCACAGAAATACAATCTACCATCAGAGAATACTACAAACACCTCTATGCAAATAAACTAGAAAATCCAGAAGAAATGGATAAATTCCTTGACACATACACCCTCCCAAGACTAAACCAGGAAGTAGTTGAATCTCTGAATAGACCAATATCAGGCTCTGAAATTGTGGCAATAATCAATAGCTTATCAACCTAAAACAGTCCAGGACCAGATGGATTCACAGCCGAATTCTACCAGAGGTACAAGGAGGAGCTGGTACCATTCCTTCTGAAACTATTCCAATGAATAGAAAAAGAGGGAATCCTCCCTAACTCATCTTATGAGGCCAGCATCATCCTGATACCAAAGCCTGGCAGAGACACAACCAAAAAAGAGAATTTTTGATCAATATCCTTGATGAACATTGATGTAAAAATCCTCAATTAAATGCTGGCAAACTGAATCTAGCAGCACATCAAAAAGCTTATCCACCATGATCAAGTAGACTTCATCCCTAGGATGCAAGGCTTGTTCAACATATGCAAATCAATAAATGTAATCCAGCATATAAACAGAACCAAAGACAAAACCACATGATTATCTCAATAGATGCAGAAAAGGCCTTTGACAAAATTCAGCAACATTCATGCTAAAAACTCTCAATAAATTAGGTATTGATGGGACATATCTCAAAATAATAAGAGCTATCTATGACAAACCCACAGGCAATATCATACTGAATGGGCAAAAACTGGAAGCATTCCCTTTGAAAACTGGCACAAGACAGGGATGCCCTCTTTCACCACTCCTATTCAACATAGTGTTGAAAGTTCTGGCCAGGGCAATTAGGCAGGAGAAGGAAATAAAAGGTATTCGATTAGGAAAAGAGGAAGTCAAATTGTCCCTGTTTGCAGATGACATGATTGTATATCTAGAAAACCCCATTGTCTCAGCCCAAAATCTCCTTAAGCTGATAAGCAACTTCAGCAAAGTCTCAGGATACAAAATCAATGTACAAAAAACACAAGCATTCTTGTACACAAATAACAGACCAACAGAGAGGCAAATCATGGGTGAACCCCCATTCACAATTGCTTCAAAGAGAATACAATACCTAGGAATCCAACTTACAGGGGACATGAAGGACCTCTTCAAGGAGAACTACAAACCACTGCTCAATGAAATAAAAGAGGATACAAACAAATGGAAGAACATTCCATGCTCATGGGTTGGAAGAATCAATACTGGAAAAAAACTACTTTAAAGTTCATATGGAACCAAAAAAGAGCCCACATTGCCAAGTCAATCCTAAGCCAAAAGAACAAAGCTGGAGGCATCACGCTACCTGACTTCAAACTATACTACAAGGCTATAGTAACCAAAACATCATGGTACTGGTACCAAAACAGAGATATAGATCAATGGAACAGAACAGAGCCCTCAGAAATAATGCCGCATATTTACAACTATCTGATCTTTGACAAACCTGACAAAAACAAGCAATGGGGAAAGGATTCCCTATTTAATAAATGGTGCAGGGAAAACTGGCCACCCATATGTAGAAAGCTGAAACTGGATCCCTTCCTTACACCTTATACAAAAATTAATTCAAGATGGATTAAAGACTAACATGTTAGACCTAAAATCATAAAAGCCCTAGAAGAAAACCTAGGCAATACATAGGCATGGGCAAGGATTTCATGTCTAAAACATTCTCCCCATCACTTTCAAGTGCACCAATCAAACTTAGATTTGGTCTTTTCACATAGTCCCATATTTCTTGGAGGCTTTGTTCGTTTCTTTTTACTCTTTTTCTCTAAACTTCGCTTCTCACTTCATTTCATTCATTTGATCTTCCATCACTGATACCCTTTCTTCCACTTGATTGAATCGGCTACAGAAGCTTGTGCATGCATCATGTAGTTCTCGTGCCATGGTTTTCAGCTCCGTCAGGTCATTTAAGGTTTTCTCTATGCTGTTTATTCTAGTTAGCCATTCATCTAATCTTTGTTCAAGGTTTTTAGCTTCCTTGCAATGGGTTCGAACATCCTCCTTTAGCTCAGAGAGGTTTGTTATTACTGACCTTCTAAAACCTACTTCTGTCAACTCATCAAAGTCATTCTCTATCCAGCTTTGTTCCATTGCTGGCAAGGAGCTGCAATCCTTTGGAAGAGAAGCGGCACTCTGGTTTTTTGAATTTTCAGCTTGTCTGCTCTGGTTTCCCCCCATCTTTGTGGTTTTATCTACCTTTGGTCTTTAATGATGATGACCTACAGATGTGGTTTTGGTGTGGATGTCCTTTTTGTTGATGCTGTTCCTTTCTGTTTGCTAGTTTTCCTTCTAACAATCAGGACCCTCAGCTGCAGGTCTGTTGGAGTTTGCTGGAGGTCCACTCCAGACCCTGTTTGCCTGAGTGTCACCAGTGGAGGCTGCAGAACAGCAAATATTGCTGCCTGATCCTTCTTCTGGAAGCTTCATCTCAGAGGGACACCTGGCTGTATGAGGTGTCAGTAAGTCCCTACTGGCAGCTCTGTCCATTCTCAGAGTTCAAACTCCATGCTGGAGAACCACTGCTCTCTTCAGAGCTGTCAGACAGGGATGTTTAAATCTGCAGAAGTTTCTGCTGCTTTTATTCAGCTATACCCTGCCCCCAGAGGTGGAGTCTACAGAGGCTGCCAGGCCTCATTGAGCTGCAGTGAGCTCCACCCAGTTCAGGCTTCCCAGCTGCTTTGTTTACCTACTCAAGCCTCAGCAATGGTGGACGACCCTCCCCCAGCCCAGGCTGCCACCTTGCAGTTCGATCTCGGATGGCTGCACTAGCAGTAAGCAAGGCTGTGTGGGCATGGGGCCCGCTGAGCCAGGCATGGGATATAATCTCCTGGTGTGCCGTTTGCTAAGACCATTGGAAAAGCACAGTATTAGGGTGGGAGTGTCCGGATTTTCCAGGTACCGTCTGCCACAGCTTCCCTTGGCTAGGAAAGGGAAATCCCCCGACCACTTGTGCTGCTTCCTAGATGAGGCGACGCCCTGCCCTGCTTCAGCTCACCCTCTGTGGGCTGCACCCACTGTCTGACCCATCTCAGTGAGATGAACCAGGTACCTCAGTTGGAAATACAGAAATCACCTGTCTTCTACGTCAATTATGCTGAGAGCTGCAGACAGGAGCTGTTCCTATTCAGCCATCTTGGAATGATCCTCTCTTTTCATTTATTTAAGAAATATTTGAAAAGCAAAGATTTCATCATTTTGGTGAAGTCCAATTTATCTGTTTTTCTTTTATGGAACATGTTTTTGATATTATATCTAAGAAACCTTTTCTTAGTCCAAGGTCATAAATATTTTCTCCTATTTTTTTTTCCTAGAAGTTTTACAGTTTTAGCTCATACAATTAGGTCTATGATCCATTTTAGTTAATTTTCGTATATGACCTAAGGATCTAGGTTTAGTTTTTGTAAATGAATAACCAGTTCTTATAGAATCATTTGTTGAAAGAACATCTTTTTCCTATAGAATTGTCTTAGCATCTTTGATGAAAATTAATTGACTATTTATGTGGGTTGGATTCTGAACTCCACTTAGTTCCATTGATCTATCTATCTCTCTTAATGTGGATTCTACACTGTCTTGACTACTGTTGCTTTACACTGAATTTTAAAATAAGGCAGTATTAAGTACTCTAACTTCATTCTTACTTAGCAAGATTGTTTTGGCTATTCTAGGTATTTTTGTATTTCTATATAATTTTAGAATCAGCTTGTCAATTTTTCCAATAATCTTTCTAGACTTTTGGCAGGAATTGCAGTTAATTTGTAGATCAATTGACATCTAACAATATTGAGTCATCTAATCCATTAACATGATATATCTCTCCATTTATTTAGGCATTTATCTGAGTGATGTTTTTTAGTTTTCAGTGCAAAGGTTTCACACTTATTTTGTTAAATTTATTCCTAATTATTATTGCTATAGTTTGAGTGTCTCTACCAAAACTCTTGTTGGAACGCTTAAGAGGTGGGGCCTAATGGGAAGTGTTTGGGTCTTGGGAGTTCTTCCTTTGTGGGCAGCTTGGTACTATTCTTACACTGGTGAGTGAGTTCTCACTCTTATGAGATTAGTTCTCTCAGGAATGGATTAGTTACCATGAGAATGAGTTGCCATATGGTGAGGTCACGCTTCATGCTTGGCCTCCTGGTACATGCCTACTCCCCTTTGACCTTCTTCTACCATGTTGTGACACAACACTAAAGCTTTCACCAGAACCCAAGCAGATGCCAGTGTCATTCTTTCCAGCCTGCAGAACTGCAAGCCAAATATACCTCTTTATAAATTACTCAGTCTCCGGTATTCTGTTATAGCAACACAAAACGGACTAAGACAGAAAATTGGTACTGAGAGTGGGATGTTGCTATTTAGATTCTCAAAAATGCAGAAGCATCATTGGAACTGGGTAATGGGCAGAAGTTGGAAAAGTTTGAAGGAGCAGACTAGAAAAAGACTGTATTGCCATAAACAGAGCATTAAGGGTAATTTCAGTGAGGGCTCAAAAGACAACAAAAAGATGAGAGAAAGTTTAGAATTTCTTAGAGATTGGTTAAGTAGTGATTACCACAATGCTGATAAAAGATGGACAGCAAAGGCATTCTAATGAGATCTCAGATAGAAATGAGGAACAAGGTATTAGGAACTGGAGACCAAGTCATCCTTGTTAGACCATAGCAAAAATTTGGCTGTGTTGTTTCTAAGGCTTTTTGCCCTAAGGTTTTGTGGAAGGCCAAACTTAAGGTTGATGAACTAGGGTACCTGGCAGAAGAAATTTCTAAGCAAAATATAGAGCAGCTATGTAGTTACTCCTTACTACATTCAGTGAAATGCAAAATGACAAGGGAAGCAAACACAAAAATTTGAAAATTAATAGCCTGGCCATGCGGAAGAGAATGAAAGAGCATTTTCAGGCGAGGAATCCAAGGGTGCAGCAGAACAACCAATACTAAAGAGATTAGCACTGAGAGAAGAAAGCCAGTTGACAATTATTGAGACAATTTTTTAAAGGCCCTGAAGACATTTCAGAAATTTTTGAGGTTGCCTCTCCAGAGGTCTAGGAGGACAGAATGGTTTTAAGAGACAGAACCCATGCATCACTGCCCTGTGCTGTTTTGAGATCCTGCTCCCCAATTTCTGGCACAGCCCTCAGCAGCCACCCCAGCCATTGCACAATCATACTCAGGTGTGGCTCAGGCTGCCATTCCACAAGATACAAACCATAAACCTTGGTGGCACACAGTCATGGATCAAGCAGCCTCAGATACAGCTCATGACAACACTCTGGAGGGTGCAAGCGGTAAGCCTTGATGGCTTTTACAACCATGTGGTACTAGTTTTGCAGATGTGCAGAATACAAGAGAAGTGGAGGCATGGTGGCTGCCACCTAGATTTTAAGGAATGTACTGAAAAGACTGGGAGCTCAGGTGGAGACTTGTTGCAGGGCCAGAGCCACTGCAGTGTACCTCCCCCAGGGCAATGCTGAGCAGAAATGTAGGGTTGGAGCTGCCACAAAGAGTCTGTACCAGGGCAATGCCTAGTGAATCCATGAAGTGGACCACCACTGGGACTCCAGAACTATAGAGCCATTGCCACCATGCAACCTCAGCCTGGAAAGGCCCAGGTATCCAACTCCAACCAGTGAGAGTAGCCATGTGGCTATGCCCAACAAAGCAATGGAGGTGGGGCTGCCCAAGGCTTTAGGGATAAAAACTCCCCACTGTGCCCAGGAGGTAGCACATGGAGTGGAGAATTATTCTGGAGCTTTAAGATTTAGTGTCTGCCCTGCTGAGTTTTGAACTTGCTCGAGGCCTGTTACCTCTTTCTTCTTTTGGCCTATTTCTCCCTTTTGGAATGGGACTGTCTGCCATATGACTATTCCACCATTGTATCTTGGAAGTAAATAACTTATTTTTTTTAATTTTTTTTTATTTTATTTTACAGGCTCATAGCTAGAAGGAACTTGCCTTGAGTCTTATATGAGACTTTGGACTTTGACCTTTGAATTGTTACTGGAATACATTAAGACTTTGGGGACCACTGAGATTGAATAATTACATTTTGTAGTGTAAGAGGGACATGAGTTTGGGGTTCCAAGTGTGGAATGCCATGGTTTCCGTGTTTCTGTCAAAAATCATGTTGGAACCTTTAAGAGGCAGGGCTTAATGGGAGATGCTTGGGTCATGGGGGCTCTGCCATTTTGAGCAGCTTGGTGCAGTCCTCATATAGTGAGTGAGTTCTTGCTCTCATGAAACTGGATTGGTTCTTGTGGGAATAGATAAGTTGCCCTGAGAATGGATTGTTATAAAGCAACCCATTGTACAAGGTTGTACCTTGTGTTTGGCCTCTTGGCACATTCCCACTTCCTCTTTGGTCTTCTGCCATGTTGTGATGCACTGCTAAAGCCCTCACCAGAAGCTAAGCAGATACTGGTGCCATGCTTCTTGAACTTCCCAGTCTGGAGAAACATGAGCTAAATAAACCTCTTTATACAGTCTCAGGTATTCTATTATAACAACATAAAACAAACTAAGACATTTATTTTTGATGCTATTGTGATTGGAATTGTTTTCTTTATTTCATCTTTGTATTGTTTGTTGCTACTATATATATAACCGATTTTTGTATATTGATCATATACTCTACAAACTTACTAAGCCCCCCTCTTAGTTCTAGTAAGTCTGGGAGGGGGTGTGGTATGTGGGTGTGTGTGTGGGTGTGTTCCTTAGGATTTTCTGCATACAAGGCTAACAATAAAAAGAATTGTCTTTTTTCCATACCTTTTTTCCTTGACTATTGCACAAACTAAGACCTGTGGTGCATTGTTAAATAGAAGTGCTAAACACAGATATCTTTGCATGTTTCCTAATCTAGAGGGAAGCGCATTCTTACCATTAAGTATGTTGTCTATAGGCTTCTGGTAGATGCCTTGATCATTTGAAGAAGTTCCCTTCTATTGATAAGTTGATGAGTTTTTTTAATATATGAGTGTTGAATTCTGTCAAATTCTTTTCTGCATCTATTGAGGTGATCATATGGTTTTGTCCTTTATTCTGTTAATATAGTTTATTACATTGATTTTTGGATGTTAAGTCAACCTCACATTCCTGAGATAAACTTCATTTGATTATGGTATAAAATCCTTTTCATATGTTGCTCAATTACATTTGCTAATATTTGGTTAAGAATTTTTATGTCTATGTTCACAAGGGATATTGGTATATAGCTGTGTTTTCTTGTAATGTCTTTGTCTTGTTTTGATATCAGGGTAATATTGATATCAAATGAAATAAAGTTAGTTGGGAAGTTTCCTTCATCCTCTATTTGCTGAATAAAGTTTTTGTAACATTGGTATTATTTCCTCCCTTAATAGTTTGATAGAATTCACCAGTGAAGTATATTTTTTCTCTATAGGAAGATTTGAAATTACTGATGCAATTTCTTTACTTGATATTGGTATTTGTTTTTTTTTCTTTTTCCTTGAGTCAGTTTTGGTAATTTGTGTCTTTCTAGGAATTGTTCTATTTTATCTAAGTTGTCAAATTTTTTGCCTTAAAGTTATTATGCTATTTTCTTAACATCCTTTTAAGGGTAGGGTCTGTGGTGATATTTCTCTTTGATTCTTGATTTTGGGAATTAGTGTCTTCTTTCTTTTTTCTTGGTCAATTTAACTAAATATTATTTATCTCTTGACTTTCTGAAATAAGCAATTTTGGGTTTCTTTGGTTGTTTTTAATGTTATCCTGTTCTGTATTTATCGTTTTCCACTGTGACATTTTTATTTCATTCATCCTACTTACTTTCGGCTTGGTTTACTCATCTTCTTCTAGAGTCTTAAGATGGAAGTTTTAATTATCAATTTTAGATTATTTTTTCTTTCTGTTTTTAAAGCTATACATTGTCCTCTATACACTGCTTTAACTGCATCCTGTAAATATTGCTATGTTATTTTTTTTTGTATTTTAAGTTTATAACATTTTATTTATAAAAATAAGCTGGGGGAAAAGGATTTATACCACTGCATTCTTTCCTGGGGGAGAACTATTTTGGGCCATTTTTGAAATTTTTTTTCCTCTTAACAATTTTCAGAGTCACATTTGAATTCCTTCAGAATGGTATTTGTCAACAAAAAAGTTCAAGTGAAAAGGAGGAGGGAAACTGGGGAAGCATGAAGAAAGGGAGTGAGAGAAGGAGGAGTGGGCATACAACAGTCAACACATAAAGAAATGGCTTTTACTGAAATGACTCTGCCCTGTGCCTCATGCACTAGGTGGTGCAAGCATGCTGCTCAGACATCAACACCAAATGTCATTTAGAAATGGTAGTCTTCTCTGGGTTCTGAAGGACACTTGTTCCCCAACATGACACTATTAAATGATGCTTTCAAGGCAGACACTAAGACATTATTCCAAAGAGAAGGCTCTGGTGGCAGACGCTGGGGCCATATTCTTTATAGTCCTTCTTGGTGTGACAGACCTGAAATAACTCCAGAGTTGAGGCTAGCATTAAGCTTCCAAACCATAAGGCATAGTGCTGCATGTGATTGATTACCACCCGAACCTTTGTAAGCTTAGGTTTGATTCTCCTGCCACTGAGCTCCTTATTGAGTTTTAATCTGGCATGTACCACTCTTCAAATCTCTCTGTAGTTGAGATTCAAATCCCTGAATATGGTCAAACCCCTTGAAAGAACAACATTCTTATACAGTGGACAATGCACATCAATGGGACAGTTTTGTATTCATCAACAACATTCAAGATGGATTCCATAAAGTCTGGGTTGGCAAACTCTGGGTAAAAAAATATTTCAGGTTGCAGGAACCTTTTGTAACCAACGTCTATTATGAACTTCTCCTGGTTGATCACATTGATACCTGTGTACTGTTTGATCCACTTCCAGGGATCCACATCATACTTAGCAAATTCCTTGACTATATCAGGGCAAATGTAACAGTATTTCTCCTTAATGGCTTTTGTGTTCTCCAGTGACTGCTCAAGAGGGATTCCTACCTCCCTCTCCCTTAGCAGCTGTTGAATGAAATACACAGTATCACCTACAATCAGGATGTGATTGATGCAGCTCCCAATTACATAACCTTCTACAACTGGGAGAACAAGGGTGACTCCATCTCCTTTGTCAATGACTATACTCATTAACATATATTCACCCACTTGTTGAGATGTCCAAGATACTTCCAGGGCTAGTACCTCCTGAACTGCAATGTAGAATCCTGGTACATTAAATAATTCGAACATAATTTCTGCAAAAATGCTCTGTATTTTCTAGTGTATTCAGTGGAAGTTCTGTCATTAAAAAATAATGGTCCTCAGATTCTGCTCAAAGACATTTAAAAACCACTTGCTCCATGAACCTTTCCATAATATCCCAGTCTTCAGTGATTCCATGTCATATTGACCACTTTGTAGCATACATAGATTTATCAATGGCTTCATCCTGTATGAAAAAGTCCAGGTCATCAACTCCCCTCAACATTCTCCCTTGGGCTTTGTCAACTACCTTTGCTGACTCTCTGATAGAAATGCATGAAAGAATAGTAAACTATGGCTCAGTGTTGCCTGTATAGCCAAGCTCGGAATATCTACTGAGGTGATCACAGGGCTGAGACCCAGAGCAGTGGGTGCAGCTCAATCTCCAGGTGTGGGCTGGATGTCAGGGGCTGAGAACAAGGCAATGGAGGAGCCAGGGTGGGCACTGAGTGGCTGTTACCTGATGCCACAGTCTGCCACACAGGAAGGCAGGAACCCCACCATGCTTGGAATACACAACACTTAGCCCCACTGGCCACCCTGGAGCACCCTGCCACCATCCACTTGGCAACCCACTCACCCCATACACCCTGTCTCCTGTGTGTTTCCACTTTTATTCATTTTAAGATATATTGTAGATGGGTGCAGCAAACCACATGGCACGTGTATACCTATGTAACAAACCTGCACGTTCTGCACATGTATCCCAGAACTTAAAGTACAATAAATTTTAAAAAAGGAATATTTTAAAGGATCAACCTACTATTTGACAGTCATGGAAATAGTGAATGGGAATTAAAGGGAAAAAAAATAAGTAAGCAAAGGAAGGGAGGAGGAAAGGGAAAAAGAAAGGAAAGAAAAGGAAAAGAGAAATACAAGAAAAGGAGACAAATAAATAAATAAATAAACAAATAAGTGACTGAAAGTCTGAGAGTTGGCAAATACTATTCAGACAACACTGACAAAATAGGCCTCTTGCTAAAAATAGCAGAATGCACAAAATACAGGAGCAGCCTGTCTGTCCTGAGAGGCTGGGGAGGTTTAGGAAAAGAGGCTGGGGAGATTTGAGACAGGTCTGAAGTATGCAGTTAGTTTTTGCTTGGTGGAAAAAGTAATCATGGGTGATTCAGAAAAAGGAAAATACTTACATAATAGTTATTTTGTACCTTTTTTAGTCTTCTATTACTTTCATAAAATTATCTTTGCATCAAAAGTTATTAACACTTTCAGGACTCCTTGTATGCAAAATTCTTTGAATTGCATTTCTTAATTTGTGATCGCACTGGTAATTTATCTAGCACAATGAACTGAATGTGTGTCTTTATGTTTAAAGGGAAAAATAAAATTCAAAACAGCATATTTGATATAATTTATGATTAGATAATAGAGAAATATCAATTTTAATATAATTTTTAGAAAGTAAAGATTAGGCCAGTCATAATGGATCATGCCTGTAATCCCAGGACTTTGGGAGGCTGAGGCGGGTGGATCACCTGAGGTCAGGTGTTCAAGACCAGCCTGACCAACATGGAGAAACTCTGTCTCTACTAAAAATACCAAATTAGCCGGTGCTAATGATTCATGAGAAATCTGCCCCCATGATCCATTCACCTCCCAGCAGGACCTATCTCCAATTTTGGGGATTACAATTCAACATGAGATTTGGGCAGGGACACATATCCAAACTATATCAACAGAGTTTCATTGTGTTGCTTGGGCTAGTCTCAAACTCCTAGCCTCAAGCAATACTTCTATCTCAGCCTCCCAAGTACCTTTGGGGATTATAATAATCAATCATCTTCACTTTTTACAATCTACTTTGGTTTAATAATTTTTACTTAATTCCAGTGTTATATAGCAACTTTGATCCAATGTATCTCTTATATGCTATGAACTCAGCAGTATTGTTATAGTTATTGCCTATAATAATCAGATGCTTTTTTAAAAAAAGAGATGAAATCAGAATACACACACACACACACATACAATCTTTTATACTTACAAATTTATTTACCATTTCCCATGCCGTTTATTCCTTATAGGTTCAAGTTGCCATGTGGTGTCATATTCTTTTATCTTAAAATCATTTTCTTTAGTGTTTCTTTAGCAAGGATAAGTTCTTTTTATTTTTATTTATCTGGAAATGTCTTTATTTCAGCTCCATTTTTGAAGGATCATTTAACTGGATACAGAATTCTTAATTGACAGTAATTTTTCCCTCCACTTTTGAAATGTCGCCTCATAAGGCCTCCATTTTTTTCAGATAAAAATGCCAGTATTGATAATATTATTGTTCCCCTGTATGTGATAAGTCATCTCTTGCTACTTTCATGATTTTCTTATTATCCTTGGTTTTCACCAATTTGACAAGGATGGCTCTAGGTGTGAATCTCTTTGTGTTTATCCTACTCGAGATTTGTTTGCCTTCTTATATCTGAAGATTAATGTTTTACATAGCATTTTTCAAGTTTTCAGACATTATGTTTTCAAATATTTTTCTGCCCTCTTATCTCTCTCTTCTCCTGGAATCCCCATTATGCATATGTTAGTGCTCTTGATGGTATCCCATAAGTTTCTGAGGATCTGTTTATTATCCTTCATTCTTTTTTCTTTTTGTTCTTCAGATTGATTAACCTCTATTGGTCTATCTTCAAGGTCACTGATACTTTCTTTCACAAGGTCAAATATGCTATTGAACCTCGCTAGTGATTTTTTCACTTTAACTGTTGTACTTTTCAATTCTAGATTCTATTTTTAAACATATTCTGTCTCCTTATTCACATTCTCTACTAGACAGCACATTATCATATTTTTAATTTGAACATATTTATAATATATACTTTGAAAACTTTCTTTCTAAATCCAATATCTGAATTGAGACAGTTTCTATTCACTGCTTTTTTTTCCAGAGTATGAGCCATATTTTCCTGTTTCCTTACATGTCTGATAATTTTTAATTGAAAACTAAACTCTTTAATTACACATTATAGCAAATCTGGATTTGGTTTTTATTTGTTATTGTCTTTGTTGTTGTTCTGTTTTGGTAATTGGCTTATACTTGTGCTGTGTAATCCTTCTGCCCAGTGTTTTTCAGCATTGATGTCTTTTATATTGTGTTGTTGTTGTTATTGTTGTTTTAGCCTGTCTTTCTAGGGATTTCCTTTGTGTCTGTTGCATAGCTTGATTTTGGAGAGACATTATATTAAAGCTAGTAAGGCTTTCACTCTCTGCCAAATAATCTATGGGTGGGTGGGTGAATGCATTCAAAGTTGCAATTAATACTCAAGTCTTACTTCATTTTTACTTTTTGTCATACTCTCTTGAGTCTTTCCTGCACTTCCATACTTTTCCAATTGGCCATATGTGTGGAGAACTTTTCTCAAACTTTCGGAATCATCTCCTGTGGAGTTACAAGGATGTGTTTCTCTTTCCCAGCATGAAATTTTGACAGCACATGTGCAATGTCATCTACCAGGACCAGAGTCTCATTAGAGACTCAGTACTCAGGATTTTATGGAAGTTACTCTCCTTCACATGTGCCAGAATTCCAGACTCCCAGAGGAAGAGCAGCTGTTCAGAGTAAACCACATTGTTTGTATAAACAGTTTAGGCAGAGTGAGCCACTCTTCTCAGTGAGAGAATTGGAACTTGGAACTGGAAAAGTCTAGCCTTGCATGTGGGTCTTTCTTTTCTTTTCTTTTCTTTTCTTTCTTTCTTTCTTTCTTTCTTTCTTTCTTTCTTTCTTTCTTTCTTTCTTTCTTTCTTCTTTCTTTCTTTCTTTCTTTCTTTCTTTCTTTCTTTCTTTCTTTCTTCTTTCTTTCTCTCTTTCTCTCTCTTTCTTTCTTCCTCTTTCTTCCTTTGTTTCTTTCTCTCTTTCTTTCTTTCTTTTTTAATTTTACTTTGAGTTCCAGGATACATGTGCAGAACATTCAGGTTTGTTACACAGGTATACATGTGCCATGGTGGTTTGCTGCACCTATTGACCCTCAGGATCTCTCATTTAAATTTTTGTCTTGTCTTCCACCTCCCCAATTGAAACTGCAACCTCAGACTAGCAAATCTGCAATTCTCTCTGTTCATTCCCAAACCACTCTGCTGTATTTAACTGGCAAAACCATTGATTTCTTCCCTCTACTCCATACCAAATCCACCCGTGCCCCCAGCCCTAACAGGAAAGCTGCTGGGTTTTACATCCAGCTTCAAACTGGTCAAACTAGTTTTTCCCAACTGAGGTTGGGGGTGAGAAGAGAGATGGGAGTGTATTAGTCCGTTTTCATTCTGCTGTTAAAGACATACCCAGGACTGGGAAGAAAAAGAGGTTTAATTGGACTTATAGTTCCAGGTGGCTGAGGAGACCTCAGAATCATGGCGGGAGGTGAAAGGCACTTCTTACATGGTGGCGGCAAGAGAAAATGAGGAAGATGCAAAAGCAGAAACTCCTGATAAAGCCATCAGATCTTGTGAGACTTATCCACTACCACGAGAACAGTATGGGGGGGGAGCCACCCCCATAATTTAATTATCTCCCACCAGGTCCCTCCCACAACACATAGGAATTATGGGAGTACAATTCAAGATGAGATTTGCATGGGGACACAAAGCCAAACCATATCAGGGAGCAACCCCAGTCAGGAAGGGCTCAGACTTTTACCAAACCTACCCAAAACCCTAACACTTTTTTCAAGAATAAATGCTTCTTAAATTTGATAACTGCCTTTGATGAGTTTTCAGGGTCCTGAAATGATTGTTTTTGGTATTTCTGCAATTTCTGGGGGGAGTTTTGGTGTGGAAATAAATTGCCAACCTTTTCATGTCACCTCCCAACCTTATTTTTATATCCTCTGATTAACAATTTTCGTTAGTAATGTGTTACACAACAAATACCTGTTTAGACTAACCTACATTTTACCAATTTCTTTGCACATTGTTCCATCTTTTTTGGTTCTATGTCATATTTCTAAAGCATATCTTTCAGTAGATTTTTCCCTGGTAAAAAATGGCATATGTTCTTAAATGTGTTTGTTTGACAATATCTTTCATTTGTCTTTTGTTCGAGTGAAAGTTAACTGACTGCAGAATTCAACATTGAATGTTTTATTTATCTCTGTACTTTGAAGACTTTATTTAATTATCTTCCATCTTCTATTGTTGCTGATAAGAATTGAGAATCTGCTCTATTGTTTATTCAATTATGATTAATCTCTCTTTCTCTGTCTAGATTATTTAAGATTTTATTTTTGCCTTTGGTAGTCTATAGTTTCTCAACATTTTATCTAAGTATCTATTTTTACTTAATCGTGATTAGAACTCATTTGACTTCCTGTGTCCAAATCAATAAAAACCCTAATCAATTCTGTAAAATTTGAAGCCAGTTTTCTTCTCAAATATTACATCTTCTTCATTCTTTCAATTATGTTTCTGAAACTACCATTAGTTGTGTTTTAGATCTTTTCCATAATCTAAATCTCTCATTTTCCACCTCGTTTTTTTTTGTGTGTGCTATGCTCTTAAATAATTTCCTCATATCTACTACTTTGCTGTGTTCTCTCTTCAGCTTTGTCTAGATTGCTATTTGTGTACTTAGTGGGTTTTTTTTCAGTTGAGTAAATTTTAAAGTTTTTTCTAGGTGTTCTATTTAATTATTTTACAATACTTTCTTTTTTTTTATTATACTTTAAGTTTTAGGGTACATGTGTACATTGTGCAGGTTAGTTACATATGTATATATGTGCCATGCTGGTGCGCTGCACCCACTAACTCGTCATCTAGCATTAGGTATATCTCCCAATACTATCCCTCCCCCCACCCCACAACAGTCCCCAGAGTGTGATATTCCCCTTCCTGTGTCCATGTGATCTCATTGTTCAATTCCCACCTATGAGTGAGAATATGCGGTGTTTGGTTTTTTGTTCTTGTGATAGTTTACTGAGAATGATGGTTTCCAGTTTCATCCATGTCCCTACAAAGGACATGAACTCATCATTTTTTATGGCTGCATAGTATTCCATGTTGTATATGTGCCACATTTTCTTTTTTTTTTTTTTTAATTTTTTTTTTTTATTATACTTTAAGTTTTAGGGTACATGTGCACATTGTGCAGGTTAGTTACATATGTATACATGTGCCATGCTGGTGCGCTGCACCCACCAACGTGTCATCTATCATTAGGTATATCTCCCACTGCTATCCCTCCCCCCTCCCCCGACCCCACCACCGTCCCCAGAGTGTGATATTCCCCTTCCTGTGTCCTTGTGATCTCATTGTTCAATTCCCACCTATGAGTGAGAATATGCGGTGTTTGGTTTTTTGTTCTTGCGATAGTTTACTGAGAATGATGGTTTCCAATTTAATCCATGTCCCTACAAAGGACATGAACTCATCATTTTTTATGGCTGCATAGTATTCCATGGTGTATATGTGCCACATTTTCTTAATCCAGTCTATCATTGTTGGACATTTGGGTTGGTTCCAAGTCTTTGCTATTGTGAATAATGCTGCAATAAACATACGTGTGCATGTGTCTTTATAGCAGCATGATTTATAGTCATTTGGGTATATACCCAGTAATGGGATGGCTGGGTCAAATGGTATTTCTAGTTCTAGATCCCTGAGGAATCGCCACACTGACTTCCACAATGGTTGAACTAGTTTACAGTCCCACCAACAGTGTAAAAGTGTTCCCATTTCTCCACATCCTCTCCAGCACCTGTTGTTTCCTGACTTTTTAATGATTGCCATTCTAACTGGTGTGAGATGATATCTCATAGTGGTTTTGATTTGCATTTCTCTGATGGCCAGTGATGATGAGCATTTTTTCATGTGTTTTTTGGCTGCATAAATGTCTTCTTTTGAGAAGTGTCTGTTCATGTCCTTCGCCCACTTTTTGATGGGGTTGTTTTTTTCTTGTAAATTTGTTTGAGTTCATTGTAGATTCTGGATATTAGCCCTTTGTCAGATGAGTAGGTTGGGAAAATTTTCTCCCATGTTGTAGGTTGCCTGTTCACTCTGATGGTAGTTTCTTTTGCTGTGCAGAAGCTCTTTAGTTTAATTAGATCCCATTTGTCAATTTTGGCTTTTGTTGCCATTGCTTTTGGTGTTTTGGACATGAAGTCCTTGCCCACGCCTATGTCCTGAATGGTAATGCCTAGGTTTTCTTCTAGGGTTTTTATGGCTTTAGGTCTAACGTTTAAATATTTAATCCATCTTGAATTGATTTTTGTATAAGGTGTAAGGAAGGGATCCAGTTTCAGCTTTCTACATATGGCTAGCCAGTTTTCCCAGCACCATTTATTAAATAGGGAATCCTTTCCCCATTGCTTGTTTTTCTCAAGTTTGTCAAAGATCAGATAGTTGTAGATATGCTATGTGCCACATTTTCTTAATCCAGTCTATCATTGTTGGACATTTGGGTTGGTTCCAAGTCTTTGCTATTGTGAATAATGCCGCAATAAACATACGTGTGCATGTGTCTTTATAGCAGCATGATTTGTAGTCATTTGGGTATATACCCAGCAATGGGATGGCTGGGTCAAATGGTATTTCCAGTTCTAGATCCCTGAGGAATCGCCACACTGACTTCCACAATGGTTGAACTAGTTTACAGTCCCACCAACAGTGTAAAAGTGTTCCTATTTCTCCACATCCTCTCCAGCACCTGTTGTTTCCTGACTTTTTAATGATTGCCATTCTAACTGGTGTGAGATAATATCTCATAGTGGTTTTGATTTGCATTTCTCTGATGGCCAGTGATGATGAGCATTTTTTCATGTGTTTTTTGGCTGCATAAATGTCTTCTTTTGAGAAGTGTCTGTTCATGTCCTTTGCCCACTTTTTGATGGGGTTGTTTGTTTTTTTCTTGTAAATTTGTTTGAGTTCATTGTAGATTCTGGATATTAGCCCTTTGTCAGATGAGTAGGTTGCGAAAATTTTCTCCCATGTTGTAGGTTGCCTGTTCACTCTGATGGTAGTTTCTTTTGCTGTGCAGAAGCTCTTTAGTTTAAATAGATCCCATTTGTCAATTTTGGCTTTTGTTGCCATTGCTTTTGGTGTTTTGGACATGAAGTAATTTCTTCTTCTCATGTCTCCAATTTTTAAAAATTGTCTCTAGTCTCTTTGAAAATACATATTTTATAGTGTCTATCTAGTGGTTCTATTAGCTGAGGTTTTTAGACATCTAATCCCATTCTTTGTTGTATCTGTTAACTTTTGCTCATGGAATATTTCTTCTTATTTTAAGTTCAGATTCACTTGGCTTTACCTTTGAGACTTTATGCAGTCTGGGATCAGGAGTGTCTATTAGAGATTTTTTGAATTAGCATCTACTAAGTGTTCTAGGGATACTTCTATGCAGGGACACTTTTATGGTAGGTTTAGAACTTTGGGATCCCTAACCTGTGCACGTAATATAATTTGAGCCCTACGCATAAGTTGGATGAGGCCAGTTTTACATATGAATTCTCAAAAAAGACTTGGCCGCACAGAGACCAGCTAAGACAAACTGCCTTGTCTTCTCAATTTGTCAGTAGGATGACATTTTCTGGTCCGTGTTTTTTATTTTATTTTTTTGTTTTGTTTTGTTTTTTTTTTCTTGAGATGGAGTTTTGCTCTTGTTACCCAGGCTGGAGGGAAGTGGCGCCATCTCAGCTCACTACAATGTCCGCCTCCTGGGTTCAAGCAATTCTCCTACCTCAGCCTCCCAAGTAGCTGGGATTACAGGCATACACAACCAGGCCAGGCTAATTGTCTGTATTTTTAATAGAGACAGCGTTTCACCGTGTTGGTCAGGCTCATCTTGAACTCCTGACCTCGGGTGATCCACCCGCCTCGGCCTCCCAAAGTGCTGGGATTACAGGCGTGAGCCACCATGCCCAGCCTGGTCCATTATTTTAGTAAGAGTTTAGCCCTCCAAGGCTTCCAGTTTTGCAGGATGACAATAATCAGACGGGAGGAGGAAAGAAACTTTGTTCTAACTTTCTGCCTGGAGTGAGTCAAAATCCTCCTCTTCTACCCTGGCAAATTCTATACAGCCAGAAAGGGATCATAGCTAAAAAATTCATGTAAGCTGTTTTAAGAATATTAAAAGCATTAGCAATTATGATTCATGGCAAATAAAGGTAGCCATTTAATTAGCAAATGGAAATTTACCATGTTATTGTCTGTCCTTTACAGAAACCTGTGGATTCCTCAGTGAGTAGCACCTAGTTGCCAGAAACAAGATGTCTAGTAACTTATACCTACTCATCTTAATCTACCTCTACCTCCTACACATAATCTAAGATACTTTATATTTATTCCCACAAAATCTAGGTTCATTTCTTCCAGCCATTACCTCCTATAATACATTTATGCCAAATATCAGTTGAATTATCCTTTCAATAAAAAGATTTAGCAGGTTCCTGTTAAAAGATTTGGCACCTTGACACTGTGATCTTCAATAAGGTTGTGAATTCTTATCACAGCCAATCATCCTCTTATTTTCCATCCTGATGAAAAAGCTATTTTAAAATATAAAATGAAGTAAATCTCATCATATTGCCATGATGTTTTTAACTATCATATATTATAAGTTAGCATTTTCAAGAGTTCACATATAGGTTTTTTTTTAATTTTTTTAATTTTTTTATTGAGACTGAGTCTCACTCTGTCACCCAGGCTGGAGTGCAGTGGCACAATCTTGGCTCACTGCAACCTCCACCTCCTGGGTTCAAGCAATTCTCCTGACTCAGCCTCCCATGTAGCTGGGATTACAGGCATGCACCACCACGCATGGCTAATTTTTGTGTTTTTAGTAGAAACGGGATTTCACTGTGTTGGCCAGGCTGGTCTCAAACTCCTGACCTCATGTGATCCAGCCTGCCTCAGCCCCCCAAAGTGCTGGGATTAAGGCGTGAGCCACTGCACCTGGCCCACATATAGTTTTTAAATATTTTTAAAGTGAAAACACTTTGTTTAAAACCTACTTCATAAATTGACAGGTTATTTGGAATATATGTTAAGCAGATATCTCTTTCACCAAACTAGTAAGCAATGTTGATCTATACCATGTATCATTTTATAGAACTGGCTATTAGTATATATGATAAAAGAGAATTGATCCTTTGTTTGTATACATCTATGTGTATGTAGATATATAGCTGTACACTTCTTTGTATTTCAGGAGTTACACTGTTTGTGATATGGTGTATGACCTGGTCAATCTTAGGCTCTGAAGCTCTCCCTGGTGGAAATTTATTTGGATTGTTAATTATTTTTTATAGTGCCATTAGTGGGGGAAAAATTTTACAACTCATTAGAATACCTTTAGTGCCTCCACTTCCACCTCTTCTTGGTAAGTATATAATTAGCTCTCTTTTCTTTATTATTGACTATATGCAAATTTTGAACATTTTCTTGTTGAATTAGTTATAATTCAGAAATATTTCAATGTAGTATGTTTTATATAGTTTCTTCATGTGTGTGTGTGTGTGTACAGCTCCTTTATAGGGGCATTTATTTCTCTCTCTGTCTACATATATACACACACAAGTTTTATCCAAAATTTATTTTTAAAGTAAATTTAATATCCTTAGTACATTATTCCTGTTGCTTTATTGTTTAATAGAATCTTTAAAAATTTTAGATAAATGGAGTACATGTGCAGGTTTGGTACATGGATATATTGCATAATGGTGAGATTTGGGCTCTAGTGAACCCATCAGCAAACAGTGAATACTATACCCAATAGGTAATTTTTCAACCTTAACCCTCCAACGCTCTCTCCTTTTGGACTCCCCAGTGTCTATTATTTACATCTTTATGTCCATATGTACCCATTGTTTAGCTCCCACATATAAGTGAGAACATGTGGTATTTGATTTTTCTGTTTCTGAGTTATTTCACTTAGGATAATGGTGTTCAGCTCTATCCATGTTGCTGCAAAGGACATGATGCCATTCTTTTTTATGACTGCATAGTATTCCATGGTGTATATGTACCACATTTTCTTTATTTAGTCATTTAAGTTGATTCCATGTCTTTTTATTGTGAATAGTGCCACAATGAACATATGTGTGTATATGTCTTTATGGAAGAATGATTCACATGTTGAACCATCCTTGTATTTCTGGAGTAAAACCCACTTAACTATATTATCTTTTTGATGTACTATTGAATTCATTTTGCTAGTTGAGAATTTTTGCATCTATGTTCATCAGGGATATTGACCAGTTGTGTGTGTGTGTGTGTGTGTGTGTGTATGGCTTTGCCTGATTTGGGTACAATTGTGATACTAGATTCATAGAATGTGTTAGGGAGGGAGTCCCTCCTTGATTTTTTTGGATTGAGTTTCAGTCACCTTTGACCCTGAACTAGCATTCTAGTGGATTGTACAATGACCCTGAACTAGTGGATTGTACAATGAATAAATGAATGAATATAAATTATTGTAAAATAAAATTTTGTTAAGTATATGATAACCATACAAATGCAAGACAATAAACAATGTGATATGAAAACTCTCAGCCAGCCTACCATATTTGTGTTTGTTTTTGAACTGCATAGTGGGAGGAGGTGCTCCTTAAAATTTTCACTTTGTAAACATTTATTCTTTGATTTTAACCATCACTGCTATAACCACCATCACTCGTGGATTCACCAAAAATTAAGTAAAGAATTATCTTATTTGTTTTTATAAAACTTTGTAAAATGTATGTAGAGCTCACATTTATTTCATTGTTTAATACTAGAAGTGTTTTGGATCTTTATTTAGAAGTTTGGTGATGTTTTGTGACCAGAAATATGCTATAGGAAATTGACTCTTGTTTATATCATTTAGCCTATGCTAAAATTGGTTTTGTTATATACCATCTTACTCAAAGTTGCCATTTCCAATCACCTATCGACGATGTTAAGTGAGAACTTACTGTATTCAAATATATCTAAATATTCAGTACAGTGGGCCAGGCATGGTGGCTCATGCCCATAATCCCAGCACTTTGGGAGGCCAAGGCAGGAGGATCACCTGAGCCCAGGAGTTCAAAACCAGCCTGGGCAACATAGCAGACCTTGTCTTTACAAAATATTAAAAATTTTTCTGGGTCTCAGCTACTCAGGAGGCTAAGGCAAGAGGATCACTTGAGCTCAGGAGGTTAAGCCTACAGTGAGCCATGTTTGCATCACTGCACTCAGCTTGGGCAAAATAATGAGACCCTGTCCCCAAAAATAAATATATATTCAGTACACTGTCAGTAGAGATAATCTCTACATCTTATCTCTGCTGTCCCTTCTGTATCCACAGTTTTCTTGCAACACCTTCTCAGTATTTATTGAATCATTTTCCTCCTCTCCAAACTTTCTCTTTTGCTCTAGCTTAGGCTATTTGTTTCCAACTTTTGCGTGGACTGTGGCAGAGCCTTCAATTTGGTCTCTGTCTCCAGTTTTATCCCTAACTAATTCACCAAGACCCTCATATAAAAATCGCAAGACTCATTATGTTACTTCCTGCCTAAAACCTTCCCATGGTGCCTTACTTTGCCAAAGTGGGGGGAGACCTTTCTATGATCTGGCCCACCAAGCTCATTCTCCTCCCTCCTTTCCTTGTCCTGTATGTTCCAGCAACACTAAATTACTTGTTGAACCCCATTTAGGTGTATTGTTTCTTATCACCATTCCTTTATTCATGCTGCCTTCTCTACTTGCTTGTAACCTGTCCTTTACCAAAATAATGAGAGACATAGTGCATTAGAAAATAAAGTAAACATTTCTGTTTTCTTTCTCAGAAAAATGAACTGTCATGTATGTTTATTTTCTTTCTTTTAAGGGATGTTACTGGCTGGTTTTACAATTAGGAATGTTCCATTCATCAATGAACATGTCCATGTTCCTAACGCATGGTCTTCAATTTTAAGAAGCATTGCCCTTAACATTATTCTAATACGAGTTGGGCTTGGACTCGATCCACAGGTAGATTTTACAATTACAAATCGAGTAAGGTTATTTCAAATATTAGAGGATGGTGAGAAAGAAAAAGAAGCACATATTTTATTTACCTGTTCCAAGTGGAGTCTGTAAACAAACCTAAGATAAAGAAAAAAAGGCCGGGCATGATGGCTCATGCCTGTAATCTACAAAAATTAGCCGGGCATGGTGGCATTTACCTGGTAATCCCAGCTACTCGGGAGGCTGAGGCAAGAGAATCGCTTGAACCTGAGTGACAGAGGTTGCAGTGAGCTGAGATAGTGCCACTGCAATCCAGCCTGGGGGACAGAGTGAGACTCCGTCTCAAAAAACAAAACAAAACAAACAAAGGTTTTATAAGAAAAACCTTATACAATTCTTTTTCTTTTCTTAGGGAGATGAAGGATTTCAGTAATTTTTTATGACGTTTTCTCTACAGGATTATTTTCCTGATTATCTTTGCATTATTGTAAAATCTAATCTTTTAAAGCATTTCTTAAAATATTACATTCTAGGGATCATAAATCCCATCTATAAGAAGATGACTATTCATGAATATGACAGCCACTCAAATAAATGTGGCAAATGTGGTTTAATAGAAATAGCTCAAGAGCATAAATAATTATAGCCAATGAGATTATATTCTCCAGTAGAAAGTATGAACCAAGGAGAAAATTGAAAAGTTCTCCCTTTTAAAATGAATTATGCAGTTTTTAAGCTATTTTCTTTGGCATGTTAGTATTGTATTTATACTTATTAAGTTAATCAAACAGTTCATATCAAAAAGTTAATGGGAAAACACTAATAGGACACTATTATTATACTACGTATTAGGAAAGTTCAGGAAGGTAGCTTTAGCTATTTAATCACAGTAAAATTGATCTTTTAATAATTAAAATACAGTAATATTTTATAAAAGATGAAATTGTTTATAATCCAACCTATGATGACATATAAAATATAATAGAGTTCAAAGTCCAGTGGGACAATCTGTTGAAATGAGATTTTGTTTAGTGAAAGCTTCTTATGAAAAAAGACTTTATAGTCCAACATTTGTTAAAATAATTTTCTTGTTGGCCATTGTAAATGTATCAAATGTGACTGCTTTCTGTTTCAGGCTTTGAGGCATTTGAAGGTGGTTTGTTTCAGATTGGCTGTAGGTCCACGCCTTATGGAGGCAAGTGCAGCTGCTGTTTTTTCCCACTTCATTATGAAATTTCCCTGTCAATTGGCAATTCTATTAGTGTAATTTCTTTCTCATTTTTTCTTGTGAAAATATTCAATTAAGGATGCTTGGTTAAAACTGTTAAAATATTCAGAATATTGTATAGAAAAGCTCTATTAAAATTCATTTCACAGTGTTAAAATCCTTGGAAAGCAGTTGATTAAAAGCAGAGCATGTCCCAAATTGCACGAAATTTTTTTAGCAAACATTCATAGCCCCTAAATGTTTATCATCAAGAAAATTCACGTGATCAATTTATTCCTTTTCGTCTGTATTATAACATATCTGTATGTTTTAATCTATCTAATGGCCTCTTCCTCATAGCTATATGTAAATACAGTTGCACATTTCATATATATGTATGTGTGTATATATATATGATAAACATTTTATATAGACATAGGTGTATAAATATAAACTCTCCCATTTTAAAGAAAGCAAACAAAAACTCTTGCTGTATATCCAGTGCCCCATCCATCTTTATCTACCATCCATTTGTCTCATGTTTGAATTCCTCAAAATAAGTCTATAACTACTGTCTCTAGATCCTAACTCCTTTTCACTTCTTAATTCATCAACTTTTGTCTCTGCTTATCCATTCCAATGACACTCATAGCAAAGTTCATCCATTACATAGTTACTACAAAATCCAGTGAATTTTTAAATTAATGTTTATGATAAAATACTCAAATGCACTTTTATTTTAAAAATTAGAACTTTATAAATAAAGGAGGAATGACCTTAAACTATGGCTTCAAATCATAATGCCCATAACTCTACCCAAAATGACAACCCTTAGGAGTTTTTTTCTTCTCCAATTTTTATTTTGGCTCAAGTGGTACATGAGCAGGCTTGTTATATGGAGAAATTGCATGTCACAGGGGTTTGGTATGCAGATTATTTTGTCACCCAGGTTGTAAGCATAATACCCAATAGGTAGTTTTTCTATTCTCCCCCTCCTTCCAGCCTCCACCCTCAAATTCACCTAGTGACGATTGTTCCCTTCTTTCTGTCCATGTGTACTCAGTGTTTAGCTCCCACTTATAAGTGAGAATATGGGATATTTGGTTTCCTGTTCCTGTGTTAATTCACTTTGCATAATGGCCTCAACTCCATCCACGTTGCTCCAAAGGACATGATCTCGTTCTTTCTTATGGCTGTGTATTATTCTATGGTGTATATGTGCCACATTTTCTTTATCCAGTTCACCATTGATGGGCATTTAGGTTGATCTCATGTCTTTTTTATTTTTTTCATTAGTTTTTAAGGAACAGGTGGTGTTTGTTTACATGGAAAATATTTTAGTGGTAATTTCTGAGATTTTGGTGCACCCATCACCAGAGCAGTGTACACTGCACCCGAGGTGTAGTCTTTTATCCCTCACCCTCCTCCTACTCTTCCCCCTAAGTCCCCAAAGTCCATTGTATCATTCTTATGCTTTTGCATCCTCATAGCATAACTCCCACTTATAAGTCAGAACATACAATGTTTGGTTTTTTCATTCCTGAATTACTTCACTTAGAATAATGGTGTCTGACTCCTTCCAGGCTGCTGTGAATGCCATTATTTCATTCCTTTTTATAGCTGAGTAGTATTCCGTCCCTGGTCTGTGTGTGTATATATATATACACACATACACATATATGTGTCTATATACACACATATATATATACACCACATTTTCTCTATGCATTCATTGATTGATAGGCATTTGAGCTAGTTCCATATCTTTCACAATTGCAAATTGTGCTGCAATAAACGTGTGTGCAAGTGTTTTTTTTCATATAATGACTTCTTTTCCTCTGGGTAGCTACCCAGTAGTGGGATTGCTAGATCAAATGGTAGATCTACTTTTAATTCTTTAAGAAATCTTCATGCTCTTTTCCATAGTGGTTATATTAGTTTACATTCCCCCCAGCAGTGTAAAAGTGTTCCCTTTTTACCACACCCATGGCAACATCTATTTTTTTTTAATTTTTTGATTATGGCTATTCTTGGAGGAGTGAGATGGTATCGCATTGTGGTTTTGTTTGCATTTCCTTGATAATTAGTGATATTGAGGATTTTTTCATGTTTCTTGGCCATTTATATCTGCTTTTGGGAAGTGTCTATTCATGTCCTTAGCACACTTTTTGATAGGATAATTTGTTTTTTTCTTGCTGATTTGTTTGAGTTCCTTATAGATTCTGGATATTAGTACTTTGTTGGATGCATAGTTTGTAAAGATTTTCTCCCACTCTGTAGGTTGTCTTTTTACTCTGCTGATTATTTCTTTTGCTGTGTAGAAGCTTCTTAGTTTAATTAAGTCCCATCTATTTATCTTTGTTTTTGTTGCCTTTGCTTTTGGGTTCTTGGTCATGAAATCTTTGCCTAAGCAAATATCTAGAAGGGTATTTCCAATGTTACCTTCTAGAATTTTTATAGTTTTAGGTGTTAGATTTAAGTCTTTGATCCATCTTGAGTTGATTTTTGTGTAAGGTGAGAGATGAGGATGCAGTTTCATTCTTCTACATATGGCTTGCCAATTATCCCAGCACCATTTGTTGAATATGGTGTCCTTTCCCAACTTTATGTTTTTGTTTCCTTTGTTAAAGATCAGTTGGCTTAAGTATTTCGCTTTATTTCTCGGTTCTCCATTCGGTTCCATTAGTCTATGTGCCTATTTTTATACCAGTATTATGCTGCTTTGGTGACTATAGACTTATAGTATAGCTTGAAGTCAAGCAATGTGATGCATCCACATATGTTCTTTTTGCTTAGTCTTGCTTTCGTTATGCATGCTATTTTTGGGTTCCACATGAATTTTAGGATTGCTTTTTCTAGTTCGGGGAAGAATGATGATGTAGATTGCTTTTGGCAGTATGGTCATTTTCACAATATTGATTCTACCTATCCATGAGCATGTGATGTGTTTCTATTTGTTTGTGTCATCTATGATTTCTTTCTGCAGTGTTTTGTAGTTTTCACTGTAGAGGTCTTTCACCTCCTTGGTTAGGTATATTCCTAAGTTGGTTTGCTTGGGGTTTTTTCTTTGGTTTTGTTTGTTTGTTTGTTTTGTTTTTTTTTTGTAGCTGTTGTAAAAGGGGTTGAGATCTTGATTTAATTCTCAGCTCAGTCACTGTCGGTGTATACCAGTGCTACTGATTTGTGTACATTGATGTTGTATCCTGAAACGTTACTGAATTCATTTATCAGATCTGGGAGCTTTTTGGATGAGTCTTTAGGGTTTTCTCATTATATGATCATATCATCAGGAACAGCAACAGTTTGACTTCCTCTTTACTGATTTAGATGCCCTTTATTTCTTTCTCTTGTCTGATTGCTCTGGCTAGGACTTCCAGTACTATGTTGAATAGAAGTGGTGAAAGTGGGCAACCTTGTCTTGTTCCAGTTCTCGGGGGAATGCTTTCATCTTTTCCCCATTCAGTATAATGTTGACTGTGGGTTTTTCTTTTTTTCTTTTTCTGTATTTTTTTTTTTTTTTGAGATGGAGTCTTGCTCTGTTGCCCAGGCTAGACTGCAATGGCCCAATCTCAGCTCACTGCAACCTCTGCCTCCCAGGTTCAAGCAATTCTCATGCCTCAGCCTTCCAAAAACCTGGGAGTAGCTCCCCAAGCTTGCCCGCATCTATTACTTTTTGACTTTTTAATAATAGCCATTCTGCCTCCTGTGAGGTTGTATCTCATTGCACTTTTGTTTTGCATTTCTCTAATGATTAGTGATGTTGAATATTTTTCCGTATACTTGTTGACTACCTGTTTGTCTTCTTTTGAGAAGTGTCTTTTCCTGTCCTTTGCCCATTTAATGGGGTTGTTAGATTTTTGCTTGTTGATTTTTCTAAGTTCTTTTTGGATTCTGGATATTAGACTTTTGTCGAATGCATGGTTTGCAAATATTTTCTCCCATTCCATAGGTTGTTTGTTAATGATTTCTTTTGCTGTGCAGAAGCCCTTTAGTTTAATTAGGTCCCATTTGTGAATTTTTGTTTTTGTTGTAATTGCTTTTGGCATCTTTGTCATAAAGTGTTTTCCAGAATTGAAATTTCCTAGGATATGTCCAGAATGGCCTGTGTCCAGAATGGTATTTCTTAGGCTATCTTCCAGGGTTTTTATAGTTTTGGGTTTTACATTTAAGTCTTTAATCTACCTTGAGTTGATTTTTGTAAACGGTGAAATGTATGGAGTCCAGTTTCAATTTTCTGCATACGGCTAACCAGTTATCCCAGCACAATTTCCAAGTAGGGATTCCCTTCCCCATTGCTTGTTTTTGTCAAGTTTGTTGAAGAGTAGATGGCTATAGCTGTGCAGCTTTATTTCTGTGTTCTGTAACCTGTTCCACTGGTCTATGTCTGTTTTTGAGTTCCTTATAGATTCTGGATATTAGTACTTTGCTGGATGCATAGTTTGTAAAGATTTTCTCCCACTCTGTAGGTTGTCTTTTTACTCTGCTGATTATTTCTTTTGCTGAGCATAACCATGCTGTTTTGCTTACTGTAGCATTGTAGTACAGTTCGAAGTCAGGTAGTGTGACGCTTTCGACTTTGTTCTTTTTGCTTAGGATTGCTTTGGCTATTTGGGCTTTTTTTTTTTTTTTTTTTTTTTTTGGCTCCAAATGAATTTTAGAATGCTTTTTTTTAATCCTGTGAAAAATGTCATTGGTGTTATGATAGGAATAGCATTGACTCTGTAAATAGCCTTAGACAGTATGGCCATTTTAACAATATTGCTTCTTCCTATCTGTGATCATGGAATGTTTTCCTTTTGTTTCTGTTGTCTCTGATTCTTTGAGCACTCGTTTGTAATTTTCATTTTATAGATTTTTCACCTCCCTGCTTAGCTGTATTCCAAGGTATTTTGTGGTTTTTTTGTGGCTACTCTGAATGGGATTGCATTCTTGATTTGGCTGTCAGCTTGGATGTTGTTGGTGTATAGAAATGCTACAGATTTTTGTACATTGATTTTTGTATCCTGAAACTTTGCTGAAGTCATTTATCAGATCTGGGAGCTCTCGAGAGGCTACTATGGGGTTTTCTTGGTATAAAACTGTTTCACCTATGAAGAGGCATAGTTTGACTTCCATTCTTCCTATTTAGATGTCTGTGTTTCTTTCTCTTGCCTAATTGCACTGGTTAGGACATCCAGCACTATGTTGAATAGGAGTAGTGAGAGTGGGCATCCTTGTCTTGTTCCAGTTCTCAAAGGGAATATTCCAGCTTTTTCCCATTCAGTATGAAGTTGGCTGTGGGTTTGTCATAAATGGCTCCAATTATTTTGAGGTATGCTCCTTCAGAAACTCATTTGTTGAGGGTTTATATCATGAAGGGATGTTTTTATTTTTAGTTCTATTTTATGATGAATCACATTTATTGGTTTGTATATCTTGAACCAAACTTGCATCCCAGGGATAAAGCTTACTTGATCATAGTAGACTAGCTTTTTGATATGCTGCTGGATTCAGTTGGCTTGTATTTTGTTGAGGATTTTTGCATCTATGATCATCAGTGATAACTGTCCTGAAGTTTTCTTTTTTGTTGTGTCTCTGCCAGGTTTTCATATCTGAATGATGCTGACCTCATAAAATGAGTTAGGGAGGGATCCTTCCTCCTCATTTTTTTCAGAATAATTTCAGTAGCATTGGTACCAGCTCTTCTTTACACTTCCGGTAGAATTTGTCTGTGAATCTGTTGGGTCCTGGGCTTGCTTTTTTTTTTTGGCTCAGAGACTTTTTATTACTCATTCAGTTTCAAAACTCGTTTTTGGTTTGTTCAGGATTTCAATTTCTTCCTAGTTCAATCTTGGGAGGTTGTATGTTTCCAGAAATTTACCCATTTCTTGTAGGTGTTCTACTTTGTTTGCATAAACATGTTCATCATAGTCTGTGAGAGTTTTTTATATTTCTGTGTGGTTGGCGGTAATGTCCACTTTACCATTTCTGATTGTGTTTTTTGTATCTTCTCTTTTTTTTTTCCTTATTGGTCTAGCTAGTGACCTATCAAATTTATTTATTCTTTTGAAGAACCAGCTTTTAGTTTCATTTATCTTTTGTATGGCTTTTCATGACTCAGTTTCATTCCATTCTGCTCGGATTTTGGTTATTTATTTTCTTCTGCTAGCTTTGGGTTTCTTTTCCTCTTGTTTTTCTATTTCCTTTAGGTATGATATTAGGTTGTTAATTTAAGATCCTTCTAACTTTTCAATATGGGCATTTAGCACGATAAACTTTTCCCTTAACAATGCTTTGCCTGTGTCTTAGAGAGCCTAGAATGTTGTATCTTTGTTTTAATCAGTTTCAAAGAATTTATTGGTTTCTGCCTTAATTTCACTGTTTACCCAAAAGTCATTCAGGCACAGGTTGTTTAATTTCCATGTAATTGTATGGTTTTGAGAGTTCTTCTTAGTGTTGACTTCTATTTTTGTTACACTGAGTGGTCCAAGAGTGTGGTTGGCATGATTTCAGGGGTTTCTTTTAATTTATTGAAAATAATTTTAGACTGATAGTGTGATCAATTTTACAATATATGCCATGTACAGATGAGAGGAAGATATATTCTGTTGTTGTTGGGTGGAGTGTTCTGTAGATGGCTGTTAGGTCCATTTAGCCAAGTGTTGACTTCAAGTCCTGAATATCTTTGTTCATTTTCTGTCTCTATGATCTGTCTAGTACTGTCAGTGAGATGTTGAAGTCTCCCACTATTATTCTGTGGTTATCTAATTCTCTCTATAGGTCTCTATGAACTTGTTTTACTAATATGAATGCTCCAGTTTTGAGCACATTTATGTTTCAGACAGTTAAGTCTTCTTGTTGAATTGAACCCTTTATCATTACGTAGTGCCCTTCTTTGTCTTTTTGATTGTTGTTGGTTTAAAGTCTATTTTGTCTGAATTAGAATAACAATGCTTACCTTTTTTTGTTTTGCATTTGCTTGGTAGATTTTTTTCCATCCTTTTACTTCAAGCCAATGGGTATTGTTGCATATGAGCTGGGTCTCTTGACAACAGATACGGTTGGGCTTTGCTTCTTTAACCAACTTGCCATTCTGTGAGTTTTAAGCGGGGCATTTATACTGTTTACATTCACAGTTAATATTGGTATTTATAGCTTTGGTCCTGCCATTATGTTGTTAGCTGGTTATTATGCAGACTTGATTGTTATTATGCAGGCTTTACAACGTCAATGGTCTATGTACTTAAATGTATTTTTGTGGTGGCCATTAACAGTCTTTCACTTCCACGCTTAGCACTCCCTTAAGGACCTCTTGTAAGGCATGTCTGGTGGTAACAGATTCCGTCAGCATTTGTTTGTCTGAAAAGGATCTTACTTCTCGTTCACATATGTTTAGTTTGGCTGGATATTAAGTTCTTGGTTGAATTTTTTTTTTTTTTTTTTTTTTTTTTTTGTGACAGAGTCTTGCTCTGTCCCCAGACTGGAGTGCAGTGGTGCTATCTCGGCTCACTGCAACCTCCACCTCCTGGGTTAAGTGATTCTCTTGTCTCAGCCTCCCGAGTAGCTGGGACTACAGACACGCACCACCATGCCCAGCTAATTTTTGTATTTTTATTAGAGATGAGGTTTCACCATGTTGGCCAGGATGGTCTTGATCTCTTGACCTTGTGTTCCACCCCTCTCAGCCTCCCAAAGTGCTGGGATTACAGGCATGAGCCACCACACCCGGCCAAGTATTTTTTTTTTTTAAGAATGCTGAAGGCCGGGCATGGTGGCTCACACCTGTAATCCCAGCACTTTGAGAGGCCGAGGTGGGCAGATCACGAGGTCAGGAATTTGAGACCACCCTGGCCAATATGGTGAAATCCTGTCTCTACTAAAATTACAAAAAATTGCCGGGTGTTGTGGTGCGCACCTGTAGTCCCAGCTACTTGGGAGGCTGAGGGAGAAGAATTGCTTGAACCCGGGAAGTGGAGGTTGCAGTGAGCCGAGATAGCACCAGTGCACTCCAGCCTGGGCAACAGAGTGAGATTCCGTCTCAAAAAAAAAAAAAAAAGAATGCTGAATATAGGCCCCCAATTTCTTTTGGATTGTAGAGTATCTTATAGTTCCACTGTTAGCCTGATGGGATTCCCTTTGTATGTGACCTGCCCCTTCACTTTAGCTGCCTTTCATATTTTTTTATTTCATGTTGACCTTGGAGAATCTGATGTCTGTCTGTCTTGGGGATGGTCATCTTGTATAGTATCTCACAGGATTCTCTGCATTTCCTGGATTTAAATGGTGACTTCTCTAGCAAGATTTGGGAAATTTTTGTGGGCAGTATCCTCAAATATGTTTTCCAACTTGCTTGTTCTTTCTCCCTTTCTTTGAGTGATGCCTTGAGTCATATGTTTGGTCTCTTTACATAATCTCAGATTTCTCAGAGGTTTTGTTCATTCTTTTTTGTTCTTTATTTTCGTCTGACTGAGTTGATTCAAAGAAGTGGTCTTTGAGATCTGAGATTCTTTCCTCAGCTTGGTCCGTTCTGCTGTTAGTATTTGTTATTGTTTTATGAAATTCTTGAGGTGCATTTTTCAGCTCTATCAGTTTAGTTTGGTTCTTTCTTAAAATGCCTATTTCATCTTTCAGCTCTTATGTCATCTTATTGGATTCCTTAAATTATTTGGATTGGATTTTGACTTTCTTCTGAATCTCAATGATCTTTGTTTCTATCCAGATTCTGAATTCTATGTCTGTCATTTAATCCTGGTTAACAACCATTGTTGAAGAGTTAGTATGATTGCTTGAAGACAGGAAGACATTCTGGCTTTTTACATTGCCAGAGTTCTTGCACTGGTTCTTTCACATCTGTGTGGGCTAAGGTTCCTTTAATGTTTTGAATCACTGTCCTTTGGATGGAGCTTTTTCCTTTTTTATATTCTTTAATGCCCTTGAGGGTTTGACTGTGGCACAAGGTAGTTTCAATCAAATGGCTTCATTTCTGGAAGATTTCAGGGGGCAAAGGCTCAGCTCAGCACTCCTGAACGGCGTGCTCTAACTTTGCAAGGCTGGTACCATACTCACAGATTTGTTGTCTGGCCCTTCAATGTTAAGCACTGAGGTGTTCCCAGTCCACTGGCAACAACACTCTGATGGGGTGTGCCAGCCAAAGTGCTTCATTGTAGTGATCTCACACATATGTGCCAGCAGCAGCAGCACACAGCAGGTATGCATGTGTTGGCAGGGGTGCAGCGCCGGCAGGAGTGGGATGGGGTGTTCTGCATACTTGCACGTGCCAGCCGGGGCAATGGTGTTGTGGGGTGCACTCATGTGCTGCTGCAGACAGAGTGGCAGCATCTTCATGAGTTTTATGTTATCATTCTAGATCTTTAAAAATAATGTTCTGGACTTCTAACAAATGTATTTGTGAACCCAGAGAAAAAAAGAGTATTATTTTGCACATTTTTACGTAATCATACCCAAGAAAATTTTACTTTACAATTTGTTCTTTTCACTCAACAATAGTCTTGAGGTTTATCCATCTCAAGATGGATACACATGTAGTTTATTCCTTTTAGTTGTATAAGATTACATTGTATGTCAACAGCAGATTTTATTTACAATGTTATCACAAAAATAGCATTTTATTTGTCTCATTTTACATAAATATAAGTTTGTCTAGAATAGTTACCTGGGTTACATGCATTTTTAGTTTGATGTATACTGCGAAAATCCTTTCGGTATGGCCACTTTAATTTGCCCTAATACCAATAGCTTATGAGCATACCTGTTGTTCTTGAAAATCCTTGCAAATCCTTGATATTATTAAATTTTATAATGTTTTCCAGTCTGATAATTGAAAAAATGGCATATTTTTGTTATTTTAATTTGCATTTCTGTGATTATTCACAAGCTTGAATATCTTTTATATATGTGTTGTCCTTCAGCTTTTCCTTATCTGTAACTAGCCTGTTCATATCTTTTGTCTATTTTTTTGTTGAGTTGGTCTTCTTTATTAATTATATCTGTTATGTGCATTTGTAAATTATATGTATTGCAAATATCAGTAGATATTTAATTTTGTTTGTGATGATTTTTTTTTCACTCTAAGAAGTGTATTTTGTTATTTTCAACAGACAGAATTGCCAATACACAACACCGTTCACTTGACTTTGAAAATGAAAAAGAGAAAAAGGGGGAGAAAGAGCAGAATTGCTTTTGAAGTAGCACTTTATTATAGTACTTTTGAAGTTGCTTTTGAAGTACTACTTTAATATAATTGAATGTATCAAAATCTCTTTTTATGTCTAATGCCTTTGTATGTATCATTCAAAAGGTCCTTTTTACCTCATGATCACAAATATATTATTCTACATCTTTTTTTTGTTGTTCAGAGTCTTGCTGTCACCCAGGCTGTAGTGCAGTGGCATGATCTCAGCTCACTGCAACTTCCACCTCCCAGGTTCAAGTGATTCTTCTGCCTCAACCTCCCAAGTAGCTGGGACTACAGGCATGCACCACTGCACCCAGCTATTGGTTTCACCATGTTGGCCAGGCTGGTCTCAGATTCCTGATCTGTCCACCTCAGCCTCCCAAAGTGCTGGGATTACAGGTGTGAGCCATCACGCCTAGCCCACAACATTTTCTTATTACTACTTTTCCTTTTGAGCTTTTAACATTTATTATGTGTAAGGATCTATCTATATTCCTTTCCACATAAATAGTTATCTCAACACCATTTGTGAAAGATTTCTTTCTTTCTCCCACTGATTTAAAATACCAATTGTATGATGTAACAAATCCCATGGATTTGTTTCCACACTTTGTATTCTCTTTTCTTCCAATTTATTTTGTCTATTTATATGTCACTATTATTTAGTTTTAACTATTTTACCTTTACAAAAACAGTATCTTGTTCTCTTAAGTTTACTTGATCTTTCATTCTAAGATCTTATTCTTCCAAATGAATTTTATAATCAGCTTGTCAAGCTCAGTAAAAATCCCTGCAATGATTTTGATTGGTGTATCTCTGATTAATTCATTTGGGGGAGAGATTACATCTTTATATTATTGAGGCTTTGGCTGGGCGTGGTGGCTGACACCTATAATCCCAGCACTTTGGGAGGCCAAGGCAGGCATATCACTTGAGGTCAGGAGATCAAGACCAGCCTGGCCAAAATGGTGAAACACCGTATCTACTAAAAACACAAAAACTAGCCAGGCGTGGTGTTGGGCGATGGTAAAATTGGGGCTTTTTATTTCACACTTGTGAAATGTCTCTCTAAGTATTCAGGTATTATCTTAATTATTATATTATTATATTCACAATTTTTATAAAAGTATAGACTGTCTTCACAGTTTTGTTCTTAGATACTTTGTGTTTTTAATTGATGTTGTGGATTAAATTCTCTTTGATCACTTATTCCTGGGGAAGCCAGCTGCCATGTCCTGAGGCAGCCCTGTGGAGAAAACCCCACTGGAAAAAACTGAAGCCTGCAATGGCTACATGAGTAAACTTGGAAGCAGATCTTCTCCACCCCACCCTACCTCATGGGAAATCTTAAGTCAAGGCATACAACTAAGCCATGCCCAGATTCCTGACCCACAGAACTCATAAGACAATAAATATTTGTTGTTTTAAGCTGCTATGTTTGGGGATGACTTGTTAAGCAAAATGAGAAAAATAATACAACAGGTGATTACAATGTGCAGCAGAGTTCAGGAACCACTGAACTAGACCAGTATGTGGTCTTAGAGAAGTCTAGTCTCTTCTTGAGCGCACAGGGAAATCTGTAGCATAAACTGCGCCATAGAGTTGTACAGCCAGAAGCAAATCTCACATCAGTCCGTCATTGGCAGATGCTGTCTGGAGGGAAAGTAGAGGGGTACACAACCTTCCTAGTATTCCCAGGTAGGTGCTTGTCAGCAGGACAAGGGTTCTAGAAACCTGCAGATATTAGCAGCCAACAAGAATCACTGGGAGATGTGTTCATTGACCTGGTAAATGGATTCTGGCAGGAGCACCAAAAGCATTTCTACACAGGATATACTTCACGCTTTATAAAGTAAATGTAGAAGAGATGAGGTGAAATTCTGGATAAGATATGCCAATAGAAGGTATTCTGAGCAGGAGCCTCCCCATTTCTCATGGGTGTCATCAACCACTCCAGAAATGTTCTCATTTGCCTTTGTAACTTAGGTGGCCACACTTGTTTTTTTGGGCAGACAACTCTGTTCCTTCCTTCCTTACTTACTTATTTACTCAAGAGGTAGGAAATGTGTGGAAGGTAGATTTGTCTGACCATTCTTACAGTGGTACTCCAAATAATCAACTATTTGGTTTCCCCAGAGGTCTCTCCTGCTCCCAGCATCTGTCATTTCAGGGCTTGGACCACTTTTAGAAGCACATGTATCTTTTGAGGCAATCTTATTTACACACATTTTGGTTTATGGTTTCCTTTTTTCAATCCTAAATTGTCTGTCTCTTTTCTTTCTGGCATATACTTAGTTTCTTGTCCATTGATGATTCACCTTTTGCTTTCTAGTTAGGTTATGAATTTTTCTATTACCTTTACATCTTCACTTCAAAGGATTTAGGAATAGAGGGAAAGGCTGCAACCTGTGCTCAGCCCAACATTTTAAACCACGTCTGTATAAAATTTTAGCCAGCACTAAACAATGCATGAAAAGTTTTATCACCATTAAATTGCATTCACTCAAATTTGAAATTCTTCTAAACAATGTTTGTTATAAATTTATTATAAACTAGTTGTACTTAAAAAACACTACTTGATTAAAAAGATGCTTTTAAATTAATTTTCATTCTTTCTTTCAGTTTTGTTCTAGGTGCTGTCTCTCCTGCTGTTGTTGTCCTTTACACAATGGTGTCGCAAGAAAATGGATATGGTGTTGAGGAAGACATTCCAACCTTACTAATGGCTGCTAGCAGTATGGATGACATTCTGGCTATCACTGGATTCAATACATGCTTGAGCATAGTCTTCTCCTCGGGTAAACAAGAAAATATAACAACCACCAGATCATTCATGACCTTTTTTGTTAGTTCTTTAAACAGGGTTTCTGGCTTTGCTTCTTCATTTAATAACCAAGACTGTTCAATTTAACATCTTTTTAATCTCCATAGAAAGCTCATTCCAGACCAAGGAAGATATTTCAGTGGCTTAAGATACCACTACTTAACACACATGATCTCACTTTAATAATCATGTGACAATTAATTTGATAAACCATATTATTACTATTTGTCTGCTTATGTTGCTTTTGAATTTTATCAGTTCTAATTAGAAAAAATTAAGCAGCAGTATTATTTGTACTACTAATATTTCAATAGGCATTTTTGAAATGTGCCTTTTTGGCCATCCTAATAAACAACTGGTTGCTCTATTATAAGACAACATAAACATACAGAGCTGGGACAGCCATATGCTTTTTTGGTAGTGTTAGGACAAGATCCTGCACCAGTTCTGATTCCCAAGGTGATATCTGGTCTTGAATATCACTACAGAAATTGTGAAACTAAACATTTCCACATTTAGTAATGCTTTAATTATCTGTAATGTTTGAGTCTTCTGTATTATTGAAGCGCTAAACTATTTTTAAGTTGAAAAGTAATATATATAGTTTTATAGTTTCTCTTAAAATAAGAAAATATAAATAAATAAGAAAAAGAGGAAAAGTTAAAAATAAAATCTGCAATAGTCACATCCAGAAGAAAAGAATCATTTCCTTCTGAACCTTTTGATATAAATCCACCCATATTCCCTTCCCTTCCCTTCTTCCCTTCTTTCCTTCCCTTCCCTTCCCCTCTCCTCCCCCTTCCCTTCCCTTCCCCCTCTCTCTGTCAAATATTCTTATAAAAATCAGTGAATATTGACCAATATGTTCTTTTATTTTTTTTTTTTTGAGGAGGAGTCTTGCTCTATCACCCAGGTTGGAGTGCAGTGGCACAATCTCGGCTCACTGCATGCTCTGCCTCCCGGGTTCATGCCATTCTCCTGCCTCAACCTCCCAAGTAGTTGGGACTACACGCGCCCGCCACCACGCCCGGCTAATTTTTTTTTGTATTTTTAGTAGAGCCAGGGTTTCACCGTGTTAGCAAGGATGGTCTTGATCTCCTGACCTCGTGATCCGCCTGCCTCGGCCTCCCAAAGTGCTGGGATTACAGGCATGAGCCATCGCACCCGGCCTAATATGTTCTTATAACCTGAATTGTTTTACACTTAACTGTATATCACAAACATGTTTCTTTTCAGTAAATGTATTTGTAAATCATTTTTAATAGTTGTTTAGCTTAATGAAAGAGTATTCAATGTGCTGCATCATGATTACTTATCCTGTTCAAAATTAAAGTTAACTCCAATATTTACTATTAAAATAATACTTAGTTGGGCTGCTATAAAAATATTTTTTAAATTAAAAAATTGGCCGGGCATGGGTGGCTCACACCTATAACCCCAGCACTTTGGGAGGCCAAGAAGGGTGGATCACTTGAGGTCAGGAGTTCAAGACCAGCCTGGCCAACCAACATGGTGAAACCCCGTCTCCACTAAAAATACAAAACTTAGCCGGGCATGGTGGTGGGCATCTGTAATCCCAGCTACTCAGGAGCATGAAGCAGAAGAATCACTTGAACCCAGGAGGCAGAGGCTGTAGTGAGCTATCCAGCCTGGGCAACAGAGCGAGACTCTGTCTCAAAAAATTTTTTTTTAATTAAAAAAATAATACTTAGTTGAACATATAGAGAAATATTTGTACCTAATTTTCATATTTTCTTAAGCCTAAAAGTGTAATTGTTGATCTAAAAGGTATATACATTTATGAGTATTCTGAAACATATTGCCACAATATCATGTCCTACCAAGGTACATAAACTTGTCATTTCCTCTCACCTCTCTTCAAAACTTGGTATTACTAGCCTTTTTCATCTTTGCTAATTTGATAGGTGAAGGAGGGATCTCTATAAATGAAGTACTTTGAATACTAGTGATGTTAAATATCCATGTTTATTAGTCATTGGCATTTTGTAAACTGCTTTTCTTGAAAGTTTTTTGCCTATTTCTTTTAGGTGGGTTCACCTTTTGTTCTTTTTGATTTGTCAAGATTCTGCATCAAATTGAGAATGAAAACCTTTGTTTTATATACTTTAGTTTTTTCAATTTGTAATTTGGCTTTTAATTTTCTCACTTTTTACCATTCAGAGCTTAAAGTTTTTTATTGTCAATTGTGAAAATCTTTTCCTTCATGATTGGTATCTGTCATTCTTTCAAAAAATATTGTTATCAGTTATGTTTCAAAAAAATATTTCCAGGCTGGGCCCAATGGCTCACGCCTATAATCCCAACACTTTGGGAGGCCAAAGCGGGGGGATCACTTGAGGACATGAGTTCAAGACCAGCCTGGCCAACATAGCAAAGCTCCATCTCTACTAAAAATACAAAATGTTAGCTGGGTGTGGTGGCACAGGCCTGTAATCACAGCTACTCAGGGGGCTGAGGCAGAAGAATCGCTTGAACCCAAGAGGCAGAGGTTGCAGTGAGCCAAGATCACACCACTGCCCTCCAGCCTGGTTGACAGGGGGAGACTGTCTGAAAAAAAGAAAAAAAAATCCTCTTCCTTTTGCCGGCTACTATGCCAAACACTGAGAATAAACGGTAGGCAACAACATCAGCTTTTACTGAATACTTGCTTGGCTCTTGTTCTACGTTCCATATATGTCACCACTCATTTACAGGTAAGGAAACTGAGAAAGATGTTAAGTAATTTACTCAAGGACAGAGATCCAATAAGTAGGGGAGCCAAGATGCAGATCTGACAGTCTCATTCCACACCCACACATTTAACTCTTCTCTTCTCCACTGCCGCCCAACACAACAGAGAGACAAGATCAAATGGTGCATGTTCTCAAGGAGCTTGTATATTAAAGAAAAATTACAAATGGGATGAATATTACATTGTGAAGGTTAATATGAAGTAAGTGTCAACTTGATTGGATTGAAGGATCCAAAGTATTGTTCCCGGTTGTGTCTGTGAGGGTGTTGCCAAAGGAGATTAACATTTATTTAGTGGACTGGGAAAGGCAGATCCACCCTCAATGTGGGTGGGCACCATACAATCAGCTGCCAGCATGGCTAGAATAAAGCAGGCAGAAGAAGGTTAGGAGAAGCTGACTTGCTGAGCCTTCTGGCCCTCATCTTTCTCCCATGCTGGATGCTTCCTGCACTCAAATATCAGACTCCAGGTTCTTTGGCTTTTGGACTCTTGGACTTACTCCAGTTGTTTTCCAGGGGTTCTCAGGCCTTCATCCAGAGACTCAAAGCTGGCCTGTCGGTTTCCCTACTTTTGAGGTGTTGGTTCTCGGACTGAGCCAATACTAGATTCCTTGCTCCTCAACTTGCAGACGGCCTGTTGTAGGACTTCACTTTGTGATGGTGTGATTCAATTCTCTTTAATAAACTCCCTTTCATATATATATATACTATTAGTTCTATCCCTCTAAAGAACCATGACTAATACAGATTTTGATACTGAGGTAATGGAATATTGCTATAAGATACCTGAGAATGTGGAAGTGACTTTGGAAGTGTGTAATGTGCAGAGTTTGGAACAGTTGGGAGGACTCAGAAGAAGACCAGAAGATGTGGGAAAGTTTGGAACTGCCTAGAGACTTGTTGAATGGCTTTGACCAAACCGCTGATAGTGACTTGGACAGTGAAGTCCAGGCTGAGGAGGTCCGAGATGGAGATGAACAACTTGTTGGGAACTGAAGTAAAGGTCACTCTTGCTATGCTTTAGCAAAGAGACTGGTGGCATTTTGCCCCTGCCCTACAGATTTATGGAACTTTGAAATTGAGAGAGATGACTGAGGACATCTGGTAGAAGAAACTGTTGTTGTTGTTGTTATACCTTAAGTTCTAGGGTACATGTGCACAACGTGCAGGTTTGATACATAGGTATACATGTGCCATGTTGGTTTGCTGCACCCATCAACTCATCATTTACATTAGGTATTTCTCCTAATGCTCTCCCTCCCCCAGCCCACCACCCCCCAACAGGCCCCAGTGTGTGATGTTCTCAGCCCTGTGTCCAAGTGATCTCATTGTTCAATTCCCATCTATGAGTGAGAACATGCGGTGTTTGGTTTTCTGTCCTTGTGATAGTTTTGCTGAGAATGATGGTTTCCAGCTTCATCTATCTCCCTGCAAAGGATATAAACTCATCATTTTTTATGGCTGCATAGTATTCCATGGTGTATATGTGTCACATGTCTTAATCCAGTCCATCATTAATGGACGTTTGGGTTGGTTCCAAGTCTTTGCTATTGTGAATAGTGCCGCAATAAACATACATGTGCATGTGTCTTTATAGTAGCTTGATTTATAATCCTTTGGGTATATACCCAGTAATGGGATTGCTGGGTCAAATGGTAATTCTAGTTCTAGATCCTGGAGGAATCACCACAATGTCTTTCACAATGGTTGAACTAGTTTACACTCCCACCAACAGTGTAAAAGCTTTCCTATTTCTCCATATCCTCTCCAGCATCTGTTGTTTCCTGACTTTTTAATGATTGTCATTCTAACTGGGGTGAGATGGTATCTCATTGTGGTTTTGATTTGCATTTCTCTGATGACCAGTGATGATGACCTTTTTTTCTTGTGTCTGTTAGCTGCATAGATGTCTTCTTTGGAGAAGTGTCTATTCATATCTTTGCCCACTTTTTGATGGGGTTGTTTTTTTCTTGTAAATTTGTTTGAATTCTTTCTTTGTCAAATGGGTAGATTGCAATTTATCTCCCATTCTGTATGTTGCCTGGTTCACTCTGATAGCAGTTTCTTTTGCCGTGTAGAAGCTCTTTAGTTTAATTAGATCCCATTTGTCAATTTTGGCTTTTGTTGCCATTGCTTTTCGTGTTTTAGTCATGAAGTCCTTGCTCATGCCTATGGCCTGAATGGTATTTCCTAGGTTTTCTTCTAGGGTTTTTATGGTTTTAGGTCTAACATTTAAGTCTTTAATCCATCTTGAATTAATTTTTGTATAAGATGTAAGGAAGGTATCCAGTTTCAGCTTTCTACATATGGCTAGCCAGTTTTCCCAGCATCATTTATTAAATAGGCAATCCTTTCCCCATTTCTTGTTTTTGTCAGGTTTGTCAAAGATCAGATGGCTGTAGTTGTGTGTGGTCTTATTTCTGAGGCCTCTGTTCTGTTCCATTGGTCTATATATCTGTTTTGGCACCAGTACCATGCTGTTTTGGTTACTGTAGCCTTGTAGTATAGTTTGAAGTCAGGTAGTGTGATGCCTCCAGCTTTGTTCTTTTTGCTTAGGATTATCTTGGCAATGCAGGCTCTTCTTTGGTTCCATATGAAATTTAAAGTAGTTTTTTTTCCAATTCTGTGAAGAAAGTCATTAGTAGCTTGATGGGGATGGTATTGAATCTATAAATTACTTTGTGCAGTATGGCCATTTTCATGATATTGATTCTTCCTATCCATGAGCGTGGAATACTCTTGCATTTGTTTGTGTCCTCTTTTAATTCGTTAAGCAGTGGTTTGTAGTTCTCTTGGAAGAGGTCCTTCTCGTCCCTTGTAAGTTGGATTCCTAGGTATTTTATTCTCTTTGTAGCAATTGTGAATGGGAGTTCACTCATGATTTGGCTCTCTGTTTGTCTATTAATGGTGTATAGGAATGCTTGTGATTTTTGCACATTGATTTTGTATCCTGAGACTTTGCTGAAGTTGCTTATCAGCTTAAGGAGATTTTGGGCTGAGACGGTGGGGTTTTCTAAATATGCAAACATGTCATCTGCAAACAGGGACAATTTGACTTCATCTTTTCCTAACTGAATACCATTTATTTCTTTCTCCTGCCTGATTCCAGTGGTCAGAACTTCCAACACCATGTTGAATAAGAATGGTGAGAGAGGGCATCCTTCTCTTGCGCCAGTTTTCAAAAGGAATGCTTCCAGTTTTTGCCCATTCAGTATGATATTGGCTGTGGGTTTGTAATAAATAGCTCTTATTATTTTGAGATACGTCCCATCAATACCTAATTTATTGAGAGTTTTTAGCATGAAGGAGTGTTGAATTTTGTCGAAGGTCTTTTCTGCATCTATTGAGATAATCATGTGGTTTTTGTCTTTGGTTCTGTTTATGTAATGGATTACGTTTATTGATTTGCATATGTTGAACCAGCCTTGCATCCCAGGGATGAAGCCCACTTGATCGTGGTGGATAAGCTTTTTGATGTGTTGCTGGATTTGGTTTGCCAGTATTTTATTGAGGATTTTTGCATCGATGTTCATCAAGGATATTGGTCTAAAATTATCTTTTTTTGTTGTATCTCTGCCAGACTTTGGTATCAGGATGATGCTGGCCTCATAAAATGAGTTAGGGAGGATTACCTATTGTTCTTTTTTTGTTTTTTGGACGAAAAAAGAACTGTTTAATTTTTTTGATGTTTTCAATGTTGATATTTTTTCCAAGAATTAGAGAAATATCTCTGGATGGTTATCTAAAATTTATAATTTTTGTACAGATATGGTATGTAGGAGAGTATCATAGTTTTTCTATTACTATACTTTAAGTTCTAGGGTACATGTGCACAATGTGCCGGTTTGTTACATATGTATATATGTGTCATGTTGGTGTGCTGCACCCATTAACTCGTCATTTACATTAGATATATCTCCTAATGCTATCCCCCCCTCACCCCACTCCATGACAGGCCCCAGCATGTGATGTTCCCCACCCTGTGTCCAAATGTTCTCATTGTTCAATTCCCACCTATGAGTGAGAACATGTGGTGTTTAGTTTTCTGTCCTTGCAATAGTTTTCTCAGAATGATGGTTTCTAGCTTCATCCATGTCCTTACAAAGGACATGAACTCATCCTTTTTATGGCTGCATAGTATTCCATGGTGTATATGTGCCACATTTTCTTAATCCAGTCTATCATTGATGGACATTTAGGTTGGCTCCAAGTCTTTGCTATTGTGAATAGTGCCGCAATAAACATACGTGTGCATGTGTCTTTATAGCAGCATGATTTACAATCCTTTGGGTGTATGCCCAGTAATAGGATGGCTGGGTGAAATGGTATTTCTAGTTCTAGATCCTTGAGGAATTGCCACACTGTCTTCTACAATGATTGAACTAGTTTACACTCCCACCAACAGTGTAAAAGTGTTCCTATTTCTCCATATCCTCTCCAGCACCTGTTGTTTCCTGACCTTTTAATGATCGCCATTCTAATTGGTGTGAGATGGTATCTCACTGTGGTTTTGATTTGCATTTCTCTGATGGCCAGTGATGATGAGCATTTTTTCATGTGTCTGTTGGCTGCATAGATGTCTTCTTTTGAGAAGTGTCTGTTCATACCCTTTGTCCACTTTTTGATGGGGTAGTTTGATTTTTTCATATAAATTTGTTTAAGTTCTTTGTAGATTCTGGATATTAGCCCTTTGTCAGATGGGTAGATTGTAAAAATTTTCTCCCATTCTGTAGGTTGTCTGTTCACTCTGATGGTAGTTTCTTTTGCTGTGCAGAAGCTCTTGAATTTAATTAGATCTCATTTGTCAATTTTGGCTTTTGTTGCCATTGCTATTGGTGTTTTAGTCATGAATTCCTTGCCCATGACTATGTCCTGAATGGTATTGCCTAGGTATTCTTCTAGGGTTTTTATGGTTTTAGGTTTGACATTTAAGTCTTTAATCCATCTTGAATTAATTTTTATATAAGGTGTAAGGAAGGGATCCAGTTTCAGCTTTCCACATATGGCTAGCCAGTTTTCCCAGCACCGTTTATTAAATAGGGAATCCTTTCCCCATTTCTTGTTTATGTCAAAGATCAGATGGTTGTAGATGTGTGGTATTATTTCCGAGGGCTCTATTCTGTTTCATTGGTCTGTATCTCTGTTTTGGCACCAGTACCATGCTGTTTTGGTGACTGTAGCCTTGTAGTGTAGTTTGAAGTCAGGTAGTGTGATGCCTCCAGCTTTGTTCTTTTTGCTTAGGATTGACTTGGCAATGCAGGTTCTTTTTTGGTTCCATATGAACTTTAAAGTTGTTTTTTCCAATTCTGTGAAGAAAGTCATTGGTATCTTGATGGGGAAGGCATTGAATCTATAAATTACCTTTGGCTGTATGGTCATTTTCATGATATTGATTCTTCCTATCCATGAGCATGGAATGTTCTTCCATTTGTTTGTGTCCTCTTTTATTTTGCTGAGCAGTGGTTTGTAGTTCTCCTTGAAGAGGTCCTTCACGTCCCTTGTAAGTTGGATTCCTAGGTATTTTATTCTCTTTGAAGCAATTGTGAATGGGAGTTCACTCATGATTTGGCTCTCTGTTTGTCTGTTATTGGTGTATAGGAATGCTTGTGATTTTTGCACATTGATTTTGTATCCTGAGACTTTGCTGAAGTTGCTTATCAGCTTAAGGAGATTTTGGGCTGCGATGATGGGGTTTTGTAAATATACAATCATGTCATCTGCAGACAGGCACAATTTGACTTCCTCTTTTCCTAATTGAATACCCTTTATTTCATTCTCTTGCCTGATTGCCCTGGCCAGAACTTCCAAGACTATGTTGAATAGGAGTGGTGAGAGAGGGAATCCTTGTCTTGTGCCAGGTTTCAAAGGGAATGCTTCCAGTTATTGTCCATTCAGTATGATATTGGCTGTGGGTTTGTCATAAATAGCTCTTATTATTTGAGATACGTCCCATCAATACCTAGTTTATTGAGAGTTCTTAGCATGAAGGGCTGTTGAATTTTGTCAAAGGCTTTTTCTGCATCTGTTAAGATAATCATGTGTTTTTTGTCTTTGGTTCTGTTTATATGCTGGATTACATTTATTGATTTGCATATGTTGAACCAGTCTTGCACGCTAGGGATGCCAACTTGATCATGGTGGATAAGCTTTTTGATGTGCTGCTGGATTCAGTTTGTTAGTATCTTATTGAGGATATTTGCATCAATGTTCATCAGGGATATTGGTCTAAAATTCTCTCTTTTTGTTGTTGTGTCTCTGTCAGGCTTTGGTATCAGGATGATGTTGGCCTCATAAAATGAATTAGGGAGGATTCTGTCTTTTTCTATTGATTGGAAAAGTTTCAGAAAGAATGGTACCATCTCCTCTTTGTACCTCTGGTAGAACTCAGCTGTGAATCCATCTGGTCCTGGACTTTTTTTTGGTTGGTAGGCTATTAATTATTGCCTCAATTTCAGAGCCTGTTATTGAACTATTCAGAGATTCAACTTCTTCCTGGTTTAGTCTTGCAAGGGTGTATGTGTCCCAGAATTTATCCATTTCTTCTAGATGTTCAAGTTTATTTGTGTAGAGGTGTTTATAGTATTCTCTGATGGTAGTTTTTATTTCCCTGGGCTCAGTGGTGATATCCCCTTTATCATTTTTATTGCATCTATTTGATTCCTCTCTCTTTTCTTCTTTATTAGTCTTGCTAACAGTCTATCAATTTTGTTGATCTTTTCAAAAAACCAGCTCCTGGATTCATTGCTTTTTTGAAGGGTTTTTTTGTGTCTCTGTCTCCTTCAGCTCTGCTCTGATCTTATTTTTTGCCTTCTCTCAGCTTTTGAATGTGTTTGCTCTTGCTTCTCTAGTTCTTTTAATTGTGATGTTAGGGGGTCAATTTTAGATCTTTCCTGCTTTCTCTTCTGGACATTTAGTGCTATAAATTTCCCCCTACACACTGCTTTAAATGTGTCCCAGAGATTCTGGTACATTGTGTCTTTGTTCTCATTGGTTTCAAAGAACATCTTTATTTCTGCCTTCATTTTTTTATTTACCCAGTAGTTAGTCAGGAGCAAATTGTTCAGTTTCCATGTAGTTGTTCAGTTTTGAGTGAGCTTCTTAATCCTAAGTTCGAATTTGATTGCACTGTGGTCTGAGAGACAGTTTGTTGTGATTTCTGTTCTTTTACATTTGGTGAGGAGTGCTTTACTTCCAATTATGTGGTCAAATTTAGAATAAGTGAGATGTGGTGCTGAGAAGAATGTATACTCTGTTGATTTGGGGTGGAGAGTTCTGTGGATGTCTATTGGGTCTATTTGTTGCAGAGCTGAGTTCAGGTCCAGTATATCTTTGTTAACCTTCTGTCTTGATCTTTCTAATACTGACAGTTGGGTGTTAAAGTCTCCCATTATTATTGTGTGGGAGTCTAAGTCTCTTTGTAGGTCTCTAAGGACTTGCTTTATGAATCTGGGTGCTCTTGTATTGGGTGCATATATATTTAGGATAGTTAGCTCTTCTTGTTGCATTGATCCTTTTACCATTATGTAATGGCCTTCTTTGTCTCTTTTGATCTTTGTTGGTTTAAAGTTTGTTTTATCAGAGACAAGGATTGCAACCCCTGCCTTTTTTTGTTTTCCATTTTCTTGGTAGATCTTCCTCCATCCCTTTATTTTGAGCCTATGTGTGATTTTGCGCATGAGATGGGTCTCCTGAATACAGCACACTGATGGATCTTGACTCTTTATCCCATTTGCCAGTCTGTGTCCTTTAATTGGGGCATTTAGCCCATTTACGTTTACAGTTAATATTGTTATGTGTGAATTTGATCCTGTCATTATGATATTCGCTGGTTATATGCCTGTTAATTGATGCAGTTTCTTCCTAGCATTGATGGTCTTTACAACTTGGCATGTTTTTGCACTGGCTGTTACCGGGTGTTTCTTTCCATGTTTAGTGCTTCCCTCAGGAGCTCTTGTAAGGCAGGCCTGGTGGTGACAAAATCTCTCAACATTTGCTTGTCAGTAAAGAATTTTATTTTCTCTTTCACTTATGAATCTTAGTTTGGCTGGATATGAAACTCTGGATTGAAAATTATTTTCTTTAAGAATGTTGAATATTGGCCCCCACTCTCTTCTGGATTGTAGGGTTTCCGCCAAGAGATCAGCTGTTAGTCTGATGGGCTTCCCTTTGTGGCTAACCTGACCTTTCTCTCTGGCTGCCCTTAACACTTTTTCCTACACTTCAACCTTGGTGAATCTGACAATTATGTGTCTTGGAATCACTCCTCTCAAAGAGTATCTTTGTGTTGTTCTCTGTATTTCCTGAAGTTGAATGTTGGCCTGCCTTGCTAGGTTGGGGAAGTTCTCCTGGATAATATCCTGAAGAGTGTTTTCCAACTTGGTTCCATTCTCCTCATCACTTTCTGGTACACCAATCAAATATATATTTGGTCTTTGCACATGGTCCCATATTTCTTGGAGGCTTTCTTCATTTCTTTTTACTCTTGTTTCTCTAACCTTGTCTTCTCACTTTATTTCATTTATTTGATCTTCAATCACTGATACCCTTTCTTCCACTTGATTGAATTGGCTATTGAAGCTTGTGCATGCGTCACAAAGTTCTCGTGCCATGGTTTTCAGCTCCATTGGGTCACTTAAGGTCCTCTCTACACTGTTTATTCTTGTAAGCCATTCGTCTAATCTTTTTTCAAGGTTTTTAGCTTCCTTGCAATGGGTTCCAACATCCTCCTTTAGCTTGGAGACGTTTGTTATTACCAACCTTCTGAAGCCTACTTCTGTCAACTCGTCAAAGTCATTCTCCGTCCAGCTTTGTTCCATTGCTGACAAGGAGCTGTGATCCTTTGGAGGAGAAGAGGTGCTCTGATTTTTAGTATTTTCAGCTTTTGTGCTCTGGTTTATCCCCATCCTTTTGGTTTTATCTACCTTTGGTCTTTGATATTGTTGACCTACAGATGGGGTTTTGGTGTAGATGATCTTTTGTTAATGTTGACACTATTCCTTTCTGTTTTTTAGTTTTCCTTCTAACAGTCAGGACCCTCAGCTGCAGATCTGTTGGAGTTTGCTGGAGTTCCACTCCAGACACTGTTTGCCTCGGTATCACCAGTGGAGGCTGCAAAACAGCAAATATTGCAGAACAGCAAATATTGCTGCCTGATCCTTCGTCTGGAAGCTTCGTCCAAGAGGGGCAGCCGCCTATATGAGGTGTCTGTCAGCTCCTACTGGGAGGTGTGTCCCAGTTAGGCTACACAGGGGTCAGGGACCCACTTGAGGAGGCAGTCTGTCCATTCTCAGAACTCAAACGCCATGCTGGGAAAACCACTGCTCTCTTCAGAGCTGTCAGACAGGGATATTTAAGTCTGCAGAAGTTGCTGCCTTTTGTTCAGCTATCCCCACCCACAGACGTGGAGTCTAGAGGCAACGGGCCTTGTCAAGCTGTGGTGGGCTCCACCCAGTTCAGGCTTCCCTGGCCGCTTTGTTTACCTACTTAAGCCTCAGCAATGGTGGACGCCCCTCCCCCAGCCAGGCTGCCACCTCGCAGATGGATTTCAGACTGTTTCGCTAGCAGTGAGCAAGGCTCCATGGGTGTGGGACCCACTGAGCCAGGCACAGGAGAGAATCACCTTGTCTGCTAGTTGCTAAGACCTTGGGAAAAGTGCAGTATTTGGGCGGGAGTGCCCTGTTTTTCCAGGTAGTCTGTCACAGCTTCCCTTGGCTAGGTAAGGGAAATCCCCCAACCCCTTGTGCTTCCCAGGTGAGGCGACGCCCCATCCTGCTTCAGCTCACCCTCTGTGGGCCTGCACCCACTCTCCAACCAGTCCCAATGAGATGAACCAGTTACCTCAGTTGGAAGTGCAGAAATCACCCATCTTCTCTGTCGATCATGCTGGGAGCTGCAGACCGGAACTGTTCCTATTTGGCCATCTTGGAACTCATCCAGGACATCTGGTAGAAGAAATTTGTAAGCAGCAAAGTGTTCAATTTATGACCTGAGTGCTCTTAAAAGTGTGCAGTTTTATGCATTCACAAAAATATGGTTTTGAATTAGAACTTATGTTTAAAAGGGAGCTGAGCATAAAAGTTTGGAAGATTTGCAGCCTGATGATGTGATAGAAAAGAAAACCCATTTTCTGGGGAGAAATTCAAGCTGACTGCAGAAATTTGCAGAAGTAACAAGGAGCCAAATGTTGATTGACAAGATAATGGGGAAATTGTCTCCAGGGCATGTCAGAGTTCTTCATGACAGCCCCTCCCGTCACAGAGTTGGAGGCCTAGGAGGGAAAAAATGGTTTTGTGGGCCAGGCCCAGAACTTTGCTGCTCTGTGCAGTCTTGGGACTTGGTGTCCTGTGTCCCAGCCATGGTTAAAAGGAGCCAACGTGCAGCTCAGGCTATTGCTTCAGAGTTCAATCCCCAAGCCTTGGCAGCTTCCATGTAGTGTTGGGTTGATATGCTAGTTGGCCATTTGTATTTTTTTTTTGGAAAAAATGTCTATTCAAGTCTATCTTAGTCCACTCCTGCTGCTATAACAAAACACCTTAGGCTGGTAATTTATAAACAACAGAAATTTATTTATTGCGTTCTGGAGTGTGAGAAGTCCAAGATTTAGGCTACAACAGACTCAGTGACTGGTGAGGTCACTATATTCACTATACATAGCACCTTCTCTGTGTCCTCACATGTTCAAAAGGGAAAACAAACTCCCTTAAGCCTCTTTTATAAAGGCCCTAGTCCCATTTCTGAGGGCTATGACTTCATGAACTAATCATCTCCAAAATGCCCCACCTCTTAATATTATCACATTGAATATTAGGCTCCAGCATATGAATATTGGGAGAACATTTGGACCATAGCAAAGTCAACTGACCATTTCCCATTTAGGTTGTTTTGTTATTGAGTTGTTGTTCTGTAAATATTTTAGATATTAACCCCTTATCAGGTATTTGGTTTGCTGGGAGGTTTTTGATTCCTGATTCAGTTACTAGTTATAGGTTTATTAAGATTTTTTATTTTGTGACTTAGTCTTCGTAACTTGCATGTTACTAGGAATCTGTTCATTTCTCCTAGGTTATCCAACTTGTCAGTATATAATCATTCATAGTAGACTCTTAGAATCCTTTTTATTTCTGTAATATCTGTTGCAGTGTCTTCTCTTTGATCCTAAAAGAAGTTGAGTCTTCTTTATTTTTTTTCTTAAATATTCTAGATAATGATTTGTCAGTTTTGTTGAACTTTGAAACAACTACTAGTTTCATTGGGTTTTTTTTCTATTCTCTAGCCTTTTTTTTTTTGAGAAGGAGTTTCGCTCTTATTGCCCAGGCTGTAGTGCAAAGGCGTGATCGCCGCTCGCTGCAACCTCCGCCTCCCAGTTCAAGTGACTCTCCCGCCTCAGCCTCCAGAGTAGCTGGGATTACAGGCATGCACCACCATGCCCGGCTAATTTTGTATTTTTTAGTAGAGACAGGTTTCTCCATGTTGCTGAGGCTTGTCTCGAACTCCCAACGTCAGGTGATCCACCTGACTCGGCCTCCCAAAGTGCTCGGATTACAGTCGTGAGCCACTGCACCCGGCCTTCTGCTCTAGACTTTATTATTTCCTTCCTTTTGCTAACATTGGGTTGAGTTCTTCTTTTTCCAGTTTCTTGAGGTGTAAAGCTAAGTTGCTGATTTTAGATCTTCTTTTTTAAGGTAGGTAGTTAGATATATAAACTGTCCTCTTCATATTAATTTTGCTGCATCCCACAAGCTTTGGAATGTTGTGTTTCCATTTTTATTTGTCTCAAGACATTTTCCAATTTTCCTTGTGACTTATTCTTTGACTATGTATTAATCAGAGTTCTCCAGAGGGTCAGATCTAATAGGAAATATAGATATAGATATAGATATAGATAATAGATATAGATACATATACATGCATCTAAAAGAGAATATATTTACATATATATGAAATATAATTTATTAAGGAGAATTGGCTCACATAATTACAAAGGCAAAGTCCCACAATAGGCCATCTATAAGCTGGAAAATGAGAGAAGCCTACAGCATGGCTCCCAAGGAAGCCAGTGACATGGCTCAGTCCAAATCTGAAAGTCTCAAAACCAGGGAAGCTGACAGTGCAGCCACTAGTCTGAGGCCCAAGGCCTGAGAGCTCCCAAAAGGCTGCTGATGTAAGTTCCAGGGTCCAAAGGCCAAAGAACCTAGAGTTTGATGTGCAAGGGCAAGAGGAGAAAAAGGCTTACTGCTCTGGAAGGGAGAGAAAGTGCATAAAAAAGAAATCCAAGCAAGCTGAATGTTCCCATTCTTCTGCCTTTTTGTTCTAGTCACACTTGCAACCAATTGCATGATGCCTACCCACAGTGAGGATGGGTTTTTCTCTCTCAGTCCACTAACTCATCCATCATTCTCCTGTGGCAGCACCCTCACAGATATACCCACACACAGTGCTTCATCAGGCATCTAAGCATCCCTCAATCAAATTGACAATTAATATTAACCACACAGGCCAATTGGTTAAGAGAGTATATTTTTGTAATTTCCACATATTTATTACTTTTCCTTTTTCCTTCTGCTATGAATTTGTAATTTCATTTAATGTGGTCAGAAAAGATATTTGGTATGAGTTCAGTTTTCTTAAATTTTTAAAAACTTGTTTGTGGACTAGCATGCCATCTATGCTGGAAAAGTCTTGGTATGTACTTGAGAAGAAAGCATATTTTGCTATTATTGGGTGAAGTGTTCTGTATATGTCAGACAGGTCCAATTGGTCTACAATGTTGTTCAAGTTCTGTGTTTTCCAGTTGATCTGTCTGGTTATTGTATCCATAATTGAAAGTGGAATATTGAAGTTTTCTGTTATTATGATGTTGTTATCTATGTTACCCCTCAATTCTGTCTATGTTAGCTTCATACATTTAGATGCTGTACTGTTAGTTGCATATACATTTATAATTGCTATATCTTCTTGGTCAATTGGCCGTTTTATTATTATGTAATATCCTTGTCTCTTGTGCTATTATTTGACTTAAACTCTATTTTGTCTAAGTATGGCCATCCTTGTTCTCTTTTGGTTACCAAAGGCATTGAATATCTTTTTCCATCTTTTCACTTTCAACCTTTGTGCATATTTAGATCTAACATAAGTCTCTTGCATATAGTATATATTTAGATTTTTTTAATCCATTCGGCCAATTCTCTGTCTTTTGATTGGAAAATTAGCCTATTTGCATTTAAAGTAGTTACTGATAGGGAGGGGCTTACTATTGTCATTTTGTTCATTGTTTTATACATGTCTTGCAGATATTTTTTTCCACTTTTCCTCTCTTTCTGCCTCCCTTTATGTTTCACTGATTTCTTTTTTTGGTAGGGACTTGCTTTGGTTCCTTTCTCATTTTTATTTGTGTATCTTCTGTAGGTCTTTTCTTTGTGGTTACTGTAGAATTACATGAAAACATCTTATAGTTATAATAATCTATTTTAAATTGACAACAACTTAACTTTAATCACATACAAAAACTCTACGTCTTTACACCTCCTTCTCACTTTGTTATCAATGTCACACTATATATTTTATATTGTTTATTCACATCATTTAATACAGTAATATTATGCTTTTACCTTTTAAATTCTATGCTTCAATTAAAAGTGAATTACAGGCTGGGTGTGGTGTCTCATACCTGTAGTCCCAGCACTTTGAGAGGCCAAATGGGAGGATCACTTGATCCTAGGAGTTTGAGACCAGCAAGGCCTTATCTCTGCTAAAAATTTAAAAATATTATCTGAGTGTGGTGGTGCATGTCTGTAGTCCCAGCCACTCGGGAGGCTGAGGTGGGAGGATTACTTTAGCCCAGGACTGCAAGGCTGCAGTGAGCCGTGATCAAACCACTGCACTCCAGCCTGGGCAACAGAGCAAGACTTTGTCTCAAAAAAAAAAAGTAAAGGAAAAAAAGTGTTTTGCTTACCACCATTAGGGTATTAAAGGATTCTATGTTCACTCATATATTTACCTTTACCAAAGAAGTTTATATTTTGTATGCTTTTGCATTTCTATCCAATGCCTTTTCATTTCCACTTGGAGGACTCCCTTTAACATGTTTTGTAAGGTAGGTCTAGTGGTGATCAACTCCCTCACCTTTTACTTCTCTGGGGAACTCTTTGTTTGTCTTTCATTTTTGAAATACAGTTTTACTGGCTATACAGTTCTTGGCTGACAGTTTTTTTTTTTTCTTTCAGCCCTTTTAATATATCATCCCATTCTCTTCTGGCCTGTAGAGTTTTTGCTGAGAATTCCATTGATAACCATATGGCATCTCCCTTGTATGTGACAAGTTGCTTTGATCCTGTTCCTTTCAAAATTCTCTCTTTGTCTTTGACTTTTGACAGTTTGATTGTAATGTGTCTCATTGTAGGTCTTTTGCAAATTATCCAACTTGGAGTTCTTTGAGCCTCTTGGATTTGTATGTCCATTTCCTTCTTTAAGTTTGAGAAGTTTTTGGTCATTATTTTTTTAACTGGCTCTCTGCCCCTTTATTTTTCTCTTCTCCTTCTGGCACTTTCATAATGCATACATTGGTCTGCTTGATGGCATCCTGTAAGTCTCTTAGGCTGTCTTCACTCTTCACTCCTTTTCCCTTTTGCTCCTCTGACTCCATAATTTCAAATGACTAGTCTTCCATTTCACTGATTCTTTCTTCTGCTTGATGTTATTGAAACTGCCTTTGCAAAAATTATAACTGAAGAAATTATGACAGCAAAAGACATCAGACTTAATCAACTGCATCTTGCTTCTAGCGTTTAAACTGTCCTTGTTCATTCCTGGCAGTAGGATGAACTAATTTTGGGAAGATATTCAGTTCATGGTTTGACTCTGAAACAAAGTTGATAATAGCCATTTCCCAAAAAGATCCCCTTCTTGCCTGGAACCAGTTTGCCTTTGCAGGATAAACAAATTAGCTACAACATTAGAAATTACAGTTGAGGGGTTATGCAGCCTTGGCTCCAAGAGTCTGAACCTCTCCAAATTGCTCCTGGGGATAACATCACTATTGTAAAACCTAAAATCAGTGCTTGAGATATTTTGCAGACCCTGCACTGGATGAATCAGCTGACACCACCCAGACTGGTAATATGGCTCAACTAGTTCTGCCACCCCACCCACAAACAGAAGACAGCAAGAAAACATCACTTCAACCCTGTATGATTTCATCTCCAACCTGATGAATAAGCAGTCCCCACTTCCCAAGCCCCTACCTGCCAAATTATCTTTAAAAGTTCTGATCCCCGAATGCTCAGGGAGACTGATTTGAGGAATAATAAAACTCTGATCTCCCGCACAGCCGGCTCTACCTGAATTACTCTTTCTCCATTGCAATTCCCCTGTCTTGATAAATCAGCTCTGTCTAAGCAGGGCATGAGGTGAACCCATTGGGCAGTTACACAGTCTATTGATGATTTCCGATAGTGAATTTTTCAATTGAGCTATTGCATTCCTTAGCTCCAGAGTCTCTGTATGGTTCCTTTTTTTTTTTTTTTAGTTTCTATCTCTGTTAATATTTTCATTTTGTTCTGAATTATTTCCTGCTTTCACTTAGTTGTCTATTTCTGTTGTCACTGGGCTTCATTAAGAGAGTTAATTTGGATTCTTTGTCAGGTAACTCATTTATCTATTCCTTTAGGGTTGGTTTCTGGAGATTTATTTTGCTCCTTTAATTTAGTCATCGGGTTTCTCTGTTTCTTCTTATGTCTTGTTATTTTTTATTTATTTTTGCCCAGATTTGGGTGTTTGAAAAAACTGCCACTTATCCCAGTTTTTCTCAGCTGGCTTCATATGGAAGACCTTCATACCTGAATCAGCATGGCTATAGGTTCCAGCAGCCTCTCAAACTTTTTCTGGGAATGCATCTTCTTTGGGTTTATACATTGCAACATCCCAAGTAGAGGTTTGCCAGTTTCTTTTTCTGGAGCTGTTGCTCCCTCTGGTATCTGTCTGTGGTACTGCAGGTTCCCTGGTGCTGCATCATCTCTGACCTCTCCTTTATTCCCAGTGGCTCCCATGCATCCAAAGTATGCCAGTTGGGCGTCAAGTTAGAGAGAGAGAGAGCTTCAGGTAACCTCATAAAACTATTCCATTCCAGTCTTCTCTTTCCCTGCTAACGGAGAAGCTGCAAGTTCAGTGCTTCCCAGCCAAACCAACCTGTTCGAGCTTGGGGAAGGGGTATCATGAGTATAATGCAACAGCTTTTCTTATTTGTTCAATGCCACTATTCTTGGCTTTGCACTTGTCTGTGCTACTACAACTTCTTAATGGTTTATGGAACTCCATAAAGGCTTTTAGACCATATGTAGTTTTTCAGTTGGTATCTTTATGGAGAATCAAGGTTTGGAGCTTCCCATTCCACCACCTGGCTGACATCACTCTGTTTATATTATTTTTTATTTTTATTATATTTTATTTTCTTGAGACAGGATCTTACTCTGTCAGCCAGGCTAGAGTGCAGCCTCGAACTCCTGAGCTCAAGGGACCTCCTCCCTCAGGCTACTGAGTACTTGGACTATAGGCACACACCACATACCGGGCTAATTTCTTATTTTGTTGTGAAGATGGGGTTTCACTCTGTTGCCCAAGTTGGTCTCAACTCTTGGGCTCAAGCAATCCTTCTGCCTTGGCCTCCCAAAGTGCTGGGATTAAAGGTGTGAGCCCACCATGCGCTGCCTGTTATATTTAGTAGAAAATATATCTAAAAATATACTTACGTACTATATTGAATCCACTACCCAGAGCTTAACTGAACTATTTTTGTGACTCATTCTGTTTTTTTGTTTTTTGCTTTTTACTTATTACAATGAACTACAAGTATGGATATATTAATATTAATTAATATAAAATATACTGGAATCTTTTGTATTTTTTTTCCTTTTTTCTTCACCAAAAGCAGAAACTTAAATACACTGAAATCTTAAATGACCCTTGAGTGTTTCTAGGACTGACCCTGGAACAAAATTTTTCATGTTGTTATTACATTGTTCTTTTCATGTTAAAATCATTTGTTTCTTTTTCATATAGTACATCAAAGAAGAATTGTTAATATAGCCCTTACCAGCCATATGCTAAGTGCCACAAGTGTTTCGGTCTCTCTCCATTCTTGTACCTCACTTGGTCTTTTTTTTTTTTTCTTTTGGAGGTGTAGCCTTCATCTTTCACCCAGGCTGGAGTGTGGTGGCACGATCTCAGCTCACGCAACCTCTGCCTCCCAGGTTCAAGTGATTCTCCTCCCTCAGCCTCCTGAGTACCTGGGACCACAGTTGTGTGCCACCAGGCCCACCTAATTTTTGTATTTTTAGTAGAGATGGGGTTTCATTATGTTGGCCAGGCTGGTCTTCAACTCCTGACCTCAAGTAATCCACCCTCCTCAGCCTCCCAAAGCGCTGGGATTACAGACATGAGCCACTGCACCCGGACTACCTCACTCTGTCTTTTAAATTGGCTAATGTAAGGGGAGCATCTTGTGCTTGTTAAGTCTTTGTTTTCTTGCCTATTTATATAATGGACATTTCTGAGTTGTGTGTATATATTAAATTATTTGAGAGCATATTTTTAATGTACTAAATAGATCTACATGTTTTCATACATGTCATTATAAAAAGACCATTTGCATATATTTGTTCTATAAAATGCTTACTTTTCTTCATGAACCACCTAGATTTGTTTTTCTGATGTGTAGTGTATGTGAAAATGTTTCTTTGTGAATTTTTTTTTTTATTGTGTGCCCCTACAGGTGGTATGCTTAATAACGCCATAGCCTCTATAAGGAACGTATGTATTAGTCTGCTGGCAGGAATTGTTTTGGGATTTTTTTGTTCGATATTTTCCAAGTGAAGACCAGGTGAACACAAAATCTATTTTATAGAAGTATAGTATTAGACATTTTTTTCAAAATATTAAACTTTGGTAAGATCCATGAAATTTAATACTTAACCCTATTTTTCTAAAACTAGCCTCCAATGCCTACTCTGTATTTAAAACTGAGCACAGCAGTGATTGATACAGGTCAATGGCTTTGATTAAAGTCTCTGCTTCCTGATTTGGCAAATAAGGAATGTCAAAAAATATACTTAATGCAGAGTATCCCTCTGAATTATACTTTCCCTTTCTCTACTAAATTGCCTATTGATGTTTGATAATTTCCCCCAAATTTTCCCTTAAACATTTTAGGGGGAGATAGGTTCCCATTTATTTCTTCATATTTTCTGACTGAAATTCACTCCTGCTATCCTTTGACAAAGGCAACACTCAAACTTAGCCATTTCCTGCCTTAAAGGAAAACATGCCATTACTTTTGTATTTCTGTAATTTCCATCCAAATTTAGCTGTAACATATTGACCAAAGAGATATTCAAATATTTTTTAAGAATTCATTGGGTATGTTATATGAAACTGGAGATTTTATGGGTCTCTTTTCTTCTTCACTTAAAGTAATACTTTAACCATTTTACTGATACTAGTATCAGAGATGTGGCAGAAGATGAAACGTTACTAGTCGGAAATTTTGTTACTTGGTAGTAAGTCTGCTAAAATGTATGGTGAGAAAGAAAATCGAAATTTTAGACATTTAATATAACATTTAAAGACATAATATCAAAGGGTCAAACATATATAATAGATAATGTCAAATCTTATATATTTAATATAAACTAATTTCTAAATATCTATCTAATTCTAGAAAAAACTTACATTGAAGAGAGGATTCCTTGTTTTGACTACGTGTGTTTCTGCTGTCTTAGGCAGCCAACGTATTGGTTTACATGGATCTGGAGGATTATGCACACTAGTGTTGAGTTTCATTGCAGGGACAAAATGGTCCCAAGAAAAGGTGAATATTTTTAATATGCTATATTTTAAAAGCTAAGACAACTGAATTTTTTTGCATATATTTAGGAAATCCCCTCATTCTGGTTGGAAAATATTCCAAAAGGTTTGCTATCCTCAAGAAAGTGTATGAATCAATTGAGGAAATAAAATATTTAGGAAAAGCAGGTAGAAATATACTAATATGGAATCAGAAGTTCAGTTAATCACATCAGGCTTCTCTTTTTCCCAAGTTTTATATAATATTATTATATTACTTATATCAATCTAATTATTTTATTCATTGAAATTTTAATTATACAATTAATCCATGAAGAATGTTTGTAAAAGGCCAGGCACGGTGGCTCATGCCTGTAATCCCAGGACTTTGGGAGGTCGAGGTGGACAGATCACCTGGGGTCAGGAGTTTGAGACCAGCGTGGCCAACATGTTGAAACTCCATCTCTACTAAAAATACAAAAATTAGCTGGGCATGGTGGCTTGGTGGTGGGCACCTGTAATTCCAGCTACTCAGGAGGCTGAGGCAGGAGCATTGCTTGAACCCAGGAGGTGGAGGCTGCAGTGAGTCGAGATCATGCCATTGCACTCCAGCCTGGGCAACAAGTGCAAAACTCCATCACACACACACACAAAAAAATAAACAAACAAATAAATAATAAAAATAGAAATGCTTGTAAAAGCATAAAACATATAGAATAAAACATAAAAGATTTCTTTATTCCCTACCACTGTCAAATATCTAACCCCCTTACATTTTTTTAAGTAACCAGTATTCTATTTATAGACATTAAGATCGTTTCCACTTTTTGTTATTTACAAACAGTGCTGTCATAAACAGTGTTGTTCATGTCTTTTTTTTTTTTTTTTGAGACACAGTTTCACTCTTGTCACCCAGGCTGGAGTGCAGTAGCATAATCTTGGCTCACTGCAACCTCCACCTCCTGGATTCAAGTGATTCTTCTATTTCAGCCTCCCTAGTAGCTGGGATTACAGGCGCGCACCACCAGGCCCAGCAAATTTTTGTATTTTTAGTAGAGACGGGGTTTCACCATGTTGGCCAGGCAGGTCTTGACCTCCTGACCTCAGGTGATACTCCTGCCTCGGCCTCCCAAAGTGTTGGGATTACAGGTACATCTGTAGGAATAGAGTCCCAGACATGATTTTTTTTTTTTTTTTTTGAGACAGAGTCTCTGTCTGTGTTGCCCAGGCTGGTCTCAAAATCCTGAGCTCAAGGGATCCTCCCAACTTGACATTGCAAAGTGCTAGGATTACAAGCATGAGCTACCACACCTGGCTGGAAATGATCTGTGTTTTATTTTGATGGACACTGCTAAATTATCCCTCCAAAAATTTTGGTTATTTACACTCTGCCAACAGTGCACAAAAATATCTAATACCTTAACTCATCAACAGCACTTGATATTATCACTAGTTCTATTCTTTTTACTATTAAATGACCTCACCATCCAATTCTTATAGTTTCTTACAATTATGTGATGTTGTTATTCTTTATTTACATTTCTCTGATTGGTAGTATAGTCAGCTTCTCTTCATATATTCTTTTTAAAATACCTATGATCTTCTTTGACCATTTTTATTGGGTTATTTATTTTTTTGTTTCTAATTTATAGTTTCTCTTAGTGTTAGGGCTACTGATCCTTTGTTATGTATATATTGATATAATTTTTGCTTATCTTCAACTTTGTTTATGGTGTCTGGTGTATGAAAGTAAAATTTCCTATGACCAAACCTATTGGGTTTTCCTTTTTTGGTTTTGGATTCTGCATCTCATTTAAGAAGGACTTTCTCACTGAAGATTATAACATATAAACATTACAAAGATATACTATTTTGTGTATTATCATTTAATATTTTGGTAGTTTTTGTTTGTTTAATTTGTTTTTTCATTTAGTCTTTTAATCTATCTGGAATTTATCTTTGTGAATGCTGTAAGGTAAGGTTATACATATATACATATGTGTATCTTACAAACTATATATATATATATACACATACACACATACAGTTTGTAAGTTAACTGAACAGAGATAGTACTACATCATGCCTGATGTGTGTGTGTATATATGTATATATACACACACATAATATATATACATATTCAGACACACATATATACTTGCATGTGATGAATATGTACATACAGATATATGCACATAAACTAGACAGTCATTTTTTGCCAAATTGTTTATTTATTGACCAATTCATTAATAATTCAGTTTTTTAACATGAACTAAATTCTCCCATATATATTAACTCTGAAGTCTATTTAATCCTACTTCTCTATTTCTATGCCAATACCACTGTTTTAAATCACTGCAGTTTTATGTGTCAAAATCTAATATAGATTATTCTTCTTTTTAAAGTATTTTTTGGCTGTTCCTACACATATTCTTTCTTAGATAAATTTTAGAATCAGCTTGAGAAGTTCCCTAATCAAAAATCATAGTGGCATTTTGCTTAGTATTCTTATATAATCATAATTAAAAAAGAAATGAAATGAATGAAATGCAAATCAATAAATAAAATTAAAACTGCTAGAATTTTTTTAAATGGTAAAAGAAACAGAACTAAAACAAGTTTTAAAGATTAAAAGTAACAAATAGGATAATTATGCTGTAAAGAGTAGTAACATCGTTTTTCTTTGTTTTTCTTTTTTTAAACTATAATAAGTGGGGATCAGAAAACACAGTCATAAGGGAAATAGTTATGAAGATAGTTTATGCCTCAAGGAAGAGACATCAAAGTTCTTATGTATCTTCTGTTTAAAAAAAAATTAAACCCAGACTGAGACTGGGTTTAATCTCTTCATCCAAATTCCTGGAGAAGAGCCAGAGTAATGTAGGCCAATAGGGGCCTTTCCTGTAACCTTTTAACTGGGGAAGTAGCACTGGGAGGCATTCGTTTCCAGAAAGGGAAGCTGGGTAGGCAGCTAAATGAGAATCTAATATATATTTTGGTTTTGTTTTAAGGAAAAAGTAACTTTAAAGTATTCAACATGGGTTCTTTGGAAGCAGGCCTTACAGACTTCCAAATTGTTTTTCCTAGTAGTATATGCTATATATATCAGGATTCACTTTAATGGGATTGAGTTCCAGGATGGTTGTTAGTGGAAGGCTTCCCAACCCCCTTCTGAGAACCCAAATGTTTGCATGAACTCGGTATGTTCTCATCAGGCATGATGTAGTTCTATCTCTGTTCAGTTAACTTAGAGACAAAATCTGGAACTCATACGAAACATGGCTAGAACCCTAAGGACATCACTTATTCTGTGACAAAATGGCCAAATAGTATTATTTTATTGCTTTGTGAGTCTCTTTTAATCAAATTCTACCTGTTTGAGTAAAACTATTGAAGTGCTCAGTTTTTATTATTTAAGTTTAACATTTTTATTAAAATAAAGCGTCTTAAATTTATTAAAAGCTAAGTGACTTTAGGCCAGGCATGGTGGCTCATGTCTATAATGCCAGTGCTTTGGGAGGCCACAGCCAGAGACCACTTGAAGACAGGAGTTCTAGACCATCCTGGGCAATATAGCGAGACCCCGTCTCTATAAACAATTTAAAAATTAGCCCAGCATGGTGGTACACAACTGTAGTTCTACTTGGGAGACTGTGAGAGGATCACTTGAGCCCAGGAGTTCAAGGCTACAGTGAGCTATGATTATGCCACTACACTCCAGCCTGGGCAACAGAGCAAGACCCCATCTCTAAAATACTTAAAAAGTGAAAAAAAAAAAAATGGTGAGGGAGACTTTAACTTTCTGAAATATATTTATGTGCCAAAATAATTATAAATGTATTTCTCTTTTCTATAGATGAAAGTCCAAAAGATTATTACAAATGTATGGGATATTTTTCAACCACTTCTTTTTGGTTTAGTTGGAGCAGAAGTATCTGTTTCATCACTTGAATCAAATATTTTTGGTAAGAATAATTACAGCACAAAAAATATGAAATTCAAAAATATTTAAGAAAATTATAAATACATTTATTTTTATTTACAATATATCTTTGAATGGCTACAAGGACCTTCTTCAGAAACACATGTTGATACAGTATCATATTTTCATATTGCTCTCCCTTTACACTGTGTGCTCTTTTTTTTTTAAACCAACCAAGGACAGCCCTGAATATCTTCCCTGAGTTATCTAAGGAAATAAATATAAGATTTCTTTCCTGAGGGAATATATTTGATACGATCAGCACTTTTTGAGTACTTTCATTTAAAACTATTGGCTGGGTGTGGTGGCTCATGCCTGTAATCTTAGCACTTTGGGAGGCTGAAGCGGGCAGATTTCTTGAAGTTAGGAGTTCAAGACCTGCCTGGCTAACATGGGGAACCCCATCTCTCCTAGAAATACAAAAATTAGCCAGGTGTGGTAGTGCACGCCTGTAATCCCAGCTACTCAGGAGGCTGAGGCAGGAGAATCACGTGAACCCGGGAGTCGGAAGTTGCAGTGAGCTGAGATTGTACCACTGCACTCCAGCCTGGGCGACAGAGCAAGAATCCTTCTCAAAAAGTAAATTATTATTAATAATAATAAAAATATTCAAAAAAAGTCTATTAGTTCAGAATTGTATAAATGTCATCTGTCTTATTTTTCATGGTACCTCCACCATCAGATACTGTCTTGCACTTTACAGAGAATCCTCCATCATATTCATTTTTTATTATCATTGTTTTATGTAAAAATTAAACACATGAAGAGACAATAGCCTTAAAATGCTTTCAAAAGTTTTAGAAATCATATTCCTGGGCATAAAGAACACTTCTTCACAAATATTTTGTTATTTATGTTTGTTTTCATCTGTTGTAGGCATATCTGTTGCTACTCTGAGTTTGGCATTATGTGTTCGAATTTTAACCACATATCTATTGATGTGCTTTGCTGGTTTTAGTTTTAAGGAGAAAATATTTATTGCTTTAGCATGGATGCCCAAAGCTACAGTACAGGTAAGAACATATTAAGCCTATTGCTTAATGCTTTCGTTTTGATGCTTTTAAAATTTAAAATGAAAAATGTTACTCCAATCACAAAATATGAGTTATTATCCTTACTTTTTAAATGTTTGATTGATCATAACTATTCATTAAAATTAACGTAACCAGTCCCAGCTACTCAGGAGGCTGAGATGGGAGAATCACTTGAACCCAGGAGGCAGAGGTTGCAGTAAGTTGAGATGGCACAACTGTACTCCAGTCTGGCAACAGAGCAAGACTCAATCTCAAATAAATAAATAAATAAATAAACAAAAACAAACAAAGAAACTCAATGTAACCTTTTTCTATTTTTATTTTTATTTTCATTTTGAGACCAGGTCTCACTCTGTCACCCAAACTGGAGTGCAGTGGCATGATCACGGCTCACTGCAGCCTCAACCTCCTGGGCTCAAACAATCCTCTCACATCAGCCTCCTGAGTAGCTAGGATCACAGTCACCTGCCACCACACCCAACTGCTTTTTTTCAGATTTTTTTTTTTTGAGACAGTCTTACTCTGTTGTCCAGGCTGGAGTGCAGTGGCATGATCTCAGCTCAATGCAACCTCCACCTCCCAGGTTCAAGCGATTCTCCTGCCTCAGCCTCCTCAGTAGCTGGGATTACAGGTGCACACCACCACGCCCAGCTAATTTTTGTATTTTTAGTAGATATGGGGTCTCACCATGTTGGCCAGGCTAGTCTCAAACTCCTGACCTCAAGTGATCCACCTGTCTCAGCCTCCCAAAGTGCTGGGATTACAGGCATGAGCTACTGCGCCTGGCCTTTTCTTTCTGATTTTTTTGTAAAGAGGAGGTCTTGCTATGTTGCCCAGGCTGATCTTGAACTCCTAGGTTCAAGTGATCTTCCTGCCTCAGCCTCCTAAAGTTCTGGGATTACAAGCATAACCCACTGGGCCTAGCCAATGTAACCTTTTGAAATCTCAGTTTTAAAAGCAATTATTTTGAAATCAAAAAGCATTCTTTCAATAAGTACTTCCTAAGTTTATGAAAATATGTTTTTTATTTTCCTAAAATATATAATAAGAATATATCTGAAAATTGGAGTTTTTATATTTTGCTGAATATAACAAAGCTAAATGTTATGATTTTAAAAAGTAGAGACACAGGCCAGGCATGGTGGCTCATGCCTGTAATCCTAGCACTTCGGGAGGCTGAGGCAGACAGATCACTTGAGCTCAGGAGTTCAAGACCAGCCTGGGCAACATGGTAAAACCCCTGTCTCTACAAGAAATACAAAAAAATTAGTCAGGTGTGGTGGCACGCACCTGTAGTCACAGCTACTTGGGGGCTGAGGCAGGAGGATTTCTTGAACTCGGGAGGTTGAGGCTGCAGTGAGCTGAGGTCATGCCACTTCACTCCAGCTTGGGTGACAAAGTGAGATCCTGTCGCAAAAAAAAGTAAAGTAAAATAGAGACACATTGATTTTTTAAAAAATACTTTTCCTACCTTGCCACTCACTCCATCACACAAATGCACATATATTTTTTTATTACACATTTATTTGTATACTATTTGGTTAATGGCTAAATCCCTGCCCCCGCCCCCTTGATAGGCTATGTAAGGACAGGGACAGTGTCTGGTTGTTGCAGTTGTTTTTCATTATTTCTCCCTGGCACTTAACACAGTGCCTGACATGCAAGAGGCAAATACGTATTGCATGCCTGCAAGGATGAATGAACGGAAAGGGAAACCTTGTAATTTTGCCCTGTTATTCAAGGATATTCTCCTCCTACTAAAATATATTGCTACTTCTTGTTAGACTGTTTAACTTGGCAGCATAATATACCTTAATTTCCTGTGGCTCTTTTCTTAGTTGTTATTCCAAAACAGAAGCTCCTAAATTTTCATGCAAAAAAACCCCTATTATCATGTTAGAAAAGCAGGTTCTTAGGGCCAGACTACCTGTTTTGAATACCATGTTACTTGCCTATAACCTCAGGAAAATTATTTTCTAGTCTCTCAGTCCTTCAGTGTTCTCATCTTACAATGAAGTCTATGACTGTATCTGTTTCTTAGCAGTGTTGTCAGGATTCAATGAGATAATCCACTTAAAGTGCTTAGCACTCTCTCTGGCATATGGTGGTGCTCAGTTAACAAACAATGTTGTTATTTTATCTTACCTTCAAGTAATATAAATAATAACTTTTTATTTTTAATATCTACTGTAGGGAATAATAAATCTACAAAAGGCTTATCTGTTCTCTCTCCTTCCAACAATACTCTTGCAATTTTGTTTCATTATTTCATAATTTTCATAAAGCAGGGAAAAAAGAAAAGCAGGTATGAGGAAAGAGACCACTCACTCGAGTCCTGCAGTATTATTCTGCTTCTGCCTATTCATGTCTGCTGGCTCCAGGCTAGCTTCTACACAAAGAATATCAAGCTGGTTCCAGGAACTGGCAAGACATAAAAAATTAATTATTTATACAAGTAGAGTCACAACAGCGATAATAGATAACAATAATGTCACAAGTAAATACGATCAACAAATATTTAAATTTCAATTTTAAATTATTTTCACCTTTATCCTCTTCCACCGTTCTCTGCTGCTAAAATAAAATTGGCTAAGGTTCAGCTTTCTCTTGTTCCTTAGTTTCGAGTTACTGATAAAAATTAGACTGGAAAAATAGAAGCTACTAGGAGAGTAAATAAATAATTTAGTTTACAAATGTAAGATCAGCTTGGCAATTGGATTTTTTTAAAGAAATAATATTAAATCTCAGTCACTAGGAGGAAATCATTTATCATCTAATAAAAGTTCTCACATAATAAGGTTGTCATAAGAATTAAATGAATTGATAAATGGAAAGCTTTAAGAATGATACCTGACATATGATGAATGCCATATAACTATAAAAATATTATTTCTAGTTTCACCATTATCGTCATCATCTCTTAAAAATCAATGGGTTTGGTTTTTGTTTTTGTTTTTTTCTGTTGGCAGTTCTTTTATGTTCAAATCCTCTTCTAAACTGTAAGATTCTTTCAAGGTGGTTTTCTGCATGATTTTTTTTTTTCACCCTAGCATCCTCCAGCACACTGGATCATGTTCAGTACATTAAAAGTTATGATATAAAAATAATACCATTTTAAATTATTGATTTAGGATATAGAAATTGATCTTAAATTGAGGACTTCTTTTGCCATAATTTTCCATATCAGAGGTAATGTTTCTACCATTATGTTGTCACTTTGCAACTCCATAGAAAATATGTTACATATTGGTATTTAATTCCCCCAAATTTTAAGGCAATTTCATGCCTAGTTATTAAACACAAGGAAAGAGAGTTAGCAAGAAATTTGCTTTATGTTATTAAAAATAATGTGGTAGAAGGTAACTAGGGAAAAAACTTGTGACCCAGTAGTCATTCTAAAACAAAAACTTCAAAGGAACTCATTCTCTGACCTGGCAGGGGATGAGGAGTGAAGGAGAAAGAAACTTACTACTATCTGAATATCTACTCTGTGCCAGGTATTCTTCACATTCTCATATTTAATTTTCACAACCGTCCAGTAACATAAGTATTTTGTTCTTCGTTTTACACGGAAGTAAGTAGAAGGTTAGAGAGTGTGAGTCATTTGTACAAGGTCACTAGCTTGGTTGCAGCAAAAATAGAATTCAAACTCAGTTTGCTAAATTCCAAGCCTGCTGTCAGTTCTGCTATAACCCAGTGCCCCCTGAATAAGGAGAACAATGATAAGAAGGGCAACAAATCCTAGAGAACCATAAGAAAACTTAATATTTTATTTTATCTTCTTGTAGTCAAAAACCACTGGTACACGATAAAGGCAACTAAGCAAAACCAGTTTCGTTAGAACTCCTGGTGTTATGAGGGCAACACTCAAAAGAGATATTTGAATAGAGGAACACTGAGAGGACAAGAGTGCAAAATCAGCCCAAAAATGTTTGCATGCTGATTTGTCACTATTGTACTCTTCCTCCACATATATTTGCTAGGAAGAACATGGAACTGATGAGTAACTTATGAAAATTACTGAGTACTTTTTTTTCTAATAGTCTAGTACTAGATTTTGTTTATTTTGACAGAGCCATTTACATTATATATTAACTCAGTTTAATATTTTTCTTTATGCCCCATTTTTACCCCTAAATGTAGGCTGTGTTAGGTCCTCTGGCTCTAGAAACAGCAAGAGTCTCCGCACCCCACTTGGAACCATATGTGAAGGATGTGATGACAGTAGCATTTTTAGCCATCTTGATCACAGCTCCAAATGGAGCTCTACTTATGGGCATTCTGGGGCCTAAACTGCTTACACGCCATTATGATCCAAGCAAAATAAAACTGCAATTGTCAACATTAGAACATCATTAAAAAGTTTACCTGTCATCATCTGCCTGCTGCTTTTAATGAATTATTTCACAAGACAGAAGAATTTTAAAGTAGAAATATGTAGGGACTGTACAGAAAATCCAGGATTTAGTAAACATGTGATTTCAGTACAGGGCTTTTCTTGGACTTTTTACTCCAAAGTTAATTTAATAAAAATAATATTAAATGGAATGCTCTCTTGGTATTTACATACTGTAAGAACAAATTAAATCTGCAAATACCCTAGGAAAGTTTAAAGTAATCCCTCAGGCTGAATTTGATATCATAATACAAACTGAGCTTAATATAAAATTAAACAAACTTAATGGCAGAAAGAAAAACTTTGAATATTGAACTTGGTAAGATAGCCTAAGTTTCCATATAGGAGGAGTAGAACTCCCCATGATGTCCAGTAATTCAGTTAAAAAGATCACTACAAAAAGAAAAAAAAAAGGAGTAAAACACATCAACTTTAAATGGGTTAACTGAATAGATTTTAAATTCTGGTCTTGGTGACTACCTGAATAAATAATATGTTAAGTAATAGAACCAAGTTAGTCTTTCCTTATTTCTGCCATGCCCTTAAAATGAAAGTCTGGTTTAGCAGTTTTTAGATGAAACACTATCTATATTTTTATTTCTAGAAATAAAATTAAATCACAAATGGAAGTAAACTATATTTTTTTCAATTAGTATTTTAAAATCTAGGCATAAAAGGCAGACTCCAAAAATGAAAGATTTGGAGACTACTGTCATGTGGCAGTTTCTTCTCCTTAGTAATATAGAATTACTTTTTAATTCTGGCTGATTAAATCTGCCATGTTTATGTAGAACCCATCACAAGCAAAGTGAGTTTTAATTAACTTCAAGACTCTTTATTTTAAAGTTATAAGAGTCATATAAACACTTCTAAAATGGCCTTATTGAATGGCATTTTAGAAATTGTTTAGACTTCTTTGGCAAAAGCTCAATGCAAGGACTGAATATTACTCTCATTCCTCTTTTTCCTCTTCTCCACAAGCAAGATATTAAAATACCACAGAATATGAAATTTACACATAAATTTGCCAAGTGAAGCAATTAAAATTTAAGGCAATCAAAACTATGTGTTATTCCTATTAAGACTAAGGGCTTTTACAGAATATATCACCGAAACTGCCAAACGTTCTAAAACCATCTGGGAAAAAACTCTTAGAAAATACACTCTGGGAGAATAACTCTGGGAAAAGATAAAATAGCTCCTGTTTTAGTGACATTTTCTCTTTATAGTTTTACAACAAAGTACAGACTCCATTTTCAAATATTGTAATTCTAGTACTCAAATTCTAAAAATTTAAACTGTGCCAGTGTTTTGACTACTATTTAAATCATGAGGACATCTCATTGTCACTTATAAAAAAATAAAAATATAGGCAGGTTGTTGTGGCTCATGCCTGTAATCCCAGCACTTTGAGAGGCCAATGCGTGCAGATCACGAGGTCAGGAGTTCGAGACCAACCTGACCAACATAGTGAAACCCCGTCTCTACTAAAAATACAAAAATTGTCAGGTGTGGTGGCACGCACCTGTAATCCCAGCTACTCAGAAGGCTGAGGCAGGAGAATTGCTTGAACCCAGGAGGCAGAAGTTGCAGTGAGCTGAGATCACACCACTGCACTCCAGCCTGGGAGACAGAGCAAGACTCTGCCTCAAAAAAAAAAAAAATAAAATATATGTATATATATATATATATATATATTTATTTACAAGATAGTATTTTACATTCACAAGAGTATTAGATTTCAAAGTAGAAAGTTTATTTTAATAAAAGAGAGATAAGAAATAATTTTCAAAATGAGGAATTGTGTTTTTGATTAGGAGGAAAATTGTTGTACCTATTCTTTTTATTCTTTATTTATTGAACTTTCTCTAAGTGTCTGTGATATATGTTTATTATACTGAAATAGTCGCCATTTTAAGGTAGTGTGGCAGATGTTGTTATTTATTTGAAATTATAAGTTTTTATTTATAAAAAGTTTTTATAAAAATTTATTAATATAATTTAAAAATTACAACCAGTTAACCATGTGTATGATATTAGTGTTTATAGTATTTAAACAAATAAGGCTGAGCACAGTGGCTCACACCATCCCAGTACTTTGGGAAGCCAAGGAGGGTGGATCAGAAGGTCAGGAGAAGGAGACCATCCTGGCTAACATGGTGAAAACCTGTCTCGACTAAAAATACAAAAAACTAGACAGGCATGGTGGCAGGTGCCTGTAGTCCCGGCTACTCGGGAGGCTGAGGCAGGAGAATCACTTGAACCTGGGAGGCAGAGGTTGCAGTGAGCCAAGATCACACCACTGCACTCCAGCCTGGGTGACAGAGCGAAACTCCATCTCAAAAAAATAAAATAAAATAAAATAAAATAAAATAACAAATAAATACAAGATTGTTGCTTCTTATAAATTTTTTTTGTATCTTTGCCTATTTTTTTCACTGTTTAAGGAATTTTTATTAAAGCAAAATTTTATAATCCAAATTACCTTTCCTTGCTCAGTTATCAATTCTGTTACTTAAAACAGAAGTGACATTCTTAGCTATTCCACACTAATGAATTACAAAATTAAAGGAATGCTTTAAATTTTTATACTTTGCTGAAAATTATTTATCACAGAGTCTGAAAAGCATTACAGTGTTTTTATATTTTATTATTTTGGGAGGATTTTTTCTTTTCAAATCAATAAGTAATCTAGGACTATCATTGCATTTGTTAGATCTGACATTTGCTTGGTATGTAAAGTTCAAAGTTTCCTTTTTAAATTTATTTTATACTTTACAAATTTTTTCCATAGTATTTAAGGTTTTTGATATTGAGATATTTTTCTTCAGTGATGCTCAAGTTTCTTTCTGTGGTCCCTGATCAGTTTTAAACAATTGGAACACCAGTGGCACCATTAACTGCTTTCTGGGCAGCCTCTTTAGCTTGGTGGTCTTGTAGTACAGCTATACCTTTGTCAACCTTAGTATAGAGAGGCTCTGGAGATTCAAGCATATGAAGGAGTTCTAAATTACCAATCTGCAACAACTTGCCAATGATTTTACCAGCACGACTAGGGCATGGCTTGAAGAAGAGGAAACAGCCATTCACTCATTTCCTTTTGCTTTTGAGGAGGAGCAGATGCCATCATGGAAGTCAAAGGTTCTTGACCTTCTACATGAACAGCAGGCTGCTGCATGGTAATCTGGGGCTGTGCATGAAAATGCCATTGAGGATTGTGAGCTTCCATAGCATATTTATACTGTGAAATGGTACAAACAGCAGGAGTATCTGTAGTAGCCATAGCGGCAACTGCAGGATGTGCTCCTATTTTCTGTGTCGATGTGTTACAACAGCTGTGTTGACATGATTTGTGGAAGCTGTGAAGAAGCTGTTCTCTTACTACTAAATGTAGTGAGCTAGGAGTGGCTTAGACATATTTTTCAATGGATGAGGTCTGGCACCCTGAGCAATTTAGGGAGGATTTGATCTTAGTTGAGCAGTTTGGCTAGGAGAATACTTTGCAGCATGGCTCTCACTCTGTGGGATAACTGCCATGAAGTCAATTGAAGAAGGTGCTGGCTGATAGGGACTGATTCCCAGGTTGAGCATAGTTTTTACACTTGCCATTCTTTGCACATACTGTACTGGTTAATGAGCTGAGCCTGGTGCTCTTCATTGCTTTTCTTCCCATGGAGTTAACACTATATATATACAATGGCTCAGTGCCCACAATTCTACCATTCATTTCTGAAAGTGCTTTAGTTGCTTCCTCTGGAGAGGAGAAACATACACAAATCAAACCCTTTGTTATGACAACCATCCTTCATAACCTTTGCATTGGTGATTGTACCAAGTGGAGAAAGTTCTTTCCAGAGACATTCATCAATACCATCAAGATTTTTTGCATAAATGTTAACACTTTGTTATCTGATGATCCTATACTGCTTGATCTTTTCAAATTTGCACACAAGTTCCATCTGCCATTCTACTTCTTTCTGAGCTTGACCAACATCAATTTACTTTCCATTGAGCTTCTTTTGTTCATCTCATCTGCGCATCTTTATGCCTTTCAAAGCTGACAAATCCAAAACCTCTGGGTTTTCCACTTTCATTAACCACTACTATCACACTTAAGACAGATCCCAACTTGCCAAAGGATCTTTAAGGCACCTACCATCCATGTCTTCTCCAAAAATCTTCCTGTAAACATTGGTGAACTTTTTAGCTCTGAGTTCTGCTTCTCATTGTTTACAAGACTTAATCCAACAGACTTTGCTATCATTTAGAAGCATCCATTTCATTTTTGAATAGATCTTTCAGCTGCTTCTGTGTCTCAAAATGTACAATGCCATCACCTTTGAAACCGTTTTCACCACAGAGCACCTAATGTGAAAGTGATAGAGACAGGAGGCAGCCAAGGGTCCCCTGGTAAAACCCCACCTTCAAGACTAAAACAGCCTGAAGGCTGATAAACTGGACTGCAGGTCCTGGTTGGAGCCGCCCTTTCCTCACTGATTCTGAATAATGCCCACCTGCGCACTGGGATTACGGGGTGGAGCCTCGGGAAGTTTGTGCAGTGTGCAGTGGAGAGGAGTCTGGCCTGTTCCCATGTAGTGACCTAGGATTTAATCTATGAGGCGGGAAACCCGCTAGCAGGACTCTTTCTCTCTTTGCTGAGAGTTATTTTTCCTTTTTCCTTTCCACCCAATAAACTCCATTTCCCCTCACCCTTCAAGTGTTTGCGTGCCTTTTCCTGGTGGTGTGACAAGAACCTGGTTTTTTCTGCAACAAAAAGATGTTACCAGAAGCAGATGTATCATGCAATGCTTTATAATCAATAGATTTGTCCAATTTTTTTAATGAACATGTTGCCCACTCCATTTTTGCGGAGTGATGGATCACACCGAGACCACTTAGTGTGTATTGGCTAGTCTTTTATAACATCAAAATTCATGGGGTCTTAAGCACATTCCACATCCTGCGTTTCCCAAGGAGCGCCGGTGATGTGGTTCCTGTAGCCCGGGATAGAGAAGACTGGCCAGCAGGCCTGGTCACGTGCGGTGCGAGGACAGAGGATGGCTGGGACGCTGGGCTCACCTCTGCACCTGTCTGCCGGTAGGGCCACAGGCTGCGACCTTTCCGTGAAAGGAGAGTAAGGGCTGGGGCGGAAGCCTTGGCCAGCGCAGAGAGACAAAATCACCTGGAATCCAAAACTACTCCACGGCCGAGGAACTGCTGCCCGCAGCGGGCTGGGATGAGGGTGGCGGTGTAGGGTCCAGCATCCAGGCCTCGGGATCCTGTTCCTTCTTGAAGCTGCTTCGGAGCTGCGAGGGGGCGGGTGGGTCACTCTCGGCTGCCTCACCGGGTAATCTTATATAAGAAGAAAAGGAAAATGTCTCTGGTAGTGAAGACAAGGATTTTTTTGTAAAGTGTTTTGCAGGGGTGACGGGTGTTAAAACAGAAACCTTTTTTTTTTTTTAAGTTTTTTTCATGGGATTTTTTTCAGGGGAATGTATTTTTCAAGATAATACATATGTGCTGATCCTGGAGAGCACACTCCACACTCTCAGCGCTAACTGCTTGGGAGAAGGGATCCATTAATGTTTAATTGTACCTTCTCTTGTGGCCCCGTTTTTTCCCTTTTAATTATGAAACATTGGAGCCTACAGAAAGGTAGAAAAAATGGGCACCCACATAACCACCACCTAAATCCAATTAATTGTTAATATTTTGTCAAGTTTTCTTTATGTAATTTTTCAATTTGAATTAAAAGTAAATTATAGGCATCATGCTAATTTGCCTCTGTACACTTAAGCCTGCATATTCAAAAACTAAAGCCATTTTCTTGCATAACCACAATTCCCTTATCCTTTCACACCAAGTTATCAGTAATTCCTTACAATTATTCAACTCCCAAATATTTTCAAATATAAACAGTCATGCCCCAAGTAACACATTTCAGTCAACTAGTCGACCATCTACACTGTGGTGGTCTCATAAGATTAAACTGGAACATATATAGAAACTTGATAAACAGTATATGGCCCTTGATATTGGCATTGCCAATATCAAGTAGAGGAAATGACTGATGCTCAGCAGTGGTGCTGTAACATTTAATTTTCCTTATAAAAAATAAATAAGTGAAAATATATAGGGCTGGATGTAGTGGTTCATGCCTGTAATCCCAGTGCTTTGGGAGGCCAAGGTGGGCAGATCATCTGAGGTCAGGAGTTTGAGACCAGCCTGGCCAACATGGTGAAACCCCGTCTCTACTGAAAATATAATTAGCCTGGTGCAGTGGCAGGTGCCTGTAATCCCAGCTACTCAGGAGGCTGAGGCACGAGAATTGCTTGAACCTGGGAGGCTGAGGTTGCAGTGAGCTGAGATCGCACCAGCACTCCAGGCTGGGTGACATAGTGAGACTCTGTCTCAAAAATATACGTATATATACCATCTAGGTTTGCATAATTACACCCTATGATTCACATTTTCTTAATTGTTTCCCAATTATAGCAATTTTTAAAAGCCAGGATCCAATCGAGAACTGGACACTACATTTTGTTTTTGTCTCTTATTTTGTAATCCAGCACATTTCTCCATACTTAATCCCTTGCTAAATGGCATAGACTTTTTTTTTTTTTTTGAGACGGAGTCTTGCTTTGTCACCGGGCTGGAGTGCAGTGGCGTGATCTTGGCTCACTGCAACCTCTGCCTCCTGGGTTCAAGAGATACTCTTGCCTCACCCTCCTGAGTAGCTGGGATTACAGGTGCCTGCCACCACGGCCGGATAATTTTTTGTATTTTTACTAGAGACAGGGTTTCACCATGTTAGCCAGGATGGTCTCGATCTCCTGACCTCATGATCCACCCTCCTCAGCCTCCCAAAGTGCTGGGATTACAGGTGCGAGCCACCGTGCCCAGTCGGTATTGACACTTTAAAGGAACCATGCTAGTTATCACGTAGAATATCTCACATTCTGGATTTGTGGGACTGTTCATGGTTTCATTTAGTTTGTTTGTCTATCCCCTCAATTTTCTGAAATTTGAAGTTAAATTTAAAGACTTGGTTACATTCAGGTTAAACTTTTTTGGCCAGAATTATTCAAAGGTGATGTCGTATACTTCCAATAGCGGCACATTACGAAGTTTATGTCTGGTTGTCCCACTGCCAGTGATGCTAATTTTCATTCCTAAATTAAGGTGGTGATTGCCAGATGTCTATATCGTAATGGTATGATTTCCTCTGTAATTAGCCAGTGATCTCTGAGGTTATACCTTGGTACTACATGAATATTCATTCTTCATCAAATTTCTCAAAATTAGTAGACTTTGTTTTTTAGAGCAATTTTAGGTTTACAGAAACCAATGAGCAGAAAGTACACAGAGTTCCCATGTAACACTACCTTCCTATCCCACTCTCCACCCAATCCCTACCTCTGTACACAATTTACCCTATTATTAACACCATGTATTAATGTGGTATATTGGTTACAATTGATACATATTGATACATTACTATAACTGAAGTCCATAGTTTACATTAGCATTCACTCTTTGTGTTGTAAAGTTCTGTGAATTTTGACAACTGTATAATGACAGATATCCACCAGTATCATACAGAATAGTTTCATCACCATAAAAATCCTCCGTGTTCCACCTATGTATCCCTCTCTTACTTTCCTCAAATTGCTGAAAACCACTGATGTTTCTACATTATAGTATTGCCTTTTCCAGATTGTCATACACTTAGAACCATACAATATATTACCTTCTCATGCTGGCTTCTTTTACTTAGCAATATGCATTTAAGTCTTCTCCATGTCTTTTCTTAGCTTAATATCTGATTTCTTTTTAGTGCTGTATAATATTCCCTTGTATGGATGTATCACAGTTTGCGTAGCCATTAACCTACTGAAGGATATCTTGGTTGCTTCCAAGTTTTGGCAGTTATGAATACAACTGTTATAAACAGCCATGCGCAGGTTTTTAAGGTTTTAACAAACTCTTTCTGGCAGCTTCTGTTTTTCCTCACTTTTCAAGCCCATGGGCTATCTCCCAGTGCTGGTCGTTTTAATATTCTGCAGAGTACTTAAGCATTACAGAATATAGAAGCTGGAAGATACTTGGCAGTCATTTAGTCCCTCATGTTCTAGATGAGAAAACTGAAGCCCAGATACCTTATTATTTGTGCAGTCCCCCAATCTGAGTGTCAAATCCACCTCTCCCAGTTGTTTTCTGTTCAAATAACCCTGTGAACTTCAGTGACCCTCACTGACCACATCATCATTATTCACCAATAGTTCCCCAATAGATCCGCTCTACATTAGCTCATTTCAAATGTTCTTTTCCTTTCACGCACATACCATACAGTACTTAAAATTCTGTTGACAACAATCAATATGAATTCAAATTAAGTTCTTGCCCCAAGGATGTGACTTCTACTACACAGTTTCTTTTGGCCTGAGGGCAATTCCTAGGGCATGAACTTAGTCATGTGCCCTCAACAGACAGCACTCTAAGGAAGCTGGGGAATGAGGGTCTCCATTCTGCAGGGAGGCCTGGACTACAAACCACAGAAGACACTACTCTGTCCATCCCTCGTGTCATTTGGATCCATGACTTCATATAACTTCTCTCCATCTAGGAATAGCTCCTCCAGGATTTTGGTTGGTTTCTTTTGCTGGGGAAACGTGAAAGTAACATTCATGGAGGGAACAATAGCTCCTTGGCTCTTCAACTGGTCTTTCACCCTAAACTGATCATCTGCCTTTCCTACTATACAGGTACTATCAGGTTTACATTCTTACCCTCAGCTAGCACCTCCCCTGGTCTAGGTCACTTACCTGGTGATAGGAGAGGGGGGTGTAGTAGCCATGGCTACTAGACTTGTCCTTTTAAATTGAGCAATCAAAATTTAGTAAGGTACTACTTAAACATCCCTTGGCTGCCAAACACATTCCTGGCTACTTCCGTTGTGTAACAGCATTGAATTGCAGAGATAAGAAGCAGAAATTTCCCAAGTGAATCCCTCGGGGTGACGGTAAATAGTGCTACTCTTTCTTCAATCCATGGTCCTCCTTCTATTAGCGACATGGGACCATACAATGGTTACTGATCTAGGATATATGCTTGTATCCCATCCCTGCAGCTTCAAAGGGCTACTGGAGGATGTTCCATCACTCCATCAGTTTGACAGCTTTTAGTTGTTGTGATTTCATGATTTGTAATAGGATCACTGAATTGCATTTTCATGTGTCCACCACTGCAACTACAGTGCTACAAAGTACATTCCCTTTATACGGTGCTATAAAGTACAATGCAAGGATGTATAGGATTCCATATTGGAGGATTAAACATTCTGTCAACCCTTGGATAGTGGTGCTGGTTGAGGCCATGTAAGTAGGAAAGATAAATCCATACTCAGAATAAGTATCAGTTCCAGCCAAGATGAATCATTACCCTTCCTGTGATGGAAAGAATCCAGTGCATTCAGCTTGCCACCAGGTGGCTACTTGGTGTCCTTGAGGGATGATGCTATCTTGAGGCCTCAGTGTTGCTCTGTCTTGATGACAACTTTGACATTCAGAAGCAGCAGTAGCTAGATAAGACTTAGTCAGTGGAGACTTCTGCTGTTTGGGCCTCTGCATAGGCTCCATCCTTGTCACTATATTTATTCACCAATTGTGCCAGTACCAGTACTGAGCTGGCCAATGGAAGAGGTTGGCTAACATCATCTGGCTGAGTCGCTTTTCTCCTTGGTTGTTGATAGATACCTCTTGTAGGTGTTAACATGTGAAACAAAGATCTTCATACTTTTTGTACATCCCCATAAGTCCACCCATATGCCCTTTTCTCAGATGTCTTTTTCTCCAGTCTTCCAAATTTTCTCCTCCCATCCCCCTGACCTGTAGCCAAGCCATTTGACCATGAGTCAGTACATTCTTACTTTGAGTCTCTTCTCTTTCCATGCAAAGTGAATGACAAGGTGCGTAGTGCAAAGTTCTGCCAACTGAAATTTTTTTTTAAATTTTTTTTATTTTTTGAGACAGAGTCTTGCTCTGTCACCAGGCTGGAGTACAGTGGCGTGATCTCGGCTCACTATAAGCTCTGCCTCCTGGGTTCACGCCATTCTCCTGCCTCAGCCTCCTGAGTAGGTGGGACTACAGGCGCCCGCCACCACGCCCGGCTAATTTTTTTTTGTATTTTTTTAGTAGAGACGGGGTTTCACCATGTTAGCCAGAATGGTCTCGATCTCCTGACCTCATGATCCACTGCCTTGGCCTCCCAAAGTGCTGAGATTACAGGTGTGAGCCACTGTGCCTGGCCAAGAATTTATTTTTGAGTTGAATTTTTAAATATTAAAAAATTTTAAATATACAAACAAAAATTGTATATATTTGTAGTGTACAACCTGATGTTTTGAAATATGGATACACTGTGAAATGGCTAACTCAAGCTAATTAATACATGTGTTACCTCACATATTTATCATTTCTTTTGTGGTGAGAACACTTAAAATCTACTGTCCTAGCAATTTTCAAGTATGCAATACATTGTTATTAACTGTAGTCACCATGTTGTACAATAGGTCTCTTGAACTTGTTCTTCCTGCTTATCTTAATTTTTGTATCCTTTGACCAACATCTCCCCAGTTCTACCCTCCTCCCCCTGCCCCTAATAACCATTATTCTATTTTCTGCTTCTATGTGTTTGACTTTTTTAGATTCCACATATAAGTGAGATTACATGGCATTTATCTCTCTGTGCCTGGCTTATTTCACTTAATATAATGTCCTCCAGTTTCATTCATGTTATTACAAAGGACAGGATTTCCTTCTTTAAGGCTGAACAATATTTCATTAGGTATATATACACCACATTTTCTTTAATCATTCATCTGTTAAAGGATACTTAGGTTGATTTCGTATCTTGTCTATTGTGAATAATGTTGCAATGAACATGAGGTACAGATTTTTCTTTGACATATTGAATCATTTTATTTGGGTATATAAATAGTACTAGGATTGCTGGATCATATGGTAGTTTTATTTTTAACTTTCTGAGAAACCTCTATATTATTTTTCATAATGGCTGTACTAATTTACATTCCTGCCAACAGTATACAAAGGCTCCCTTTTCTCCACATCCTCACCAACACGTTATCTTTTGTCTTTTTCATAGTAGCCATTCTAAAAGGGATGTCTCATTGTGGTTTTGATTTGCGTTTCCCTGACGACTGGTGATGTTTGTTATTTTTTCATATTCCTGTTGGCCATTTGTATGTCTTCTTTGGAAAAATGTTTCTTCAGGTACTTTGCCTCCCTTTCATTAATCAGGTTATATGTTTTCATGCTATTGAGATGTATGAATACTTTATATATTCTGGATATTAATCCTTTATCAGATGTATGGTTTGCAAATATTTTCTCCCTTTTTGTAGGCTACCTCTTTACTCTATTGATTGCTCCCTTTGCTTGCACAGCTTTTTAGTTTGATATAATCCCGTTTGTCTATTTTTGCTTTTGTTGCCTGTGCTTTGGGGGTCATATCCAGAAAATCATTGCCCAGACCAGTCTCATGGAGCTTTTCCTGTATGTTTTCTTCTAGTAGTTTTATGGTTTCAGGTTTTATATTTAAGTCTTTAGTCCATTTGTGTTATTTTTTTATATATGGTGTGAGATAAGGGTCTAATTTCATTTCTCTGCATGTGGAGTTCTCCCAACACCATTTATTGAAAAGATTGTCCTTTCCCCATTGTGTATTCTTGGCATATTTACTGAAAATCAATTGGCCATAAACGTGGATGTATTTTGAGGCTCTCTATTCTATTCCATTGGTCTACCAGTCTGTTTGTATGCCAGTATCATGTTATATTTTTGATTACTATAGCATCATAGTATATTTTGAAACTGGATAATGTGATGCCTCCTACTTTGTTCTTTTTGCTCACAATTTGCTATTTGGAGTATTTTGTGGTTTCAAGTGAATTTGGGGACTTTTTTCTGTTTATGTAAAAAATATCATTGGAATTTTGATAGAGATTACATAAGAATCTGTAGATCACTTTGGGTACTAAGAACATTTTAACAGTATGAATTCTTCTAATCCATGAAGATGGGATATATTTCCATTTATTTGTGTCTTCTTCAATTTCTTTCACCAATGTTTTATAGTTTTCAGTGTACAGGTCTTTCACCTCCTTGGTTAAATTAATTCCTAAGTATTTGTGTAGCCATTATAAATGAAATCGTTTTCTTGATTTCTTTTTCAGATAGTTCATTGGTAGTGTATACAGATGCTACTCGTTTTTTTATGTTGATTTTGTATCCTGCAACTTTACTGAATTAATTTACTAGTTCCAACAGTTTTTTTTGGTGGACTCTTTAGGGTTTTCTACATTTAAGATCATGTTGTCTGCAGAGACAATTTCACTTCTTCCTTTCTGACTTTAATGCCTTTATTTCTTCTTCTTGACTAATTGCTAGAACTTGAATAGAAGTGGTGAAAATGGGCATCCATCTTGTTTCTGATCTTAGAGAAAAAGCTTTCAGCTTTTTACCATTGAGTATGATGTTAGATGTGGGCCTATCATATATGCCTTTATTGTGTTATGTGGACATTGATACCTAATTTGTTGAAAGTTTTTATTACAGAAAGATGTTGAATTTTGTCAAATGCTTTCTCTGCATCCATGGAGATATTCATATAGTTTTTGTCCTTCATTCTGTTAATGTGTATATCACACTTATTGATTCGTATATGTTGAATCGTCCTTGGGAGGATTTAATCTACTGCTATCTTTCCATAGCTGAAGTAGGCTGCTATCATTTTTTACTTACATCCGCATCCTGAGTTGATCTTCCAATGAACAAGCTTAGCTTTTTTCCTCCTTTAGCAATATTGGAACTCCTACGTAGGCAGTTGCCAGCTGAGGGAGAGAATCTAGTGTCACAATTTGGATAATGTGGGGACCTGGATCACCTGATCATACTGCTTACTTGTGTCCTCTAGTCTTTCTCATGCCCAATCCTTGATGTGATATGGTTTGGCTCTGTGTCCCCACAAAATCTCATCTCAAATTATAATCCCCACATGTAGAGAGAGGGACCTGGTGGGAGGTGACTGGATCATGGTTGCAGTTTCCCTCATGCTGTTCTCATGATATTGAGTGAGTTCTCATGAAAGCGGATGGTTTAAAAGTGTTTGGCACATCCCCCTTTGCTCTCTGTCTCTCCTGCTTCCTTGTGAAGAAGGTGCCTGCTTCACCTTTGCCTTTAGTCATAAGTGTAAGTTTCCTGAGACCTCTCTAGCCATACGGAACTGTGAGTCAATAAACCTCTTTTGTTTATTAATTACCCAGTCTTGGGTAGTTCTTTATAGCAACGTGAAAATGGACTAATTCAATGTGCTACTTCTATTTTATTATGATTTGTTGCTGGGCCAACCTGTCCTTATGATCTGGTAGATCTAACAAAACCAAACTTACGGTGGGAACTTTTAGCCACATGGTCACTTAATATTTGTTGTCAGATAGTCCATCTCTACCTAGGTGCAGTAGCATGCTAGGAGCTATTAAAGTACACAATTATGCTATATATTTATACAATATACAATTGCAGATAGCATGACCATGCTAGTGAACCCCACAAGACTATGTGTGAATCGTCTATTAGGGTTTGCTATAAACTCTACATGGTGCTTTTTCCAACTGCATATACTTCTAATACCATAGAGCCTACTAGATTGTATGGCTCAAACAGTAGGGCTGCTTGCCCTGGATCCTGGACCTGCTGCAGAGGCCTTTTGTGCCCTAAGCTTTTGTCAAAGGTGGAAGCCTTCTGTGTCACTCATCAAATGTGTCAGAACAGTATTCCTTAGTATAGGGGGACCAATGGGCCCCCTAAAATCTTCTGCAACTGATGTCACAGGTCCTTAAATCTTCAGATGATTTTCTCTCTCAGGGATGCTTGTGTCTCTCTAGGCCATCCAACATGTTATTTCTTACCCAGTCTATTTTAACTGGTAAATGCATGCTGTTGTCCTTCCCATGAATGTGAATTGCTTCTGGTAAATTTCACTCTAAGTACTGCTTCGGTTATTTTACATATATATTGATCGGTAATGTTTTCATTTTAATTCAATTTTAAGCATGTTCTAATTTTTATTATAATTTCTTCTTGCTTCCATGAATCATTTGGAAGCTGTTTGTAGTTTCTAAAATTCATGGATTACTTTTGGATAAGTTTTTGTTATTGATTTCTAATAGTGCTATTACACATTTGTTATACCACTGTAAACATTTGATACTACCTTTAGGTCTAATATCTGGTCAATTTTTGTAAATACTCCAAGTGTGCTTGAAAAGAATAGAAATTCTTTAACTGTTGATTAGCCTTACTAATTTTATTTTTATTTATTCAATTACTAAAAATGAAATGTTAAAATCTCTCACTGTGTAGATTTTTTTTATTGCTGTTTCCAATTCTAATTTTGGCTTTATTTATTTTGAGACTACATTATTAGGTATCCACAATTCTATAAAAATTAAGAAAAAATTAGAAAAGTTTAGAAAAAAATTAGAAAAATATAGAAAAAGATGTGACAGAAGCACACATGGGCTTTATCTGGATGATCTCTTCTCAGGTTTGTATCCTGGGGAAGGCCTTCACAGCAAGAGATGGACCAGAGGATTGAGACAAGGGGGCCACCACTCAGAAGGGGAGGAGGGCAAAGGAACTCCTGAGGGAGGAAAGGATCAGAGAGGAGGCTTTCATATCTCAGTGATATCACTCAGCAGCATGGCATGGAGTCTGTAGTTCACAGAGTTCCAAAGAGCAGAAGCAGTTTGGGGTCTTTACAGCCTAGAGTTTATCTGTGGCAAGCAGATTTTGGACGTAGTTTCCCAGGGCATGTAAATCTGGCAGGCTCTAAATGCCTACAAATCTGCATGTCTGGGCTATGTTTAACACAATTGGATATTTAAAAATTTGAGTTTGGTGCCAGTTGGTTTTGAGCTAATGGGTTTCAACTTGCTGTGAAGAAATAACCTAGGTGCCAATACACAGAGGCCATCCTTGTCTCATTTACATTATATGCAGTGACTCTATCCTTTTTTGCTCACAATTGTTTTATTCATTTCTTTTAGATTTGTTTACTTTACTGTGATTATTTGGTAGATAAGATTTCAGTTTATTGTAGTTTGCTAATTCATTATTCAAAGTGTTCTAATAAATTTTGCTCCATCCTTAATCCCCATTTAAACAAAGCTGCTGTGGGTAAGGTCATCAATGGCCTTCGTGTTATCAAATCCATTTTGTTAACAAAATTTTAATGTTTTAAATTTTCTTATGTGTACACATGTTTAATTTATGGAATTTCAAAACGGGGTATCATACATGGAATTTGGTAGTTTTCTTTCCTTTTTTTGTTCACTTACTCTGTTTCTTAATGCTTTGCTGTAACCCACAACGCAATGTCCCCAATATTTATTATGTATAACTGATATTCACATAAAACATATTTTGTCATTAAGTGTTATCTTTTTCCACATAGGTGTTCCCGTCTTTAGTCTTCTATTTTCTCTCTCTCCCGCTTCTCTCCCACCCTTCCTCTCTCCATTTATGTACGTATTTAAATCATTTTAAAAATCATTTTATGTATCACTTCAAAGCCTTCAGTGTAAATTGAGGGTCCAATTTTGTTTTCTTTGAATTGTTTATTTTCATATATTAATTTTTCATCTACATGTAGATTCTCAATTTTTTACCACTCTTGCTTATTCTTAATTAATACAATTGTTTTTCTTAATTGATCAATTCCAATAGTTCTTTAGTAGGTGCTGATATCTGGTGAGAAAAGTTCCTCTCAATAGTCTTTTTTTTGGTACAATTTTCTGACTATTCTTCTACATGAACTTTAAGATAATTTAATCCAATTGTAAAATGCTTTTGTGATTCTAATGTGAATTTAATTGAATTTATATATAATTTTAGGAGATTTATGTTTTTACAAGAGTTTTGTTTGTTTTTTTGAGACAGGGTCTCACTTTGTCACCCAGGCAGGAGTGCAGTTGTGGGATCTCAGCTCACTGAAGCCCCAACCTCCCACCTCAGCCTCCCAAGTACCTGGTTCTATAAGCATGCGCCAAGCCCAACTAGTTTTTTGTTTTGTTTTGTTTAGAGATAGTGTTTCACAATTTGCCGAAGCTCGTCTTGAACTCCTGGGCTCAAGCAGTCCTTCTGCCTCAGCCTCCCAAAGTGCTGGGATTACAGGTATGAGCCACTGCACCTAGCCTCATGTGTTTCTCATTCAATAGCTTTTGGTAACATTTTTATAGTTTTTTTCTTATAGATCTTCTTTCTTGGCAAATTTATTTTACCTTTATTATTTTTGTTATTGTGAATATTTTTACCATTAGCATTTCAAGGTGCTTATTGCTAATATATTTTGTATTATGATCTTATTTCCAAATACCTTACCAATATTCCTCTTTAAAATATTTGAAAGTTCTGTTTTTCCTAATCTCTATGATTTCCTAGGCATATAATCATATCCAAAAAAAGTTTTCTATATATTTATACTGATTATTTCATTTAAAAATCTTGTTACATTCATGGATCCTCCAAGATAATTTTTAATAACAAATAATGACAGCAGCTATTCCTACTGGTTCCTTGTTTTAATTGAAATGTTCCTTTATGATTTAAAATACTTGTTTTGTAGGCATTTCATAAATAAAGGTTATGTTTAGACACTTTCCTTCAATTTCTATTTTACTCAAGAATCTTCATTACGAGTGGATGTTTAATCTTAACAATAGCCCTCTCAGCATCTACTGATATAATCACATTTTCCTCTTCTTTGATGTCAATTATGTAATTGTGTTAATATACTTAACTGATATTGAAATACCCGTGAATTCCTGAAATACAATGCTCTTTGCATACTGTATCACTCTTTTTTGTTGTTGCAATTATTGATAAAAGTGCTGGGTTTTTATTTAGAATATTCATTCATATGTATAAGTCAGATTGGTCTATAGTTTTGGTTTTTTTGTTTGTTTTTTTTTTTGAGACGGAGACTTGCTCTGTCACCCAGGCTGGAGTGCAGTGGCGTGATCTTGGCTCACTGCAACCTCTGCCTCCTGGGTTCAAGCTGGGATTACAGACATGCACCACCATGCCGGGCTAATTTTTGTATTTTTAGTAGAGACGGGGTTTCACCATATTGTCCAGGCTGGTCTTGAACTACTGACCTTAAGTGATCCACCTGCCTTGGCTTCCCAAAGTGCTGGGATTACAGGTGTAAGCCATGGCACCTGGCCTATAGTTTTGTCTTATGTTTATAAGGTTTTCATATTAATGCTGCACTACCTATGTGAAATGAATTGGTTTTTCTTTTTTAAAAAAATTTGGGATACTTTAAATAACATTGGAATTATCCTTCTTGCAACCCTAGTACTTTTTAAATTATGGATTTAAAAAATCACTTTACATTCTCTTCTTTGTAACTGGTCTAATAACATTTTAAATTTCTTCTTGGATTAGTTTTGGTCATTTATATTTTTCCAGAAAATTACCCATTTTCTCTAGATTTTCCAATGTGTGGCCATATAGTTGCATGCAGCATTTCAAAGTGAATCTTTCTTTTTTCTTTTCTTTTTTTTTTTTTTTTGAGATGGAGTCTTGCTCTGTGGCCCAGGCTGGAATGCAATGGCATGACCTTGGCACTCTGCAACCTCTGCCTCCTGGATTCAAGCGATTCTTCCACCTCAGCCTCCCGAGTAGCTGGGATTACAGACATCCACCATCATGCCCAGTTAATTTTTGTATTTTTGTAGAGACGAGTTTTCACAATGTTGGCCAGGCTGGTCTTGAACTCCTCACCTTAGGCAATCTGCCCACCTTGACCTCTCAAAGTGCTGGAATTAATTACAGGTGTGAGCCACCGCACCTGGCCCTCAAAGAGAATCTTTCTACCTTCATCTTATTTTACTTCTTGGTAGCATTCTACAGAGTTGAAGATTGTACTTGTGAGTTTTGAGTTTCTTGATTTGTTGAATGGATGTGATTAATTTATATCTTTAGTGTGATCATGCAGAGAAATGTATGAGGGATAGTGATGGAAAATTACAGGAAATCTGAAAATTTAATAAATTGTTGGCATTTTTATTTTCTCACTAGTACAGGGTTCATCTCAGTAATTATGAAATGTACTACCCTTTTCTCCTTTTCTATATTATTTTGGAAAATTACAGCCTTATAATAGAGATCAGAAATGTGTTAACATTATGGCTGATCTATCTGACAACAATGTTCTAAGAAAACAGTATCACAAATATACTTTCTCACCATAATTGTTCAAAACAGAAATTTTGTAAGCAAAGAATCAAGCATTTAAACCAAAGGAAAGTTAGAGTGATATCATCTCTGGTTGAAAAACACAGTCTTTCTGAAGAGATTTTCAATGTCCTTGAAGACCATAACTAATATAAAATTACACAATACATTTGCTAATAATATGAACTGTACACTTTTTATATGAAAATGATGCTTGCTACAACATGACTTTACTAAATTGGATTTCTGCAAAAGATAAAACACCAGGCATCGTTGCTCACACCTGCAATCCCAGCACTTTGGGAGTGCTGAGGCAGGGAGGATCACTTGAGTCCAGGACTTCGAGACCAGCCTGGGTAACATAGTGAGACTCTGTCTCTTAGAAAAGTAAAAAATTAACCGGGCATGATGAAGCATGACTGTAGTCTCAGCTACTTGGGAGGCTGAGGTGGGAGGATCGCTTGAGCACAAGAGGCTGAGGCTGCGGTGAGGTACGATCACTCCCCCGCACTCCAGCCTGGGTGACAGGGCCAGACTTTGTCTCAAAATATATGAAAGTAGATAAAATTAGTTTACTTGCTGAACATAATCAAATATAGCAACTTTCCAGTAAAAGACTATTAGGACAAACTATGTTAACACAACCTCAGATGATGCAGCATAGTTAAAACAAAACAAAACAGCTTTGGGCATATTCTATACTCCAACCTCTGTGGTGCAAAGGGACTATATGGCCAACTAGGTGTTGAGGCAGTCACAGAACTGCTGCACATGTGGTTTTTAAACAAGATTTTTAATTCCCCCTAAAGTGGAAGAAGTCATCTAACAAAATTTATTATGACTTAAATTGCTACTTCTTTATTTAGTTTTCCTCAAACTTTAACAAAATAAATTATGTAGTAAATTATAGTCATTAAGCTTGAAAAATGTTTCAATTGAATGGGAAAACTTCCTGTGATAAAGCCTCCAGTCATCAAGGAATAAGTCAATATATTTCATGCATAAGTTTTCCAACATGTTAAGCACTAAGCTTTTAACTAAATAGCTAAGGGGAAATTGTTGCCACCGAATGCAACACATATCCTGCCTTTTTAAATAACACATACTACTTATCTTGATTCCAATTCATCACTAAACATCACTTGTATAATTTGATCACAGTGATGTCCTCAGAGACGGTTGCATGCGGAATCCTATGAATTGTCTCAAGCTGCTATGCTTTTAATGTTCACCTTAAATTTATTTTTGTTCCCCTGCCTTGCTGTCAGCTGTCACATTTTATAGTTCACCCCTTCTGCAAGACCCTTTCGATACTTGTGATTTGTTAGGAAGCAGAAATCAGATAACCTAACTTGTTAGAATTCAATGTGAAGTAAGAATAAGTAGACTCTGGGTAGCTGCTGCCTCTACCATTAAAAATTTTTAAAAAAGAAGACTTTTCAATCACCATTTAATTTGAACTTGACTTACCTAGACTACTATTAGTCAATATTAGTTTAACAGAGGGAAAATTGTTAATAAAGTAGATCTAATATGTAAACACATACATCATTCCCTTGTTCTGGATTTCATACTTTGACTATATCTAAATTATCTGCTTTTCCTGGCCTTCAAAGTGGTCTTTAATTCAGCCCTGCTTTCCATGGGTTAAATTTCCTACAATGCTGAGATGTTTATATTGGTTTCCTCCTGTCCTATGAACTTCGTACTGATTTCTGCCCCAATAAATTTGATTAGATGAATAAAAAAAGACTTTTTTTTTTTTAAGATAGGGTTTCACTTCTGTTGCCCAGGCTGGAGCACAGTGGCACAATCTTGGCTCACTGCAACCTTGGCCTCCTCAACTCAAGAGATTCTTGTGCCTCAGCCTCCCGAGTAACTGGGACTATGGGTGCACCACTGGTGCCCGGTAAATTTTCGTATTTTTTTGTAGAGATGAGATCTCACCATGTTGCCCAGGCTGGTACGGAACTCCTGAGATCAAGTACTCCACCCACCTCAGCCTCCCAAAGTGCTGAGATTACAGGTGTGTAGTCACTGCACCAAGCCAATGAGGCACTCACTTCTGAATAAAGTACAAGCATTAGTAACATCTCCCCTGGTCTCTCCAGATTGGTTATGCTGCCACAACTGAATTCTAAATGGGTTAAGTGTTATACAATTAGTTAAGTTTCTTTGGTAGGTATCAAACAAAACATCCACCTAAATTCTTAAGAACCTTGTTAAATAGTGGAATTTACAAACTCTTTATACAGATTCTGATAGCACATTTCTATTGGAAGACTATGGAATCACAATGAGGAAGGTAGTACTATATAGATGAGCAGCTGGCTTAATTGGCTTCCTGTAACTTATTAACAAATTAGGTTACAAAATACAAAGGCAACTTAATGAATCATCATATTTGGCCTTGAACTCAAAGCTGAATTGTGTGAATTGTGAGGTGCTTTTCATAATTCAACTTGCTTAATTACCCATATGAATGAATCATTCATACCTCAAGCCTGCTAACACTTTTGGATACCTGATGTTTATGTAATGGTGGTGTTCATTTGCTGAGTAAGGCATGAGTAGTTTCCTAGGTAAGCAGAAGTAGCCCTCAAAACAATCATAATGTGACACAGTAACAACAGGGCTGTATTTTGAAGGCTCTAGAAACCCAAGACGTATTTCAAAAGCCAAGTTACTTTTTTTTCCCTTTACCACTTATCCTCAAGTTCTACAAGTTAGTTATACTGTATCAATTGAAATACATTTGGTTATTAGATGGCTATTTTTTAAAGATGGACAAGATAAAATTGTGTAAATTTACAAGAAGTAATGGAAACTGCTAATAATGCTTATTTAAAAGAGTTATTAAAGCAACAGCTTACTACCAACCCTAGGCTTCTGAAAAATTTGCACAGGTGGGAAAAGATATGGGCATAGCTCTTAGCATATTTTAACAACTGAAAATGTGGCAGGGAAAAAGTCTTTATTCTGAGAGTATAACCATCTTACTTTTGGGGTATTCAAATTACCTTTTATGAGATAATTCATTTTCAATGTTATTTGACAAAATTCAAAGTTGGTCATTCATTTTAGTCTCCTCATTTTTAGCGTATTTGCCTCCTGTAAAATCTAAGTTATGGGAACCACTAGAACATGTGTGAAAACAAGTTGCTGTGAGACGCAGTGACAGATTTTACAAAAAGAAAAGCATTTCATGACCACAGACCAGGATATCCAAAATTTTGGTGAGGTGGATTTTTTCCAAAGTCTGGTGACCAACTGTGGAAAAATAATTGGTTAATCTGACAGTGAGGCCCCTTAACAGTGTTGAAGAAAATGTATATGAAAAAGTACCCAGAGTCAAAGAAGTGAGAGCAATGCTGTATTTATCCCCCACTGACATGTGAGGAAAGAACAATAATTTTGGACATACACCTTGTAAAACTTCTCAAAAACCAGACTACATTTCTAACTCTAAAATACATGCTGCTGGTCATGAAGTTGTTCTGATCATATAATTTAACCTACTGACATTACATGTAATAAATTAAAAACCCAAGTACCATGCTTATTGTAGCGTCTGGTACATACAAGTTCTCAATAACAGTTAGTTTTATTTCTAGAAGGATTACCTCTGCCTCTTGTACCTTCTTATAAAAAGAAAGCAAAGTGAACTGAATAAATTGTATCTTAAATAGACTAAAGAAAAGCTTTTGTATTTGTCTTTTCTCAACTAAGCAGTTTCCATAGTGCCTAGCAAGGTCTCAGAAATGCACTCAGTGAAGAGGGTTAAATGGTAACTCTTTCAGAACAGAAAGGATTCCCTACAGAGCCCAGCAGAGGCAGAGCACTATTTTGCCCAGCCTGGCCTTGAACTCCTGGGATCCGGCCCTGCAGCCATCCTCCCACCTCAATCTTCCCAGCAGTTGGGACTACAGGCCTGTGCCATGACACCTGGCTAAGGATAGCTATTATGAGAGTAGTAATGTAAGATGAAACTAAAAAGGCTCATAATAGTAGGATTAAAAAGCACAAAAATTTTAAAGATTCTCCGATACGTTTATTTCATAAACTTTTTTGTACAGTTGACACTTACACATGGGTTTGAACTGGGTGGGTACACTTATGCGCATACTTTTTTCAGTCAAATGCAGGTGAGATCACACAGATCAGCATTTGTGCATGGGATGTGAAACTCATGTGTACGGAGGTTCAATTGGAGGGCCAACTTTTCTACATATGGGTTCTGCAAGACTTTCTGTGAGACTTGAGTATGGGCAGATTTTAGTATATGTGTGGCCCTGGAACTAGTCCCCAGTGTATACAAGGGATGACTGTATTTTAATGGTTTATATTGTTAAAAAGAGAAAAATGTCCACATAACCACAATTTTGAACACAGAACTATTTTAATATGAATTAATATGTCTTATATTTATTACCAATTGATCTTCAAATTGCAGCAGCCCATGAGCTTGGTTGTAAGTGTTCTTGCCATTCCACCCCAGCTGCCACTGAGTCAAACAGTTTAAAATATACACACACACAAACAGACACAAGCCTTTTGTAAAGTAAACAAATCTTTTATACTGTAAATAACTGTTCCTCAATGGAACTTTTTGTATCCAGTTTACTTCTTTTCTAAAGCTGGGATATTCATATTAAATACCCAACAATCTCTGTAAAGCAAAGAGTCTATCTCTGTGAAAACACAAGTAATTCTTGATGGCAATATTTTTCTTAATTCACCTAAACAAATGCAGTTTGGAAGGCCAAAAGGAGAAAAAAACACTTCAGATTATCAAAACCAAAAGAGATATGAAAAAATAACATATTTAACAATGTAAGCGGGAATTTTAAAAACAAGATCCTGTTGAAAATATTGATATTCAAAGAAACAAACAGCTTTGGATCCATAGCCACAATTTAGGTTTTCCTAGATTAAAATCAGAAGTGATTTTATTGTTGGAAGATACATTAATCCTTTGAAGTCAGAATAAGAGGCTTGACAATTTAATTTCTAATTAAGTGACTGAATAGACAAAGGATCAAATACAAACAGTAGTGCAGGAAGAAAATAAATTGGAAGAAATAATTTTTCAACCAGTAGTAATAATTAAGACCACCATTTTAAAATTTTCTATACACAAAGAATGAGAAAATATTGTTATTATTATTATACTTCTTTCTTCTTCAGTATTAGTGGACCCACATTATCTCCTGTCAATTCATTGTGTTTATTATGTGAACCATCGCAGGCAGGAAACTAAAAAGAAAAAAGAATTACAAGTGTTATTTTTAAAGTATGATTCATTAGGTAGAAACATTTGTGAAATGCTCTCAGAAAGAAAGAATATCGCTTGCTAAAAAAAATCAGATCGTTTTCCTAAGTAATAGTTACATTTTACATCCAACTGAGCCATATTCACAATCTAACAATTTAAACAGTTACTTCATTATTTGGTTTAGATTTTAAGTAAAAACCTATGAATGATTCCATATGAGTGACTAAAACAGACAACAGGTTTAAAAGGGAATCAAAGAAGTTCTTGGTCATTTTTGGAGCTTAAAATTCGAGCTCACCTATTGCTTAATTTTAAAACAATGGAATTTAATTCAAAATAAGTTATAATTTTTTCTTGCTATAAAACTCATGCATACCACACAATTTTTGAAAACAAAAATATACTTTAGGCTGGGTGCGGTAGCTTACGCCTGTAATCCCAACACTTTGGGAGGCAGAGATGGACAAATCACGTGACATCGGGAGTTCAAGCCTAGTCTGGCCAACATGGCAAAACCCCATCTCTAACTAAAAATACAAAAGTTAGCTGGGAGTGGTGGCATACGCCTGTGTCTCAGGTACTTGGGAGGCTGAGGTGGGAGAATTCCTTGAACCCAGGAGGTGGAGGTTGCAGTAAGCTGAGATCATGCCATCGCACTCCAGCCTGAGTGACAGAGCAAGACTCTGTCCCCGCAAAAATAAATAAAGAATAAATAAAAATAAATTTAAAAAAATTCACTCATAACCCATCCAGATATAGGTAATAATAATTAACAGTTTGTTTATCAAACTCCCGCTTGGGGGAGTGGGCGTGGCCCAGCAGCCGACGTGCCTTACCAGTGAAAAAGCTGGGGTTGGAGCTGCCACGAGGGGAGGTGTGGGGGGCCTAGGGTGCTCTGCTTGGACCTTCTGGGTGTCCCCCTGTGATCTCAGGTTCCTCACCTGTCTCAGAGGACTGATGGGCTGCTATGGTAGGGTTCTTTGGAGGACTAAGACAGATAGTCCCAGTAAAGCCCCATTAGCCCCTCCCCCACCCCCCGCCCTCTGGATTTTTTTTTTTTTTTTTTTAATTTTTCTGGCTTTCTGAGGAAACTTTCCGGAATGTGTCCAGGTGTTGAAGCGGGAAGGCTGGACACCCTCCCTTGGCGTTGCAGTTCCTTCCAGACGCCCCCTCTTCTTAGGCTCTTTTCAAGCGCACGCCAGGCAACATATGCTCTACCCAAGTGCACTTCACAGATCTTCCTGTGGGTCTAAAACAAGAACGCTTTCTTCCCTGACCCTTGCCCTCATATCACCCCAACCCCAAGTCTTTTGGCAGATCCGGCTACAGACTCGAGTGTCAGTTTAATGCTTGTTCCCTAAGGTCTCCCCAGGGCTCTTAGGACGGCGTTAGGGTTAGGATTCGGGTTCGGGTGCGCTTCTCGGCGCCCTGCGCTGGCGCTGTGTGCCTTTGGGAGGGCGGAGCTGCCTTCTCCTCAGCACAGGATGAGGTGTGTTCTGCTCAGCACAGACCTGGGGGGCCACCGCAAAGGCAGAGCAGCGTTCTCCTCAGCACAGACCTTGGGGGCACTGCCTCGCTTTGGGACAACTCGGGGCCGCATCGACGGTGAATAAAATCCTTCCTGTTTGCAGCCCTGAATAATCAGGGTCAGAGACCAGTCAGACGGGTTCAGTGTGGAAAACGGGAAACCAATAGCCCCTCTGAATCCTGCCCACTGAGTTTCTCCCCTGCCAAGGCGAGGTGGCCGCAGTGCGAGATCCACACCGCAGTCTCGGAAGACAAATGCAGCATTCCTAATGCAGACATGACACCCAAAATATGACACCCCCATTGCTCATGTAACAAGCACCTGTAGTGCTAATGCACTGCCTCAATACAAAAACATTAATATAAGATCCACAATCCCCTCGCTGCCGTGCAGTCCTAAGACAGCGATCATAATAATCAACATTGACATAGTCAATACAAACGTAGTAATGAACCTAGGGTTAAGGTTGGTGTTAGGGTTAGGGGTTAGGGGTTAAGTTTACGGTTAGGGGTTGGAGATAGAAGTTGGGGTCAGAGTTAGGGGTTAGGAGTCAACGTTTAGAGTGAGGGGTTAAGAGAGGTTAGGGGTTAGGGATTAGGTGTTAGGGTTGGGTTAGGGTGAGGGTGAGGGTTGGGGTTAGGTGTTAGGGTTAGGGTTAGGGGTTAGGGTTATGGTCAGGGGTTAGGGGTCAGGGTCAGGGGTTAGGGGTCAGGGTCAGGGGTCGGGGTCAGGGTCAGGGGTCAGGGTCAGGGTTCCCTCTCTGTTATTTGTCTATTTACTCTGCTGACTGTTCCCTTTGCCATGCAAAAGCTATTTAGTTTAATTAAGTCCCAGCTATTTAGCTTTGTTTTTATTGCATTTGCATTTGGGTTCTTGGTCATGATATCCTTGCCTATGCCAATGTCTAGAAGGGTTTATCCAGTGTTACCTTCTAGAATTTTTATAGTTCAGGAATTAGGTTTAAGTCCTTAATACATCTTGAGTAGATTTTTGTATAAGGTGAGAGATGAGAATCCAGTTTTATTCCCCTACATGTGGCTCGCCAATTATCCCAACATCATGTGTTGAAAAGGGTGTCCTTTCCCCACTTTATGTTTTTGTTTACTTTGTCGAAGATCAGTTGGCTGTAAGTATTTGGGTTAATTTCTGTGTTCTCTCTTCTGTTCCATTGGTCTATGTGCCTATTTTTAAACCAGTACCATGCTGTTTTGGTAACTATGGCCTTATTGTACAGTTTGAAATCAAGTAGTGTGATGCCTCCAGGTTTGTTCTTTTTGCTTAGCCTTGGTTGGGCTACATGGCTCTCTTTTGGTTCCATATTAATTTTAGAATTGTTTTTGTAATTCTCTGAAGAATGATGATGGTATTCAGATGGGGATTGCATTGAATTTGTAGATTGCCTTTAACAGAATGGTAATTTTCACAATATTGGTTCTACCTATCCATGAGCATGGGGATGCATTTCCATTTGTTTGTGTCATCTAAGATTTCTTTTCTTTCTTGGTCTTTTTTTTTTTTTTCAGAGGGAGTTTCGCTCTTGTCGCTGAGGTGGGAGTGCATTGGTGTGATCTCAGCTCACTACAACTTCTGCCTCCCGGGTTCAAGCAATTCTCCTGCCTCAGCTTCCCGAGTAGCTGGGATTATAGGCATGCACCACCGTGCTTGGCTCCATCTGTGATTTCTTTCAGCAGTGTTTTGTAATTTTCATTGTAGAGGTCTTTTGATTCCTTTGTTAGGTATATTCCTAAGTTTTTTTTGTTTGCTTTTTTGTTTTTTGCAGCTATTGTAAAAGGGGTTGAGTTCTTGATGTGATTCTCTGCTTGGTAGCTGTTGATGTATAGAAGAGCTACTGATTTGTGTACATTAATCGTGTATCTGGAAACTTTGCTGAATTCTTTTATCAGTTCTAGGAGCTTTCTAGAGGAGTCCATAGGGTTTTCAAGGCGAAAGATCATATCGTCAGCAACCAGTGACAGTTTGGCTTCCTCTTTACCAATTTGGATTTCCTCTATTTCCTTCTTTTTTCTGATTGCTCTGGCTAGGACTTCCAGTACTATGTTGAAGAGGAGTGGTGAGAGTAGGCTCCTCGTCTTGTTCCAGTTCTCAAAGTGAATGCTTTCACCTTTTCCCCATTCAGTATTATGTTGGCTGTGGGTTTGTCACAGATGGCTTTTATTACATTAAGGTATGTCCCTTGTATGCCTATTTTGCTGAGAGCTTTAATCATAAAGCAATGCTAGATTTTGTCGAATGCTTCTTCTGCATCTGTTGATATAATCATGTGAGTTTTTTTTTAATTCTGTTTATTTGGTGTATCACATTTATTGACTTGCGTATGTTAAACCATTCCTGTATCACTGGTATGAAACCCACTTGATCATGGTGGATCATCTTTTTGATATGTTGTTGGATTCAGTTAGATAGTATTTTGTTAAGGATTTTGGCATCTGCGTTCAAGGATGTTGGTCTGTAGTTTTCTTTTTTGGTTATGTCCTTCCATGGTTTTGGTATTAGGGTGATGCTGGCTTCATAGAATGAATCAGGGAGGGTTTCTTCTTTTTCTGTCTTGTGGAATAGTGTGAAAGGATTGGTATCATTTCTTCTTTGAATGAAAGAAGACATCCTTTGAATGTCTGGTAGAATTCTGCTGTGAATCTGTCTAGTCCTCGGCTTTTTTTGTTGGTAATTTTAATATTACCATTTCGATCTTTCTGCTTGCTTTATTGGTCTGCTTGAGGTATCTAATTCTTCCTGATTTAAGCTAGGAGGGTTGTATTTTTCCAGGAATTTGTCCAACTCTCCTAGGTTTTCTAGTTTATGTGCCAAAAGGTGTTCATAGTACCCTTGAATAATCTTTAATATTTCAGTGGTGTCAGTTGTAATATCCCCTGTTTCATTTCTTAGTGAGGTTATTTGGATTTTCTCTCTTCTTTTCTTGGTTAATCTTGCTAACGGTCTATCAATTTTATTTATCTTTTCAAATAACCAACTTTTTGTTTTATTTATGTTTTGTATTTTTTGTTGTTGTTGTTGTGTCAATTTCATTTAGTTCTGCTCTGATCTTGGTTATTTCCTTTGTTTGCTGGGATTGGGTTTGGCTTGTTCCTGCTTCTCTAGTTCCCTGAGATGTGAACTTAGATTGTCTGTGCTCTTTCAGACTTTTTGACATAGGTGTTTAGGGCTACAAACTTTCCTCCTAGCACTGCCTTTGCTGTATCCCAGAGGTCTTGATAGGTTGTGTCATCCAGTTCAAAGAAATTTTTTACATTTCCATCTTGATTTCATTTTTCACCCAATGCTCATTCAGGAGCAGGTTATTTAATTTCTATGTATTTGCATGGTTTTGAAGATTCCTTTTGGAGTTGATTTTCAGTTTTATTCCACTGTGATCTGAGAGAGTGCGTGATACAATTTCAATTTTCTTAAATTTATTGAGACTCATTTTATGGCCTATCATATGGTCTATCTTGGAGAAAATTCCATGTGCTGTGGAATAGAATGTGTATTCTGTGGTTGTTGGATGAAATGTTCTGTATATATCTGTTAAGTCCATTTGTTCCAAAGTATAGTTTAAATCCAGTGTTTCTTTGTTGACTTTCTGTCTTGATGACCTGTCTAGTGCTGTCAGTGGAGTATTGAAGGCCCCCACTATTATTGTGTTGCTGTCTATCTCATTTCTTATGTCTACTAGTAATTGTTTTATAAATTTGGAAGCTCCAGTATTAGGTTCATGTATGTTCAGGATTGTCATATTTTTCTGTTGGATGAGGCCTTTACCGTTTTATACTGTCTGTCTTTGTCTCTTTTAGCTACTGTTGCTTTAAAGTTTGTTTTTTCTCATATGAGAATAGCTATCACTGCTCGCTTTTGGTGTCCATTTGCATGAAATGCCTTTTTCTACCACTTTCCTTAAGTTTATGTAAGTTGTTATGTGTTAGGTGAGTCTCCTGAAGGCAGCAGATAGTTAGTTGGTGAGTTCTTTATTCTGTGGTTCTGTATCTTGTAAGTGGAGCATTTAAGCCATTTACAACCAACATTACTATTAAAAAGTGAGGTACCATTGCTTTCATCATGCTCTTTGTTGCCTCTGTACATTGTTTTTGTTTTCTGTTTTTGCTTTTTAACTTGTATTTTTGTTTTGTAGGTCTTGTGTGATTTATGCTTTAATGAAGTTCTGTTTTGATGTGTTTCCAGGATTTGTTTCACGATTTAGAGCTCCTTTTAGCAGTTTTTACAGTGCTGGTTTGGTAATGGCAAATTCTGTCAGCATTTGTTTGTCTGCAAATGACTGTATCTTTCCTTCATATATGATGTTTAGTTTTGCTGGATACAAAATTCTTGGCAGATAATTGTTTCGTTTGAGGAGGCTGAAGAAAGGACCCCAATCCCATCTAGCTTGTAAGGTTTCTGCTGCGAAATCTGTGGTTAGTTTGATAGGTCTTCCTTTATAGGTTACCTAGTGCTTCTGTCTCACAGCTCTTAAGATTCTTTCCTTTGTCTTAACTTTGGATAACCTAATGACAATGTGCCTAGGCTAAGATCTTTTTGTGATGAATTTCCCAGGTGTTATTTGTGCTTCTTGTATTTGGATGTCTAGGTCTCTCACAAGGCCATGGAAATTTTCATTGATTATTCCCCCAAATATGTTTTCCTGGCTTTTAGAATTCACTTCTTCCTCAGGTACACAAATTAGTCTTAGGTTTCATCGTTTAACAGAATGCCAGACTCCTTGGAGGCTTTGCTCATATTTTCTTATTCTTTTTTCTTTGTCTTTATTGGATTGGGTTAAATCAAAGACCGTGTCTTCAAATTCTGAATTTCTTTCTTCTACTTGTTCAGTTCTATTGCTGATACTTTCCAGAGCATTTCACATTTCTAAAAGTGCATCCAAAGTTTCCTGATTTTTTTTTAATTTAAGCTATCTATTTCCTTGAATGTTTCTCCCTTCACTTATTGTATCATTTTTTGGATTTTCTTGCTTCACCTTTCTCTGGCCCCTCCCTGATTAGTTTAATAACTAACCTGAATTCTTTTTCAGATAAATCAGTGATTTCTTCTTTGTTTGGATCCATTGGTGATGAACTGGTGTGATTCTTTGGGGGGTATTGAAGAGTCTTGTTTTGTCAGATTACCAGGGTTGGTTTTCTGGTTCCTTCTCATTTTGGTAGACTCTGTCAGAGGAAAGGTCTAGGGCTGAAGACTGTTGTTCAGACTCTTTTGTCGCACGGAGTGTTCCCTTGACGTAGTACTCTCCCCCTTTTCCTATGGGCATGGCTTCCTGTGAGCCGAAGTGCATTGATTGTTGTCTCTCTTCTGGGTCTAGCCACCCAGCAGGTCTACCTGGCTTTGGGCTGGTACTAGGGGTTGTCTGCATAGAGCCCTGTGATGTGAACCATCTATGGGTCTCTCAGACATGGATACCAGCGCCTGTTCCAGTGGATGTGGTGAAGGGTGCAATAGACTCTGTGAGGGTCCTTAGCTTTAGTGGTTTAATGCTCTATATTCGTGCTGGTTGGCCTACTGCCAGGAGGTGGTGCTTTCCAGAAAGCATCAGCTGTAGTAGTGTGGAGGCACTGGCAGTGGGCAGGGCCCTAGGACTCCCAAGATTATATGTCCTTTGTCTTCCACTACCAACTTAAACATTTGTGACAATTTCAATGTCAGAAATTTATGTGTAATTGAATTTATTCTGGTAGCCTAAATTCTGGTAGCTTATTTTCTTATATGCTTCAATCTTTATAATTTAGTTCTCACATGAGGGAGATCTAATATTGGAAATATTTTCAATCTGTATGTTTATGTATTTATTCTAGTTGTCCTGGCACAAGGTTATCAATGTTGCTGTGTGACCAGCCATTGGCTTTTCACATTTACAACTCCTCTGAATTTTTTCTTGCCTCATTTCTGGTGCTGGGAAATTCTGATATTTTCTCCTCATCTCCATTGTACATTTTAGGGATTCTTGAAACTTTTGATGCACAAACATCCACACTTTCTGCATAAGTAAAATATTTTACTTAGATATTTTCTAGCAGACACTGAGTTCTCATGAGAAATCCTCAGTCTCTTTATTTGGAACACCCCCTCCCCAATATTCCATATGGAGTAGTTTTGTGTAGAATGTGATTACTTCATTAATATGTCAAAGTATGGATACATTTTGAACACATTTCTGAAGTTGTAATACCTTTCTTGATGAATAGTACCTGCGCATGACCAGAATTGTATTTTTAGTAGATACGGGGTTTCACCCTGTTAGCCAGGATGGTCTCGATCTCCTGACCTCGTGATCCGCCTGCCTCGGCCTCCTAAAGTGCTGGGATTACAGGCATGAGCCACAGCGCCTGGCCAATCACATCATTCTTGTATTCACCTAGTGGTCGCTGTGTACCTCCCACGTCAGGCACCGTACTACCAGACACTGAGGATCCGGTGGGGAGCCAGAGGGACTTTAAGGACTGAGTCAGTAGGACACGGGCTGGTGGGATAGGGAAGGATGAGGGAGACAGAGGGTCAGATGATCCCCATGGTTCTGCCTGGGGCACCTGAAGGGAAGTCAGAAAGGAAGCCAGGTTGAAGAGGGATGGCAATGAGTTTTGTGTTTGGTCTGCAGGACAGAGATGCCGGGCTGCGGGGAGGACAGGTGGGAGGACAGGTAGGAGGTGTGCATCACAGGTAAAGACAATTGCTCTATGGGCCTGGGGTTTGATGGAAAGAGACGTTAAATCATGGTTCATGATTCTTTCTCAAAATTGTAATGCAAAGAGCCCTCAATGAATCTGCATTTTATAGCATGTACTGTGCAAGTTTCGGGGGTATCAGGAAGAAGTAACATGCTGCTTTGTCTCCTGAAGCTCACAGGCTAGTGGACATGGCAGACATGTAAGAGAAGGGAGAAGAGGTCAGTCCACAGAGAACAGATTTGGGTTTACCTCTGATGCTGGCCCTCACCCAGATCAACCAAACCTAATGGAAACAGAGAGCTGAGAAAGCGGGAGAGTTGAGCTCACTGATGCTCGGATTTTACAGATGAATCTGGAGGCGGTTTCTCCCAGTGCTGACATCCAGGCACTGCGGGTGCCACAGAGAAACATGGAAGGGCCTTCTGGAGACCACCACACCTGGCATCCTTCCCCCTTTTAGAACTGGAGCGAAACAGCCATGTGTGCTATCACTACTTCTTTCATTACAGTGTCGGTCCAACACCGTAATGGTCTGACAGTCCTGCAGCCTGGAAGCCCAGGATCACGGTGCCAGCAGGGTTGGTTTCTTCCAAGGCCTCTATTCTGGGTGGTGGCCTCATGTGGCCTTTCCTCTGTGGGCACGTGCCCTTGGTGCTTCCCACCACTTTTTTCCAAGTTCACGCTGATCCCTTGAATCAGTTGTCACTCCCCCACTTGTTTTCCAGCTTCTGTGATGTTCCTGGCAGGCGCTCCTCTCACTCTCTGCTGTGAACTCTTCCCTTTTACATCTGCAATCCCTTTGCATTCCTTTTAGAGGTGTTTGGAGGAGAAGCAAGGGCTGAAGTTGTTCCCACTCATGTCTTTCACCCCCCAGGTGCCCCTGATGTTTCAGCTCCCAGTGGTGCCTGCAGGGAGATCCCTCTGTACTTCATAATATTATTTCTATTTTTTACACTTTTTTTTTTGAGATGGAGTTTCACTCTTCTCGCCCAGGCTGGAGTGCAGCGGTACGATCTCAGCTCAATGCGACCTCCACCTTCCAGTTTCAAGCAATTCTCCTGCCTCAGCCTCCCAGGTAGCTGGGATTACAGGTGCTCACCACCACGCCCAGTTAATTTTTGTATTTTTAGTAGAGATGGGGTTTCTTCATGTTGGCCAGGATGGTCTCTAACTCCTGACCTCAGTTGATCCGCTCGCCTTGGCCTCCCGAGGTGCTGGGAATACATGCGTGAGCCACTGCGTCTGGCCACACTTTTTTTTAAAAAAATTTCCTTGCAGTACTGCTTGGGCTACATGGCTTAAGCTTTTGTACATAGTTTTCATTGTTCGGTTCTAAATGCTTTTAGATTTTCATTCTAATTCTTCTCGGACCAGTGCATTATTTTTTATTTTTTTAATTTAAAAAATAATTTAATTTAGTTTTATAGAGATGGGGGGTCTCACTATGTTGCCCAGGCTGGTCTTGAACTCCTGGGCTCAAGGGATCCTCCTACCTTGGCCTCCCAAAACTCTGGGATTATAGGTGTGAGCCACCGTGCCTGGCCAGTAGTGTATCTTTAAATTTCCAAACATAGGGGAGCCCTTAATTTTAGTTTGGTTGCCAATTTATGCCTTTATTCTGTTGCATCAAGAACATGGCTGGTGTGATGCAAGTTCTTTTGCTATTTGTTGAGTCTTGTTTTGCAGCCTAGGACATGGTGAGTGTTAGTAAATGTCCAAGGTGAACTTGAAAACAATGTGTGGTCTGTAGTTTTTGGGTGCCCACTAAATCAAGTTTGTTCAACTTTTCCATATTCTTTTTTTTATTTTTATTTTTTGACAGAGTCTCACTCTGTTGCCCAGGCTGGAGTGCAGGGGCATGATCTCAGCTCACTGAAACCTCAAGTTCAAGTGATTCTCCTGCCTTAGCCACCCGAGTAGCTGGGATTACAGGCATGAGCCACCACATCTGGCTCATTTTTGTATTTTTTATTTTATTTTCAGCATGTTGGCCAAGCTGGTCTCAAACTCCTGACCTCAAGTAATCTGCCTGCTTTCGCCTCCCAAAGTGTTGGGATTACAAGCATGAAACACTATGCCTGGCCCAATTTTTCTATATTCTTCCTAATTGAGCCTGCTTAAACCAGCAGTTCCAGTGAGAAGTAGTATAATTTCCTGCGTGGAGAATTTGCTCATTTATTAATTTTTCCTTTTCTTGACACTTTTTTGTTTTGTAGTCATTTGAGGCTCTATCATTATGCAGGTGCACACAAGATCAGAATGGCTAATGCTTCTTTTTTTTTTTTTTTCTTTTTTTCCCTGTCGCCCAGGCTGGAGTGCAATGGCTTGACCTTGGCTCACTGCAAACTTCGCCTCCCAGGTTGAAGCAGTTCTGCCTCAGCCTCTCTAGTAGCTGGGACTACAGGCATGGGCCACCAGGCCTGGCTAATTTTGTACTGCAGTAGAGATGGGGTTTCACCATGTTGTTCAGGCTGGTCTCGAACTCCTGACCTCAGGTGATCTGCCTGCCTTGGCCTCCCAAAATGCTGGGATTACAGGCGTGAGCCACCATGCCTGGCCGCTAATACTTCTTTGAAAATAATTAAATTATTTATGTATTTATCCTTTTTCCCCCACCCCTCCCCCACCAGTTAATGCTTTGGAATGAATACTCATCAGTATGCTGCAACCACTTTTAATCCTAATAATGATTTTGCCCTGGAGCCTACTTTGTGCGATATGAGCTTCTCTCCACTAGCTTCCTTTTGGATGGTCTTTGCCAGATGTGTCTCCTTCTATCTGTAGTAATTAGAGCCATTCCAGCTATGTGTCAAAAATAAACAAAAGGGGTTTATGATCAAGCATGGGTGACTTACACAATCATCAAAAGAAATGGAGGAACAACTCCCAGCCCTCCGAATCGGCCACCTCCTGGGATCAGGAATAAATCGTAATCTCAAAATACAGGTAAACAGTCTACCTCCTGTCCCCTAAATGAGATGCCAAGCATGCCCCTCCCCTCAGCCAGGCTGTCTCCATCCAAGCTTCAATGACCACTGGCCTCCCTGCTGACCCATGTCCCACTGAGGAGCCCCAAGCTCTGAACAAACTGCCTACGCACCATCCCCTCGGGCTGCACCTGCTCCCCAGGCCTTCCCCCCCTTTGGAGCTGCCTCTGTCCACCAAGGGTGCTGTCGCTCACCTAACCTTCCAACCAGAACTCAGTGGTACCTTGCTGCCCCCTCCACTCCCTGAAGAAGCTGCCCCCATGCCTGTCAAGTTCTTCCAACTGCTCGAACCTTCTGGAACTCCAGGCCTCAGCATGTCTTGTCTGGGTGGCTGCAATGGCTATGCTTGCTTCTCTGTCTCTCTCCATCAATCAGTCAACCAATCAATCGATCAATCATCTATCAATCAGCTATCCACCTATTAATCTATAATCAATAATCTGTTAATCTATATAATTTACTTCTATAATCAATCATTGATCTATCCCATGTATCTTCCTATCTACCCTTTATCATGTCTATCCATCTATCTATCATTTATGCCTCTATCATGTTTATCTTTCAATAATTTATCTATCACCAGGCACAGTAGCATGTGCCTGTAGTCCCAGTAACTCAGGAGGCTGAGGCAGGAGGACTGCTTGATGCTAGCAGATCAAGTCCAGACTGGGCAAGATAGTGAGATCTCATCTCTAAAAAAAATTTTTAAATCATCTATCATCTCTCTCTATTCATCTATCTATCCATGTATCTATCATGTATTTTATCTATCACTTAGCACCTATGAATCATCCATCATCTATCAATTATCTACATCATGTCTATATATCTATATATCTATGTATCAATTTATCCATCAATCATCTATCTGTCTGTTTTCGAGGTGATATTCACAAAATATACAATCAATCCCTTTAAAGTGCACAATTCAGTGGCATTTAGTATGCTCTATAGTTCCAGAACATTTTCTTCGAAATAAAAAGAAACCCGAGGCTGGGTGTGGTGGCTCATGCCTGTAATCCAGCACTGTGGGAGGCTGAGGCAGGACGATCGCTTGAGCTCAGCAGTTTGAGACCAGCCTGGGCAACATAGTGAGATCCTGTCTACAAAAAAAAAAAAAAAAATCACAAAATTAGCAGGGTATGGTGGCACACGCCTGTGGTTCCAGCTACTCAGGAGGCTGGGGCAGGATTGCTTGAGCCCGGGAGATCAAGGCTGCAGTGAGTTATGAATGCACCACTGCACTCCAGCCTGGGTGACAGGGTGAGACCCAGTCTGTCTCATTAAAAAATAAAAAATAAATAGAAAATGTTTTGAAAAGGACTGCTCCTGCCCCATTTTCCTTCCCCTGCCCCAGCCCCTGACACCCACTCATCTGCTTTCTGTCCTGATGAGCCTATTCTGGACATTTGTGTCTGGCTTCTTTCACCCAGCATGAACTCTTTGAGGTCTATCTGTCGTGTTATGGTGGAATGGCACTGTGCCTTATGGACAGGCTGTTTGTCCATTTGTCTGTTGATGAACACTCAGGCTGTCCCACCTTTGGGAGGCTATGGCCATCCATGCATAAAGGTATGGCCGCACAGCTGTTCTCAGTTCTCATGCCTCTGAGGCCAGATGGGCTGCTGCACTCTATTCCCACCAGCCACCCTCACATGCAGCCACGTGGCCTGCAGTACTCGACACTGCTTCCCTGTTGTCGAAAGCTCCTCGGTGGACTCTGGGCTAAGTCCTGTCTCTGTAGTGTGTCCTCCAAGGCCCACCAGCCGCAGCCCTCCCTTCCCCTGCCCTCCCTTCCCCTGCATGCAGCACGAACACCCTGCACTGTGCTCCCAGTTCCCCCCCCAGGCCCCTGCACAAGTGGCCTCCTCTCCCTAGAAGGGCCAGCAGCACCCTGTGTGGCAGCTTAGACATCCCTTCTCTTGCCTTCGTGCTTCTCCCACAGGGACCAGCATGATCCCCTCCCCTAGTCCTATTTGGGCTCAGCCATTATTTCTGTGCAATGTTGTTGCAGGTTCTGCCCCGCCACCATCACAGGAATCCTAAGAGCATTGGCGTGATGCTCGGTGGAGGGCATGTTGGACCATGTCTTCTGGTGACTTTCCCCCACGGAGGGGCTTGGGGGTCAGGCCCACTCCTTTCCCAAACTCACTCTTTCCCCCACAGGCAACCCACTCCCTCTCCTCCATCTCTCCCTAAGACCCGCAGCAGACACCACCAGACTCTGAGGCAGGGAGGAAGGACTGCATTTGCCAATGGAGGCTTTTACTGGGGGGACTCGGGATGGCACCCGGCCTGAGGGCTGAGGGCCCGGGAAAGGCACACGGTGGCGGTGGGTAGGCGCTCTCTCTCGGGCAGGCGCTGGCTCTGCAGACAGCTCCCCCTGGTGACCCCTGTTTGGCACTGAGCTGGGAACATGGTGTCCGCACTCCCAGCTAGCAAGCAGAGGTCCGTGTGGCCAGGTGGCGGCTGACAGTGTAGGCTGGCGGGGTGACGGCCACAGGGGCTGGGTTTGGCACCAGTGGGAGCCGGGGCCCCAGGGGACTCAGAGGCTGGGCCGCCCCTGCTGCTGGCAGGGTAGTCACATTGGCCACGGAGATGGCTACGAATAGGGAATCCAATAAATTAGGCTGTAGAAAGAGGAGGTGAGGGGCCGAGGGGGCGGGGCCTACATTCTCACTCTGCAGGCAGTGCTGTGCGTCCCTCTCCCGTGGGATCTTCGGGGCTTCTGTGGGGGAGAGGATGCAGGTGAGGCGCTCTGTGTGACCATGGGTACCACTGGGCGGCTTTTATGGCATCGCATGGGATGGGAGCCTTGGCTGGCCACCCTCAGGAGATGGACCGTGGGGTCTTTGAGAGACTGACGAGGAGGGAGGCCACCTGCTGTGTCAGGGGCTGTGGCCTGAGGGGCTCCTGGGGCTCGGCTGCGCTGCTGCGTGGCCAGCACTGGGCCCTTGTACCCCAGCTTCCTCCACGGAGCAAAGTAGAGGACTCACTGCCCTGGACTGGGCCCAGTCACTGTGGAACAGACCCCCCAGGGAGTGGGAGGGACAGGGTGAGGGTTACGCAGGGCGCCACCCTCCACATCTACTTTCCCGAGGTCGGGAAGGGTCTTCTAGGACGAGGGGCCTGGCATGCAGGGGCGGGGTGCGTGCGCAGGTGGGCACTGCCGTCTCCTTCATGTGATTCGAGCTTGGGGGCGGGGCAGGGGCTGGGGAGGGTGGCGTCAGGTGGAGGCACCCTGGAGGCCACCAGGGCCTTGCGGGCTAGGTGCCGGCACATGCGCTGGGGCCACGGCCTCGCCCAGGATTTGGCAGAGCTCCTGGAGGTGCCGCTGCATCTTGGGAATGCCTGCCAGCTGCTGCTCCAGCCGCTGTTTCTCCTCTGTCAGACTCAGGCTGGCCGCTGAGTCCAGCTTCTCGAACTTCCAGCCGCCCTCCCCATCGAACTGTAGCAAGTGTGTGTGGTACTCCCTGGCCAGGAGAGGGACAGGGTCAGGGGCACGGCACGAGGGCTGCTGATGACAGCCGCCTGCTGCTGCCGCCTGGCCCAACAGGCCACCTCCTCCCCTCAGGCAGCCACTCCCACTCACCCCAGGAAGGGAGACAGGGCACCTACCACAGGGAGGGCCGGTGGGTGATGGAGAGCAGGGCAATGCCTGCGTCCTTGGCCGCCTGGAAGATCTTGCCTTCCACGTCGATGCTCATGGCACTGGTGCATTCATCCAGGAGGGTGTACTTGGGCCTGGGGGTCCGGGCCGAGAGGAGAGTCTGTGCACCCTCCAGGGCCCAACACCCCAACCCGGCTCAGGCTCCACTGAGCCCAGGCCTCCCCACAGCTGCTACTTCTCCTTCCAGGGGACCCCAGGGAGCCTGCCAGCCTGGAGTGCTCACCTGTGGTAGAACATGCAGGCCATGCCGATTCTCTGCTTCTTGCCACCCGGCAGGACGTCCTTCCAGTCACACATAGCCTCCCAACCTAGGCAGGGGCAATGGTCTTGGCTCAGTTCCACCAGTACCCAGACCTGGGGGCCAGCCGGGGAGCTGGGGGAGCTGCGGGAATGAGCTAGCTGTGAGGACAGGGCCCCTGTGCCTCTGCGTCCTTGTCTGACAGGCATTAATCATGGAGGAGTGGGGACTGGAATCGTGCCTTCCCCCAGAAGAGACATGGTGGAGTCCAAGCCCCAACACTTCAGTGTGACCTTATTTGGAGACAGGGCCTTCGCAGAGGTGATCACACTAAGATGAGGTCATCAGAGCGGACCCTAATTCAATATGAATGTGTCCTCATAAAAAGGGGGTGTGCGGGTAGAGGACGTGCACAGGGGAACACGAGGTGAAGATATACAGGGAGAAGTGGACCATCTGCGAGCCGAGGACAGAGGCCTGGAACACATACTTCTGTCATGGCACCCGGAAGGAACCCAACCTGCTGGTACCAGGATCTAGGACTGCTGGACCCAGGAGATGATCCACCCCTGCGGTTTATGGCAGCCCCAGGACACCCATACAGTTCCTTGGCACAGAGCTCCAGAGCGGCCTGAGTGATCTCCCCAGACCGGGGGCTTGTCACCCACAGGGGTTGGGCCTCCTGTCACTGCCCCGTGCCAGCACTTTGGCAAGGCTCGAGTGGGCTGCTTGAACAAGCAGGTGAGCCGGCTGCTCCATTGGGCCGGGGCGCTGCGGCAGAAGTGGCCCCTCCTGTCTTCTCGCCCATGCTGCCTTCCCCAGCGGCCCAGGGCTGGAAGTGGCGACAGGGTATATGGCCACCCAGAGTAGAGATTATGCTTCCCAGGTGGTCTTGTGGTGAGGTGTGAGCATGAGACTAAGTTGTGGCCAATGAGATATAACTGTAAGTATTCAATATGGTGGCTTCTGGAAACTTCCTTAAAAGATAGAAGGCACATACCTTTTGCCCCTTCCCTTCTACTTCCTCCATTCTACAGCCTGGGACGTGATGTGAGGGCTGTAGCAGCCCTCCTGGATCATGAGGTGACTTTGGGAATGGAGGCCACACACAGCAGAGTGACATGGTAGAAAATCCTAGAGACTTGGGGCCTTCACAGAGCAGGGCCAGCCCTGGCAACTGTGGCCTGGCTCTCTTGGGACCTAACAGCTCAGTAGGATAAACTCACAGATGATCTTAGCCACTACTGCGGGGAGGCCGGTTCTGTTCCTTGCAGCTCAACTCCATCCTAACGGCTCAAGCTGGCCAGCCACAGGCCCTGGGCATTCAGGCTGCCACAGAGGCGGGAGGGGCCATGTGCTCCCAGGCCGAGGGCAGCAGGAGCAAGAGGCAGGGCCAGGCCAGCGGCTGCTCCACCACCATCGCCACCTGCGTTCCCGCTTCCTCCACAGGCAGGTGACAACACCCTGGTCATTTCCTGCAGGAGCCACTTCTTCTCATGTTGCCACCGAGGGAGGGCTTGGGTGCCCATGCCCTTGAACCATGAAGGGGAGCCCCAGCAAGGCGAGGTCCTTGCCCAGGGCCATCTCGCACCCAGCAGTGGGGGCTGGAAGCAGAACCCAGAGGCTCAGAATTCAAAGACAGAACTGAACGCTCCGTCTACTGTGTCCCTGTAGCTGCACCCCCCTCTCCTCCTCAGCTCTCCCGGCCCGACAGACACTGTGGACACGCAGTATTCCTTGATAAGCCCAGGACAAGAAAACAGCTCAGTCTGGCCTCCTTTTCAGTGAACTCATCTCTGAATCCACCCGACTCTGCTGGCCCCAGCCCCCTCCAAGCATCTGCACAGACCTCCTGACAGTAGCCATCACTGCACACATGTGTCTGCTCCTCCCAGGCTGCCCCTGCCCACCACCCCACGGTCCTTCCAAGAGCGTCTGATCCCGCTCAGGGAAAGCCTAGGCTCCCGCCTGGTCCAGAGGGCCCTCTGTGAGCCAGCCTCTCACACCTCCAAGCCTGCAGGCCGCACTCTGCCCTGCTGCCCCTGGCTCCTGGACGGGGTAACCACTCAGCATTCTGCAGGGCTCAGCTCAGACCCCTTTTCTCTGGGAGAGGGTATCCTGGGTCCCCCAATGAGGTGCACATCCCTGCTAGGTGCCCCCTTCCCTAGAGCACCCATGCCACCTGGGGCCATCTGTGTGGTGTTGGTCCTCCCTGGTAGGCGGGCCTCAGAGGTAGCACCCTCTGCCCTGCCCCTGTGGCACCTGGCACTTTAGACTCCTGGATGTTGAGATAATCTTCACTCCCTGGAGGCCAAGGGAGAGGCCAGGGTGGGACAAAGGGCGGCTGCCAGCCCCAGGCCTCCTACCTCCCTCCCGCTGCAGGGTGTGGTGCGGGTGCACGATGTCCAGGATGGCTTCCAGGTCCTGCTCCGAGTAGCCGTTCCTTCGCATGTCCTCCACTGAGTCCGGGTAGATCACCTGGTCATGCAGGGAACCCACAGACATGTAGGGCCTGTGGGAAAGCTGGGTGTCCATGGAGGGAAGGGCCGGCCCTGCCTCCCCCAGGACACTCTGCGCCTCCCAGGCAGTGTAGATTCTGTCTGCTGTAGACAAAATAATGGCCCCCGAAAAATGTTCATGTCCTAATTCCCAGAGTCTAACATACAAATATGTTAGGTGGCTTGGCAGTGGGAAATTAGATTTCAAGTGAAATTAAGGTTGCAAAGGAGGGGGGGGTGCAAAAAGCCGTGTCGGGCAAAAAGCCGAGGCGGGGTGGGGGCAAACAGCCGAGGCGGGTAAAAAGCCGCGGGGGCAGGGGGTAAAAAGCCACCGCGGGGAAAAAGCCGCAGCGGCGGGGTGGCAAAAACCTGGGGCGGCCAAAAAGCCGCAGCGGCGGGGGCGCAAAAAGCCACGGCGGCGGGTGTGCAAAAATCCGCGGCGACAAAAAGCCGCGGCGGCGGAGGGGCAAAAAGCGGAGGTGGCGGGGACGCAAAAAGCCGCGGGAGCGGGGGGTGGGGGGGTTGTAAAAAGCCGCGGCGTGGTGGGGGGCAAAAAGCCGCGGCGGGGGGTAAAAAGCCGCGGCCAGCAAAAAGTCGCGTCGGCGGGGGACAAAAAGCAGCGGCGGCGGGGGGCCAAAAGCCGAGGCGGGCAAAAAGCCGAGGCGGGGTGGGGGCAAAAAGCCGAGGCGGGGTGGGGGCAAAAAGCCACGGCGGCAGGGGGTAAAAAGCCGCGGCAGGCAAAAAGTCGCGGCGGCGGGGGACAAAAAGCCGCGGTGGCGGGGGGCAAAAAGCCGTGGCTGGCAAAAAGCCGAGGCGGGGTGGGGGCAAAAAGCCGCGGCGGGCAAAAAGCGGAGGTGAGATGGGGGGAAAAAACCACGGCGGCGGGGGGGCAAAAAGCCGCGGCGGGTAAAAAGCCGCGGCGGCGGGGGTGGGGGGCAAAAAGCCGCGGCGGCGGCGGAGCAAAAAGCCGGGGCAGGCAAAAAGCCGCGGCGGCGGAGGGCAAAATAGTGGAGATGGGGTAGAAGGCCGGCACAGCTTGGCATTGCTGGAGTGTGATGTGATAGGAAATGTGCAGCCAAACACAAAAAAAGATGTAAGTAGGCTTGACTCATTGCAGCTAAGAACCCAGATGTTATCTTGAGGGTATTAACTAATAAGCAGTTTAAATCAGAATGGCACATTCTGATTTGTTTTTTGTATGTTCACATTTGGCAGGCATAGATACTGTTTGAAAAGAGAAAAGTCAGTAGATAGAGGTAATAAACTTAAATATGTGCCAAGTCTAGAAACAAGAGACTAGGGGGATAATGACCTTTCAAAATAAAATGCAAGATTTGAAAACTGATAGGCTGGTGGATGAGGAAAAGGCAGGTCTTTAAGGTCAATCCCTGTTTTGCTTTAAGTTGTTAGGGGGTGGTTTTATCACATATTGTAGAATATGTCATTTCAGTTTTGAACGTCTTGAGTTAAATTGTTCTAACATATCTTATGAATTTGATTTTCTTCCCTGGGAAGCTAATATTTCAAAAACTTAAAGAGTATAGATTTCCAACTTGTATCCAATTTATAAAACTATCTCTAGGCTGCTGATTTCAGGAGGAGGCTCGTGAATATTCTCTTCGCAGAGAATATATCAGGAGTTAACAACAGCTTCAATATTTGTGGACGACCATTTAACTAAGCCACCTTTTAGTGTATTTAGATGGGAAATCTTAGCTGAACGTATTCAATAATGAACCAACAGTGACTAAAAAATTCAATATTTAAGTATATTTCATTGTAATTAATTTGAATTGAAGTAGCCGTATACAGCTAGTATTTACTATATTGAACAATGCAAATAAGAGGACAAAATTAATAACCATCTCTAATACCGCATGCCAAAATCCTCATCAATTTATTCTAGCTAAAGGAGTTTATCAGAAGCAGCATTTGAAAGCACCAACTAAACCAGCTGGGGTTAGTTCACTGTCATTCTCTCAGAACCATCTCTTCTCTGAACAAAACAAGTACAAGAGTTCATTGTGAATCTGCATTCTCCTTGACTGTTTTAAGGTTTTGATGTTGACACTAATTTGTGAAATCCCTCCTGTGGTGTGATATTTCGTTTTCCTTGCTTTCTGATAGGACAAGAATAATTCAGCTCTTAATTTAAAATTATGTTTCTCCCTCCTAGGTTGAGTGAACTTAGAATGCATTCTCTGACATATCCAAGTTTTGTTAATATGAATTTGGGGAAAAAAGCATACTTAATTAGCTAAGACTTCTTATTCTAGGCTTGACCCTGTGTTCGACATCTTTTGAATTTGTAGTTGCATGGGCTGCTCTCTGACACTGGTTAGTGACCTGGAAGCTATATTAACGTTAGGGGAGGTGGTGTATGAGCATTAGAGGTATCCTTGCAAGGAAAGACTTGTCTTATCTCAATACGTCTTTTTTTGCACACAAGAAAGTCAGTGTTTGAGTCTTCTAAAATCTTCCTATTTCCAAGTTGCAGAGCACCATTGATTCTTAAACAAAGACCTAATTTTTGACTCAGAGACGTGGCAAGGTAGTGAATCACCATTATAATTTAACAATCTTCAAGATAAAATTATCTCTGATATTTAGATTTTGCCCAATTATTAAGATATTTGGGTGTTTCGTTAAGAATGGAAGACTCTAGTCTCTTGAGCAGAGACTATAAAGGCCTCAGATGATCATTTTTAATTTTATGCTCTTTTCTTTAACACCTTCAACACAGTTGGAAGCAGCCGATATTCCCCAGAATTGTGTTTTTTAAACCAAATGCATGGTTCAGTGGTAGAAAACTGGGCTGATCCAAGCTGTTTTCAGTAAACATTTCAGGTGACCTATTTCATATTAAATAATCTCTAGATCCTGTCTTCGAAACTAACTAGATCAGATAACCTACCCTGGTTTTTCTCCTTTTAGGGTCTGTGAGCTGCAGTCACTTTTGTGAAAATGATTGCGATGACAAGATAGAGTTGTAGATGGGGAAAATGTTTTGACTAATTTAAGCATAGTGGTATTTCATATGAGAATTTAAGTTACACACATTTGAAAATTATAATGGAGTCTCTTGGCTGAGCTTTAAAAAATATAGCATTTAGGCTAAAAAGGGAACTGCTACCTCTCCTAAGATCAGAAAGATGTTACAGTAATTCTCCATTCTCTAGAATTATCAGGAAGCACCTTTGTGATGATTTACTTTTGCTCTTGGGAGTGTGAGCCCGTGTAGTCGTGGAACCATCAATTAGAATGGTGGCTTTCTGATCCCAAAGTCATTCGTTCTGAAAACAATATTTTTCATAAATTTGAAAGTGAGAAGTTTTGATCTTGCCATTCCCAAGTAACTCTCTTAATGAGAGGCATCAGCATGCTTCAGTGACAGCTGTCACCTTCCAGTGCTGAGAGTCATCTTTGAGTTCTCCATTTCACTCCCTACACTCCAATTCAGCTGCAGTTCTCTTGGATAGTCCTATGAAATACATCCATGGCCTAACGACTTCTCACCACTACTACCACTCATCCTCACAGTATTCTCACCTAAGTCACTACCTGTTTTCTCTGGATTACAGTAGCCTCCCAATTTATTTGCTCACATAACCTATTTATTCTACACAGTGCACCAGATACACCCCTTTGAAATGCAAACACAATCATGTTATTCTCTGGTGAAATTATCTCATATATTCCTATCGCATTTAAAATTAATTCAGAATAATCCCATGATTATCAAAACCCTACATGCTCTTCCACAACATGGTTTACTTCCAAGATATCTCTTCTACTTTTTTTTCACTGTACTGAATTGGTGACTAATAGTCATATTTTTGTTTTTGCTCAAAAAGTCTTGACTTGTAAATTTTTCAGTTTCTCCTTTATCCACAGGTAACTCTTTCCACATAAGGCAAATTGCTTGCTTCCTTGAGTTCTGCTCTCAAAGATACCCTTCATTTTCTACCTAATATTAATAACTTTAATCATTCATTATTCCATTACTATGCTCTATAGTCTATACAATTTCTGTTCTTTGTCATGTTATTAACTAAATTATTTATTTGTTCCAGTAACGTATTCCATAAATATTGTACACATAAAAATTATGTTATTTTTATTGCTGTATGCTCAGCTGCCCAATAACAGTCTGAGGTTTAACATATTTGTTAAATGCACAAATACATTCTTTCACAAATATCAGTTTAATAATTTTATATTAAACTCCCTCTATACTTACAATATGAATTAGATAATTCAGAATAAACATTCCAGTGGAAAAAACTAAACAATTTGTTATAAAACATCCTTAAAAGCATCAGAAAGTTAATACAGCAATGAAGAATTACAGGACCAAATTAAGAATGGTATGGAAGCCTGTTTGTGAGGCTTATGTTTGGGTTATCTCTTTACTTAGAGTGACTATAAATCTCAAAAGAGAATTAAAGGAGAAATAACCATATCAACTCACATGGTAAGGGTATTTAAACATCTCTTAGTAATTGAGAAAATTGAAAGAAAAGAAAAAAGAGAAAGGGAGAAAGAGAAACAGAGTGAAAGGGATAATGAAGGAGAGACAGAAGAAGAGCAAGGAAGAGGAAGAAAAGTAAAAAGGAGGAGGAGGGGGAGGGAAGAAGAAAGAAAGGTGAAAAGAAAGAATGCTAAAGTTTTCAACAACATAATTTATCCTTCTAGAATATGAATGTTGGTCTATTTGATGATGTCTCACAAATTCCTTAGTCTCTGCTCATTTTTTATCTGTTTCTCAGAGTCAATATTTTCCATTTTCTTATCTTCAAGCTCATGACTTCTTCTGTATGTGCAAATATACTCTTAAATCCCTCTGGTGATTTTTAAATTTTTATCATTGTAGTTTTCCACTCCAGAATTTGTGCTATCTCTGTTGATATTCCTAATTTTTAATATTTTTTCTGATTCCTTTATTTCTTTGTTTATGTTTTCCTTTTGACATTTGAGTATAATTAAGAGAGTTGTTTTAAAGTCTTTGTCTAGTAAGTTTGATGTCTGAGTTCCCTTAGAGATATTCTCTGTCAATTTGTTTTGTTCCTTTGAATGAGCCATACTTTCCCATTCTTTGTATGCCTTGAAACTTTTTTTGAAAACTGTACATTATAATAATTATAATTACTATGTGGTTACTCTGTAAATCAGACACCCCTACAAACACAGTAATGTTTTGTGGTTTTAAATTTTCTTTACTTATTATATTGTTAAGGATTTTTTTTAAGTGAAATTTTCCAAAGTGATTTACAAAACTGTTTGCTTTATAAGGTGTCACTGAAGTCTTTTTGTTTCCATAACAAATGTTAAGCTAAAGTTTTGACAGTGATTTTCTTGTATGTCAGGAACCAATCAAACAGGCAAATACAAGAAAAACAAAAAGAAAAACAAGTAATCATTGTCCAGCAAAATATGTCTCTAGGCCATGCAGACTGGCTTTGTGATGGGTTCTTTAAAGCTGGCACAAAGTGTGTGTTCACTCTTGCACTGAGTGAAGTTCAAGTTCACTCTTGCACAGAGCTTGCACAGAGGGGAGGGATCGACCAAGGTAAAAGTGTAGGGTCTTCTTATGACATTTGTCAGCATGTGGCTTAACCTATGAATACATGTGACTTTCTATACTCTCCCATGTACGTGAATGATTTTGTATGTTTTAGTTTTTGAAATACTCTTCTCCAACTTTTCTTGCTGTGCTGAAGGTGATCTACTATAAGTGTAAACTCTAATTTTTGCCCTAAGCATCTGTGGCTTGTTAGGTTTCCTTGCAGTTTCTTAAAAATGTCCATTCCTTATCTGTTCTGTATTCTAGCAACACAGGAAAAAAAGCCTTTCATGAGTCATTTAGATATCCCCAGACCTGTCAGAATAGACACTCGAGTCCATTCGATGATTCCACTCGATTCCATTTGATGATGATTCCATTCGAGTCCATTCGATGATTTCATTCAATTCCATTCGATGATGATTCCATTCGAGTCCATTCGATGATTCTATTCGATTCCATTCGATGATGTTCCTTTTCATTTCCATTCGATGATGATTCAATTCAATTCCATTCAATGATGACTCCATTACATTCCATTTGATGATGATTCCATTTGATTCCTTTCGATGATGATTCCATTTGATTACATTTGGTGATTATTCCTTTCGAGTCCATTCGATGATGATTCCATTCCAGTACATTCGATGATGTTTCCATTCCACTCCATTCCATGATGATTCCATTCGTGTCCATTCGATGACGATTCCATTCCATTCCATTCGATGATGATTCCATTAAATGATTCCATTCGATTCCATTCGATGATGATTCCATTCGATTCCATTCAATTCCATTCTATGATGATTCCATTCAATTCCATTTGATGATGATTCCCTTAGAGCCCATTCGATGATTCCATTCGATTCCATTCGATGATGTTTCCATTTGATTCCATTAGATGATTCCATTCGATTCCATTCGAGGATGATTCCATTTGATTCCATTCAATGATTCCATTTGATTCCATTCGATGTTGATTCCATTCGAGTCCATTCGATGATTCCATTCGATTCAATTTGATGATGATTCCATTCAACTCCGATCCATGATTCCATTCGATTCCATTTGATGATGATTGCGTTCGAGTCCATTCGATGATTCCATTCGATTCCATTCAATGATGATTCCATTCGAGTCCATTCGATGATTCCATTCGATTCCATTCGATGATGATTGCATTAGACTTCATTGGATGATTCCATTCGATTCGACTCGATGATGATTCCATTCGATTCCATTGGCTGATGCCATTTGATTCCATTCAATGATTCCATTTGATGATTATTCCATTCGATTCCATTCAATGATTCCATTTGACGTTATTTCCATTTGATTCCATTCGATGATTCCATATGATTCCATTCAATGATTCCATTCGATACCATTCTAGGATTTCATTGGATTCCATTTGATGATTATTTCATTCGACTCCTTTCGATGATTCCGTTTGATTCCATTCGATGAGGATTCCATTTGATTCCATTTGATGATGATTGCATTCGATTCCATTTGATGATTCTTTTCGATTTCATTTGATGATGATTACATTCGATGATATCATTCAATTCCCTTTGATGATTATTCCATTCGATTTCTTTCAATGAATCCATTCAATTCCATTCGATGATGATTCCATTCAATTCCTTTTGATGATGATTGCATTCGATTCCATTCAATGATTCCATTCGATTCCATTCGATGATGATTCCATTCGATGATGATTCCATTCGATTCCATTTGATGATTCCATTCGATTCAATTCGATGATTCCATACTATTCCATTTGATGATTATTCCATTTGGTTCCATTCAATGATGATTCCATTCGATTCCTTTTGATGATTCCTTTTGATTCCATTCGATGATGATTCTACTCGATTCCATTTGATGATGATTCCATTCGATTCCATTCAGTGATTCCATTCGATGATGATTCCATTCAACTGAATTTGATGATTCCATTCGATTGAATTCGATGATGATTCCATTTCATTCCGTTTGATGATGGTTCCATTCAATTCCATTCGATGATGATTTCATTCGATTCCATTTGTTGAATCCATTCCATGATTCCATTGGATTCCATTCAATGATTCCATTCGATTCCATTCAATGATTATTCCATTTGATTCCATTCAATGATTCCATTGGATTCCATGCGATGATGATTCTCTTTGATTCCATTCCATTATTCCATTCGATTCCATTCGATGATGATTCCATTCGGTTCCATTTGGTGACTCCATTTGACACCATTCGAGGATTCCATTCGATTCCATTACATGATTATTCCATTTGATTCCTTCCAATGATTCCATTTGATTCCATTAGATGATGATTCCATTTGATTCCATTCGATGACGATTCTGTTTGATTCCATTCAATGATTCCATTCGATTATATTTGATGATGATTCCATTTGATTCCATTTGTTGATTCCTTTCGATTCCATTCGAGGATTCCATTCAATTCCATTCAATGATTATTCCATTCGACTCCTTTCGATGATTCCATTCAATTCCACTCTATGATGATTCCATTCGATAATGATTCCATTCAATTCCATTCGATGATTTCATTCGATTCCATTCAATCATTCCATTCGATTCCATTCGATGATGATTCCATTTGATTTCATTCAATGATTCCATTTGATTATATGCAATTATGATTTCATTCGATTCCATTCCATGATTCCTTTCAATTACTTTCGATGATGATTCCATTCAATTCCATTCGATGATTCCATTCGATTCCATTCTAGGATATCATTCGATTCCATTCAATGATTATTCCAATCGATTCCTATCAATGATTCTGTTCAATTCCATTCGATGATGATTCCATTCGATTCCATTCGATTATGGTTGCATTTGATTCCATTCGATGATTCTTTTCAATTTCATTCGATGATGATTCCATTCCATGATTCCATTTGATTCCATTCCATGATGATTCCATTCAATTCCATTCGATTTATTCCATTCGATACCATTCGATGTTTCATTTTGATACCATTCGATGATGATTCCATTAGATTCCATGTGATGATGATTCTATTCGATTCCATGTGAAGATGATTCCATTCAATACCATTTCATGATTGCATTCGATTCCATTCGATGATGATTCCATTCAATTCCATCAGATGACTCCATTCGATTCCATTTGATGATTCCATTCGATTCCATTCGATGATTCCATTCGATTCCATTCGATGATGATTCCAGTCGATTCCATTCGATTATGATTCCAATCGTTTCCATTCTATGATTCCATTCAATTCTATTCGATTATTCCATTCTATTCCATTCGAAGATTATTCCATTCAATTCCATTAGATGATTCCATTTGATTCCATGTGATGAAGATTCCATTCGATTCCATGTGAAGATGATTCCATTTGATTCCATTCCATGATTGCATTCGATTCCATTCGATGATGATTCCATCAGATGACTCCATTCGATTCCATTCGATGATGATTCCATTTGATTCCATTCGATGATGATTCCAGTCTATTCCATTAGATTATGATTCCATTCGATTCCATTTTATGATTCTATTCGATTCAATTCAATGATTATTCCGTTCGATTCCATTTGATGATTCCATTTGATTTCATGTGATGATGATTCCATTCGATTCCACTCCATGATTCCATTCGATTCCATTCGATGATGGTTCCATTCAATTCCATTCAATGATTCCACTCGATTCCATTTGATGATTCCATTTGATTCCATTCAATGATTATTCCATTCGATTCCTTTCAATGATTCTGTTCGATTCCATTCGATGATGATTCCATTCTATTCCATTCGATGATGATTGCGTTCCTTTCCATTCAATGATTCTTTTTGATTTCATTCAATGATGATTCCATTCGATGATTCCATTCGATTACATTCGATGATGATTCCATTTGATTCCATTCGATTTATTCCATTGGATTCCACTCGATGATTCCTTTCGATACCATTTGATGATGACTCCATTCGATTCCATGTGATGATGAGTCCATTGGATTCCATGCGATGATGATTCCATTAGATTGCATTTGATGATTCGATTTGATTCCATTTGATGATGATTCCATTCGATTCCATTGGATGACTGCATTCACATCATTTGATGATGATTCCATTCAATTCCATTCTATGATTCCATTCGATTCCATTCAATGATGATTCCATTCGATTCCATTCGATGATGATTGCATTCAATTCCATTCAATGATTCCGTTTGATTCCATTCAGTGATGATTTCATTCGATTCCATTAGATGATTGCATTCGATGATTCCATTCGCTTCCATTAGATGATTGCATTTGATGATTCCATTCGCTTCCATTCGATGATGATTCCATGCAATTCCATTCGATCATTCCATTTGATTCCATGTGAAGATGATTCCATTTGATTCCATTCAATGACTGCGTTTGATTCCATTCGATGATGATTCCATTTGATTCCATTCAATGATGTCATTCGATTCCTTTCGAGGATTTTATTCAATTGCATTTGATATTTATTCCATTCACTTCCTTTTGATGATTCCATTTGATTCCATTCGATGATGATTGGATTCAATGATGATTCCATTCAATTCCATTTGATGATTTTTTTGAATTTCATTCGATGATGATTCCAGTCGAGGATTCCATTGGATTACATTTGATGATTATTCCATTCTGTTCCATTTGATTTATTCCATTCAATTCCATTTGATGATTCCTTTCAATATCATTCAATGATGAATCCATTCGATTCCATGTGATGATGATTCCATTCAATTCCATTTGATTATTCTATTCGATTGCATGTGATGATGATTCTACTCAATTACATTCAATGATTCGATTGCATTCGAAGACAATTACATTAATTCCATTTGATGATTATTTTCGATTCCATTTGATGATGATTCCATTCAATTCCATTTGATGATTCCATTCAATTCCATTTGATGATGATTGCATTCGATTCCATTCGATGATTCTTTTCGATTTCATTCTATGATGATTCCATTCAATGATTCCATTTGATTCCATTTGATGATGACTCCATTCGATTCCATTAGATTTATTCCATTCAATTCCATTCGATGTTTCCTTTTGATACCATTCGATAATGATTCCATTCGATTCCATGTGATGATGATTCCATTTGATTCCATGGGATGATGATTTCATTCGATTCCATTCGATGATTCCATTTGATTCCATGTGATGATGATTCCATTCAATTCCATTCCATGATTCCATTCGATTCCATTCGATGATGATTCCATTCGATTCCATTCGATGATTCCATTCAATTCCATTCGATGATTCCATTCAATTCCATTTGATAATTATTCCATTCGATTCCTTTCGATGATTCCGTTCGATTCCATTTGATGATAATTCCATTCTATTACATTCTATGATGATTACATTTCTTTCCATTCGAGGATTCTTTTTGATATGATTCAATGATGATTCCATTCGATGATTCCTTTCGATTCCATTCGATGATGATGCCATTCGATTCCATTCAATTTATTCCATTCGATTGCATTCGATGATTCCTTTCGATACTATTTGATGATGATTCCATTTGATTCCATGTGATGATGATTCCATACGATTCCATGCAATGATGTTTCCATTCGATTGCATTTGATGATTCCATTTGATTCCCTTTGATGATGATTCCATTCGATTCCAATGGATGACTCCATTCACATCCATTCGATGATGATTCCATTTGATTCCATTCAATGATTATAGCATTCAATTCCATTCGATGATGATTCCATTCGATTCCATTCGATGATGATAGCATTTGATTCCATTCGATGATTCCGTTTGATTCAATTCAGTGATGATTTCATTCGGTTCCATTCGATGATTCCATTCGATTCCATTTGATGATTCCATTCACTTCTATTCAATGATGAATCCGTGCGATTCCATTCGATCATTCCATTTGATTCCATGTGATGATGATTTCATTCAATTCCATTCGATGATGATTTCATTCAATTCCATTCAATGATTCCATTCGATTTCATTTGAAGATTTCATTCAATTGCATTTGATGTTTATTCCATTCGATTCCTTTCGATGATTCCATTCAATTCCATTCAATGATGATTTCATTCAATTCCATTAGATGATGATTGCATTCAATTCCATTCGATGATTTTTTCAATTTCATTCGATGATGATTCCTGTTGATGATTCCATTCGATTGCATTCGTTGATGAATCCATTTGATTCCATTCTATGGTGATTACATTGAATTCCTTTCGATGATGTTTCCATTCAATTCCATTCAATGATGATTCCATTCGATTCTGTTCGATGATGATTCCATTCTATTCCATTCCATGATTCCATTCGATTCCATTCGATGATGATTCCATTCTATTCCATTCCATGATTCCATTCGATTCCATTCGATGACGATTCCATTAGATTCCATTCGATGATGATTCTATTCGAGTCCATTCAATGATTCCATCCGATTCCATTTGAAGATGATTCCATTCGGTTCGATTCTATGAAGATTCCATTTGATTCCATTCGATGATTCCATTTGACTCCATTCGATGATGATTCCATTTGACACTATTCAATGATTCCATTTGATTCCATTTGATGATGATTCCGTTCAACTCTGTTCAATGATTCCATTCGAGTCCATTCGATGTTTCCATTCGATTCCATTTGAAGATGATTCCATTCGAGTCCATTCGATGATTCCTTTCGAGTCCATTCAATGATTCAGTTTGGTTCTATTTGATGGTGATTCCATTGGATTCCATTTGATGATGATTCCATTCGATTCCATTCGATGATGATTACATCCGATTTCATTCGATGATTCCATTTGATTCCATTTGATGATGATTCCATTTGATTCCGTTCGATGCTGATTCCGTTCGATTCTATTGATTATGATTGCATTCAAGTCCTTTTGATGATTCCATTCCAGTCCATTTGATGATTCCATTCGAGCCCATTCAACGATGATTCAATTTGATTCTATTCGATGATGATTCCGTTTGAGTCCATTTGATAATTCCATTTGATTCCATTCCATAAGGATTCCATTCTTGTCCATTTGATGATTCCATTCGATTCCATTTGATTAGGATTCAATTCCAGTCCATTAGATGATTCCATTTGATTCATTTCGATGATGATACCAGTTGATTCCATTAGTTGATTCCATCTGATTCCATTTGATGATGATTCCATTTGTGTCCCTTTGATGATTCTATTCGAATCCATTTGATGATTGCTTTTGATTCCATTCGATGATGATTCCATTCTACTTCATTCAGTGATGATTCCATTCGTGTCCATTCTATGATTTAATTTGATTCCATTTGATGATGATTCCATTCGATTCCATTAGATGATTCTATTCGATTCCATTTGATGATTCCATTCGAGTCCATTTGCTGATTCCATTCGATTCCAATCGATGATTCCCTTCGAGTCCATTTGATGATTCCAATCGAGTGCATTCGATGTTCCTATTCTATTCCATTCGATGATGATTCCATTCGAGTCCATTCGATGATGATTCCATTTGATTCCATTAGATGATTCCATTCAATACCTCTCGATGATTCACTTCAATTCCTTTTGATGATGATTCCATTCAATGATTCCATTCGATTCCATTTGATGATGATTCCTTTCGATTCCTTTTGAAGGTGATTCCTTTTGATTCCATTTGATGATAATTACATACGATCCCAGTGATGACGATTGCATTCTAGTACATTCAATGATTCTATTCGAGTCTATTTGATGATTTCATTAGAGTCCATTCAATGATGATTCTATTCGTTTCCATTCGAGGATGATTCCATTCGAGTCCATTCAAAGAGGATTCCATTCGTGTCCATTCGATGTTTCCATTCGATTCCATTTGATGATGATTCCATTTGATTCCATTCCATAATTCCATTCAATGCCTTTCGATGATCATTCCACTAGAATCCATTCGAAAATTACCCCTTTAGGTTCCATTTGATGATGATTCCATTCAGTTCCATTTGATGATGATTCCATTAGATTCCATTCGATGATTCCATTTGATTCCCTTTATTCATGATTCTATTCTATTCCACTTGATGATCATTGTATTCGGTTCCATTTGATGATGATCCCATTCGATTCCATTTGATGATGATTCCATTGGATTCCTTTTGATGATGATTCCATTCGATTTCATTCGATGATTCTATTCGATTCCATTCGAAAATGATTCCATTCTATTCCTTTTGATGATTCCATTCGATTCCATTCGCTGATGTTTCCATTTGATTCCATTCCATGATGATTCCATTCGTTTCCATTCGATAATTCCATTCGATTCAATTCGATGATGATTTGATTCGAGTCTGTTAGATGATTCTATTTGATTCCAGTGGATGATGATTCCATTTGATGCCACTCGATGATTCCATTCGGTTTCATTTGATTAAGATTCCATTCGATTCATTTTGATGATTCCATTCATTTCAATTCGATGATGATTCCATTCGAGTAAATTCCATGATTCCATTTGATTCCATTCGATGATGATTCCATTTGAGTCCATTCATTGATTCCATTTGATTTCATTCGATGATGATTCCTTTTGATTCCATTCAATGATGATTCCATTAGAGTCCATTCGATGTTTCCATTCAAATCCATTCAATGATGATTCCATTTGAGTCCATTCAATGATTTGATTCGATTCCATTCAATGATTCCATTCAGTTCCATTTGATGATGATTCCATTGGATTCCCTTCGTTTATGATTCCATTCGTTTCCATTCGATGATTCCATTTGATTCTATTCAAAGATGATTCCATTTGATTCCATTCGATGATAATTCCATTCGATTCCTTTTGATGATGATTGCATTTGATTCCATTCAATGATGATTCCATTTGTTTCCATTTGATGATGATTCCATTCGATTCAATTCAACGATGATTCCAACCGAGTCCATTCGATGATTCCATTTGATGATGCTTCCATTCTATTCCATTCGTTGTTTCCATTCAATTCCATTCGATGATGATTCCTTTTGAATGCTTTCAATGATTCCATGTGATTTCATTCGATGATGACTCTATTTGATTCAATTTGATGATTCCATATGATTACATTCGATTATGATTGCATTTGATTCCATTCAATGATTCCATTTGATTCCATGCAATGATAATTCCATTCGAGTCTATTTGATGATTCCATTCGATTCCATTCAATGATTCCATTCGAATCCATTTGATGATGATTCCATTCGAGTCCATTCGATGATTCCATTCGAGTCCATTCAACAATGATTGTACTCGATTCCATTTAATGATTCCATTCAATTTCTTTCGATGATGATTCCATTCAATTCCTTTTGATGATTCCTTTCTATTCCATTTGATGATGATTCCATTCGAGTCCATTCGATGATTCCATTCGATTCCATTCGACAATGATTCCATTCATATCCTGTCATTGATTCCATTCGATTTCATTCGATGATGATTCCTTTTGATTCCATTCATGATGATTCCATTCGAATCCAATCGATGTTTCCATTCGATTCCATTCGATGTTTATTCCTTTCGATTCCATTTGATTATTCCATTCGAGTCCATTTGATGATTCCATTCGATTCCATTCAATGATGATTCCATCTGATGCCATTCGATGATTCCATTTGATTCCATTTGACGATGATTCCATTCGAGTCCATTCGATGACTCCTTTCAATTCCATTCGATGATTATTCCATTCGTGTCCATTCCAGGATTCCATTAGATTCCATTCGATGATGATTCCATCCGTGTCCATTTGATGATTCCATTGAATTCCATTCGATGATTTCATTCGATTCCCTTCGATGATGAGTCCAGTCTACTCATTTCAATGATGATTCCATTTGATTCAATTCGATGATTTTCCATTCGAGTCCATTCACTGATACCATTCGATTCCAAAAGATGATTCCCTTCGAGTGCATTCGATGATTCCATTCGAGTGCATTCGATGATTCCATTCTATTACATTCGATGATGATTCCATTCGAGTCCATTCGGTGCTGATTCCATTCAATTCCATTCGGTGATTCCATTCGAATCCATTCGATGATTCAGTTCTATTCCTTTTGATGATGATTCCATTCAATTCCATTCAATGATTCCATTCGATTCCATTCGATGATGATTCCATTCACTTCCTTTTGAAGATGATTCCTTTCGATTCCATTTGATGATAACTACATTCGATCCCATTGATGACGATTGCATTCTAGTCTATTCGATGATTCCATTCGAGTCTATTCGATGATTTCATTCGAGTCCATTCAATGATGATTCTATTCGATTCCATTTGAGGATGATTCCATTCGATTACATTCGATGATGATTCCATTCGATTTCATCTGATGATGATTTCAATCAAGTCCATTCCATGATTCCATTCAATTCCATTCGATGATTGTTCCATTCGAGTCCATTCGATGATTCCATTCCATTCCATTCGATGATGATTCCATTCAATGACATTCGATGATTCCATTCGATTCCATTCAATGATGATTCCATTCGAGTCCATTCGATGATTCTATTAGATTCCATTTGATGATGATTCCATTTGAGTCCATTCGATGATTTCAATCGATTCCATTCGATGATGATTCCATTCGAGTCTATTCGATGATTCCATTCGATGAGGATTCCAATCGAGCCCATTCAATGATTCCATTCAAGTCCATTCGATTATTCCCTTAGATTCCATTCCTTGATGATTCTATTTGATGCCATTCAATGATTCCATTTGATTCCATTCGATGATGTTTCCATTCGAGTCCATTCGATGATTCCATTCGATTCCATTTGTTGATTGCATTCTTCTCCATTCGATTATTCCATTCGAGTCCATTCGATGATTCCATTTGATTCCATTTGATGATAATTCCATTTGAGTCCATTCGATGATAATTCCATTCGAGTCCATTCGATGATAATTCCATTCAATTCCATTCGATGATTCCATTCGATTCCATTCCATGATTCCCTTCGATTCCTTTCTATGATGATTCCATTCGATTCCATTCATGATGATTCCATTTGATTCCAATCATGATGATTCCATTCGATTCCAGTTGATGATGACTGCATTCGGTTCTATTTGATGATGATTCCAACGGACTCCATTCGATTTCTCCATTTAATTCCATTCGATGATGATTCCATTTGAGTCCTTTCGATGATTCCATTGGATTCCATTTGATGATTCCATTCGAGTCCATTCGCTGATTCCATTCGATGATGATTCCAATCGAGTCCATTCAATGATTCCATTTGAGTCCGTTCGATTATTCCCTTAGATTCCATTCCTTGATGATTCTATTCGATGCCATTCAATGATTCCATTTGATTCCATTCGATGATGTTTCCATTCGAGTCCATTTGATGATTCCATTTGATTCCATTCGATGATTCCATTCTTCTCCATTCGATTATTCCATTCGAGTCCATTCAATGATTCCATTCGAATCCATTCGATGATAATTCCAGTCGAGTCCATTTGATGATGATTCCATTCGATTCCATTCGATGATTCCAATCGATTCCATTCCATGATTCTCTTCGATTCCTTTTGATGATGATTCCATTCCATCCCATTCGATGATAATTCCATTTGATTCCATTCCATGATTACCTTCGATTCCATTCCATGATTACCTTTGATTCCTTTCGATGATGATTCTATTTGATTCCATTCGATGATGATTCCATCTGATTCCATTCGATGATTCCATTTGATTCCATTCGATGATGATTCCATTCGTTTCCATCTGATGATGATTCCATTCGATTCCATTTGATGATTCCATTCGAGTAAATTCAATTTTTCCATTTGATACCATTCGATGATGATTCCATTTGAGTCCATTCCATGATTCCATTCGAGTCCATTCAATGATTCCATTCGAGTCCATTCAATGATTCCATTTGTTTCCATTTGATGATGATTACATTCGAGTCCATTCGATGTTTCCATTTGATTCCATTTGATGATGATTCCATTCGAGTCCATTCAATGATTCCATTCGATTCCATTCAATGAAGATTCCATTCTAGTACATTCGATGATTATTCCATTCGATTCTATTCGATTATTCCTTGTGATTCCATTTGATGATGATTCCATTCGAGACCATTCAATGATTACATTGAATTCATTTGATAATGATTCCGTTCAATTCCATTCAATGATTCCATTAGATTCCATTTGATGATGGTTCCATTCAATTCCATTTGATGATGATTCCATGCGATTCCATTCGATGATGACTCCTTTCGGTCCATTCGATGACGATTCCATTTGGTTGCATTCAATGATGATTCCTTTGGATTCCATTCCATGATGATTCCATTCGATTCCATTTGCTGATGATTCTTTTCTATTCAAGTCGGTGATGATTCCATTCGATTGCATTCGATGATGTTTCCATTCAATTCCATTCAATGATTCCATTCGTTTCCATTCAATGATGATTCCATTCGAGTTCATTGATTATTCCATTACATTCCATTCGATGATTCCATTAGAGTCCATTCGATGATTCTATTCGATTCCATTCAATAATTCCATTCGATTCCATTTGATGATGATTCCATTCGAGTCCATTCGATGATTATTCCATTCGATTCTATTCGGTGATTACATTCGATTGCATTTGATAATTATTCCTTTCGAGACCATTCGATGATTCCATTCAATTCATTCTGTGATGATACCATTCAATTCCATTCAATGATTCAATTTGAGTCCATTTGATGATTCCATTCGAGTCTATTCAACAAAGATTCTGTTCAATTCCATTCGATGATGATTGCATTTGGGTCCATTTGATGATTCCATTCACTTCCATTCGATGGGGATTCCATTCGTCTCCATTTGATTATTCCATTCGATTCCATTCAATGAGGATTCCATTACTGTCCATTAGATGATTCCATTTGATTCCATTTGATGATGATTCCATTCGATTCCATTCGTTAATTCCATTTCATTCCATTGGATGATGATTCCATTCATGTCCATTTGATGATTCTTTTCGAATCCATTCGATTTTTGCTTTTGATTCCATTTGATGATGATTCCATTCGATACCATTCTATGGTTCCATTTGATTCTATTCGATGATGATTCCATTTGATTTCATTGGATGGTTCTATTTGATTCTGTTTGAGATGATTGCATTCGATTCCATTCGATGATTCAATTCGATTCCATTCGATGATGATTCCATTCGATTCCATCCGATGGTTCCATTCGATTCCATTTGATGATTCCATTTGATTCCATTCGATGATGATTCCATTGGATTCCATTTGATGACTCCATTCCATTCCATTCAATGAGGATTCCATTCGATGTCATTCAATGATTCCATTCGATTCCATTTGATTATGATTCCATTCCAGTACCTTCGATGATTCCATTAGATTCCATTTGATGATGATTCCATTCGAGTCCATTCGATGATTCCATTCCATTCCATTCGATGATGATTCCATTTGAGTCCATTCGATGATTCCATTCCATTCCATTCGATGATGATTCCACTCGAGTCCATTCGATGATTTCATTCCATTCCATTCAATGATGATTCCATTTGAGTCCATTTGATGATTCCATTCGATTCCATTCGATGATGATTCCACTCGAGTCCATTCGATTATTCCATTCGAGTCCATTCGATTATTCCTTAAGATTCCATTCATTGATTATTCTATTCAATGTCATTCGATGATTCCATTCGATTCCATTCAATGATGATTCCATTTGAGTCCATTCGATGATTCCATTTGATTCCATTAAATGATGATTCCATTCGTGTCTATTCAATTATTCCATTTGATTCTATTCCTTGATGATTCCATTCGAGTCCTTTTGATGATTCCATTCTTTTCCATTTGATGGTGATTCCATTTGAATCCATTCGATGATTCCATTCGATTCCATTCTATGATTCCCTTCTATCCCATTTGATGATTCCCTTTGATTCCATTCGATGATCATTCCATTCAATTCAGTGATCCCATTGGATTCCATTCAATGATGATTCCATTAGATTACACTCCATGATGATTCCATTCGGTTCCATGTGATGATGATGCCATGAGATTCCATTCGATGATTCCATGCTATTCCATTCGTTGATGATTCCATTTGATTCCATTAGACGATGATTCCATTCGATTCCATTCGTTGATGATTCCATTCGATTCCATTCGATGATGATTCCGTTCCTTTTCATTTGATGATTCTATTCGATTGCATTCGATGATGATTCCTTTCTATTCCATTTGATGATTCCATTCGATTCTATCCAATGAGGATTCAAATAGATTCCGTTTGATGATGATTCCATTCAATGATGTTTCCATTCGATTCCATTCGATGTTTCCATTCGATTCCATTCGATGATGATTCCATTCGATTCCATTCGATGATTCCATTTGAGTCCACTTGATGATTCCTTTCGGTTCCATTTGATGATGATACCATTGGATTCCATTCATTGATGATTCCATTTGATTCCATTCCATGATGATTCCATTCGAGTCCATTTGATCATGATTCCGTCGATTCTTTTCGATGATTCCATTCAATACCATTCGATGATGATTCCATTTGTGTCCATTCTATGATTCCATTTCATTTCATTAGATGATGATTCCTTTGGTTTCCATTCAATGATGGTTCCATTCGAGTCCATTCAATTTTTCCATTCGATTTCATTCGATGATGATTCCATTCGAATCTATTCAATGATTCCATTTGAGTCCATTTGATGATTCCATTCGGTTCCATTTGATGATGATACCACTGGATTCCATTCTTTGATAATTCCATTCAACTCCATTCGATGATGATCCCATTTGATTCCATTCGATGATGATCCCATTTGATTCCATTCGATGATGATTCCACTCGATTCCATTCGATGATGATTCCATTCCATTTCATTCGATGATGATTTCATTCAAGTCCATTTGATGATTCCATTCGATTCCATTCAATGCTGATTCCAATCGAGTCCATTCGATGATTCCATTAGAGTCCATTCGATGATTCCATTTGAGTCCATTTGATGATTCCATTCAATTCCATCCAATGATGATTCCATTCAAGTCCATTCAATGTTTCCATTAGATTCCTTTCGATGATGATTCCATTCGAGTCCATTCAATGATTCCATTCGAGCCCATTTGATCATTCCATTCCATTCCGTTTGATGATGATTCCATTGGATTCCATTTGTTGATGATTCCATTCGATTCCATTCGATGATGATTCCATTTGATTCCATTTGTTGATGATTCCATTATATTCCATTCGATTCTGATTCCATTCGATGATGACTCCATTTGTTTTCATTCAATGTTTCTATTCAATTCCATTCGATGATGATTCCTTTCTATTCCATTTGATGATTCCATTCGATTCCATCCGATGAGGATTCAAATCAATTCCGTTTGATGATGATTCCATTCAATTCCATTCAATGAAAATTCCATTCGTGTCCATTTGATTATTCCATTCATTTTCATTCGATGATGATTCCATTCGCATCCATTAGATGACTCCATTCGATTCGATTCGATGATGATTTCATTCGATGCCATTTGATGATTCCATTTGATTCCATTCGATGATGATTCCATACGATTCCATTCGATGATTCCATTCGATTATGATTGCATTCAATTCCATTCACTGATTCCATTTGATTCCATTTGATGATGATTTCATTCGAGTCCATTTGACGTTTCCATTCCATTCCATTCAATGATGGTTCATTCGATTCCGTTTGATGATTCTATATGATTCCATTTGATGATTCCATTCGAGTCCATTTGATGATTCCATTCGATGAAGTTTCCATTCAAGTCCATTTGATGATGATTCCATTGGATTCCATTCGATGATTTCTTTCTATTCCATTCAATGATTCACTTCGATTCCTTTAGATGATGATTCCTTTCAATTCCATTCGATGATGATTCCATTCTATTCAATTCGATGATGATTCCATTCGATTCCATTCGATAATTCCATTTGATTCCATTAGATGATGATTCCATTCGATTCCATTTGTTGATTCCATTCGATTCCTTTGGATGATGATTCTTTTCGAATCCATTTGATGGTGACTCTATTCAATTCCATTCGATTATTCCATTAATTTCCATTCGATGATGATTGCATTGCATTCCATTCGATGATTGCATTCGATTCCATGTGATGAGTATTCCATTCGAGTCCATTCGATGATTCCATTTGATTCTATTCCATGAGGATTCCATTCGTGTCCATTCTATGACACAATTCGATTCCTTTCAATGAAGATTCCATTCCAGTTCATGAGATGATTCCATTCGATGATGATTTCATTTGATTCCTTTCGATTTTTCCATTCGATTTCATTCGATGATGTTTTTATTCGAGTCCATCGATGATTCCATTCGATTCCATTCAATGATTATTCCTTTCGAGTCCTTTCAAAGATTCCATTCGATTCCATTAGATTATGATTCCATTCGGATCCATTCGATGATTCTATTAGATTCCATTCGATGATTCCATTCTATTCCATTCGATGATTCCCTTCGATTCCATTTGATGATCATTCCATTCGATTCCATTCGATGATTTCATGTGATTCCAATCAATGATGATTCCATCCGAGGCCATTCGATGATTCCATTTGATTCCATTCAATGGTGATTCCATCCGATGCCATTCAATGATTCCATTCGATTTCATTCAATGATGATTCCATTCGATTTCATTCAATGATGATTCCATTCGATTCCATTTGATGGTGATTCCATTCGAGTCCATTCAATGATTCTGTTCAGTTCCATTCGATGACAATTGCATTCGAGTCTATTCGATGATTCCATTCGAATCCATTCGATGATGATTCCATGCAATGATTCCATTCGATTCCATTCTATGATTCCATTTGAGTTCATTTGATGTTTCCATTTGATTCCATTTGATGATTGCATTCGATTCTATTTGATGATGAGTCCATTCTATTCAATTCCATGAGTATTCCATTCGATTCAATTCGATGATATTTCCATTCGAGTCCATTCGATGATTCCATTCGATGATTCCATTCCATTGCATTAGATGATGGTTACATTCACTGCCATTCGATGATTCCATTCAATTCCATTTGATGATGATTCCATTTGAGCCCATTCAATGATTCCATTCGATTCCATTTGATGATTATTCCATTCTATTCCATTCGATGATTCCATTCAATTCCATTTGTTGATGATTCCATTCGATGATTCCATTCCATTCCATTCGATGATGATTCCAATCGAGTCCATTTGATGATTCCTTTCGATTCCATTCGATGATGATTCCATTAAAGTCCATTCAATGATTCCATTCGATTCCATTCAATGATGATTCCTTTTGAGTCCATTCAATGATACCATTTGATTCCATTCGATGATGATTCCATTTGAGTGCACTCCATAATTCCATTCATTTCCGTTCGATGATTGTTCCATTCAATGCCATTCCTTGATGAATCCTTTCCATTCCATTTGATGATGACTCCTTTTGATTACATTTGTTGATGCTTCCATTCGATTCCATTCGATGATGACTCCATTCAATGATGATTCCATTCAATTCCATTAGATGATTCCTTTCAATGATTATTCCATTCAATTCCATTCCATGATTATTCCCTTCGATTCATTTTGATGATGATTCCATTCAATTCCATTAGATGATGATTCCACTCAAGTCCGTTTAATGATTCCATTCGCTTGCATTCAATCATTCCATTCGAGTCCATTCAAAGATTCCGTTAGTTTCCATTAGATGATGATACCATTCGAGTCCATTCCATGATTCCATTCAATTCCATTTGATGATGATTCCATTCGAGTCCACTCAATGATTCCATTCGATTCTACTCGATGATGATTCCATTCGATTCCATTCGATGATCATTCCATTCGATGCCATTCAATGATTCCATTCATGTCCATTCGATGATTATTCCATTTGAGTTCATTCGATGAGTCCATTCGATTCCATTCGATGATGATTCCATTCGTTTCCATTCAATGGTGACTCCATTCGATTGCATTTGATGATGACTCCTTCCAATTCCATTCTATGATTCCATTTAATTCCGTTCGATGATGATTCCATTCGAGTCCATTCGATGATTTCATTCGATTCCATTCTATTATTCAATTCGTTTCCATTCGATGATGATTCCATTCGATTCCATTCAATGATAATTAGATTCGATTACTTTTGATGATTCTATTCGATTCCATTGATGATTCCTTTCAAGCCCATTTGATGATTTCATTCGAGTCCATTCGATGACTCCATACGATTCCATTTGATGATGATTCCATTAGAGTAAATTTGATGATGATTCCATTCGTTTCCATTTGATGATTCCATTCGATTCCATTTGATGATTCACTTCGATTCCATTTGATGATGATTCCATTCGATTCCATTTGATGATTCCATTCAATTACATTTGATGACGATTCCATTCGATTCCATTCGATGATGATTCCATTAGTTTCCATTCGATGATTCCATTCAATTCCATTAATTGATGATTATTCTATTCGATTCCATTCGATGATGATTCCATTTGATTCCATTCGATGATTCCTTTCGATTCCATTTGATGATTCACTTCGATTCCTTTTGATGATGATTCCATTCGATTCCATTCGGTGATTCCAATCGATTCTATTCGATGATCATTCCATTCGACTCCATTCAATGATGATTCCATTCGAGTCCATTCGAAGATTCCATTTGATTCCATTTGATGATGATTCCATTCGATACCATTCTGTGATCCCACTCTATTCCATTCAATGATGATTCCATTCGATTCCATTTGATAATTCCATTCGATTCCATATGATGATTATTCCATTCGTTTCCGTTTGATGATTCCATTCGATTTCATTCAATGATGTTTCCATTAGAGTCCATTCAATGATTCCATTCCATTCCATTCGATGATTATTCCATTAGAGTTCATTCGAAGATTCCTTTCAATTCAATTTGGTGATGATTCCATTCGAGTCCAATTGATGATTCCTTTCAATTCTGTTCGATGATACCATTCGATTCCATTTGATTATTCCCATTGATTCCATTCGATGTTCATTCTATTCTATTCCAGTCGATCGTTCCATTCAGTTCCATTCGATGATGATTCCATTCGATGACGATTCATTTGTTTCCATTTGATGATGACTCCATTCGATTCAATTCGGTGGTGACTCCATTAGGTTCCATTTGATGATGATTCCATTCTGTCCCATTCGATGATGATTCCATTAGATTCTGTTCGATGATTCCATTTGATTACATTCGTTGATGGTTTCATTCAATTCCATTCGATGATGATTCCATTCAATTCCATTCGATGATGATTCAATTCGATTTCATTCAATAATTCCATTCGATTCCATTCGATGATGATTCCATTCTGTTCCATTCGATGATTCCATTCGATTCCATTCGATGATGATTCCATTCGAGTCCATTCCATTCCATTCCATTCGAGTCCATTTCATTCCACTACATTCCATTCCATTCGAGTTCATTCCATTCCGTTACATTCCATTCCATTCGAGTCCATTCAATTCTATTCCATTCCAATCGATTCCATTCCACTCCATTGCTTTTGAGTCCATTCCATTCCATTCGAGTGCATTCCTTTCCATTGCATTCGAGTCCATTCCATTCCATGCTATTCCATTTGAGTCCATTCCATTCCATTCAATTCGAACCCATTCCATTCCATTCCATTCCATTCCATTCCATTCCATTCCATTCCATTTTAGCACAATCCATTCCATTCCATTCAATTCGAGTCCATTCCATTCCAATCCATTCCATTCAGGTCCAATCCATTCAATCCCACTCGAGTCAATTCCATTCCATTCCATTCGAGTCCATTCCATTGCATTCCATTCCATTCGAGTCCATTCCATTCCATTCGAGTCTATTCCATTCCATTCGAGTCCATTCCACTCGAGTCCATTCCATACCATTACATTCCCTCCGACTCAAATCCATTCCATTCCATTCCATTCCATTCGAATCCACTCCTCTCCATTCCATTCGAGTGCATTCCGTTCCATTCCTTTCCACTCGAGACCTTTCCATTCTATTCGAGTCCATTCCATTCTGGTGAATTCCTTTCCATTCCATTCTATAACAGTCCATTCCATTCCATTCCATTCATGTCCATTCCATTCCATAACATTCGAGTCCATTCCATTCAATTCAACTCCATTCGTGTCCATTCCATTCCATTCCACTTGAGTCCATTCCATTCCATTCCATTCGAGATCATTCCATTCCATTCCAATCTATTCGAGTCCATTCCATTACATTCGAGTCCATTCCATTCCATTTCATTTGAGTCCCTTCCATTCAATTCCATTCATTTCCACTTGAGTCCATTGCATTCCATTCCATTCCATTTGAGTCCATTCCATTCCATTCCATTCCATTCCTCTCCATTCCATTACATTTCATTTCATTCCATTCCGTTCTATTCCTTTTGGCTCCATTCCATTCCATTCCATTCAAGTCCACTCCAATCCATTCGATTCGAGTCTATTCCATTACATTGCATGCCATTCGAGTTCATTCCACTGCATTCCCTTTCATTCGAATCTATTCCATTCCATTCCACTCCAATCTATTCCATTCCATTTGAGTCCATTCCAGTTCGTTCGAGTCCATTCCATTCCATTTCATTCAAGTCCACTTCATTCCACTAAGTTCCGTTCGATTCCATTCCATTCCATTCCATTCCATTCCATTCCATTCCATTCCTTTCCATTCTTTTCGGGTCCATTCAATTCAAATGCATTCCATTTGATTGCATACCATTCCATTCCATTCCATTCCGTTCCAATCCCTTCCATTCCGTTCAAGTCCATTCCATTCCATTCCATTCCATCGAGTCCATTTCATTCCATTACATTCCATTTCGTTCGAGTTCATTCCATTCTGTTACATTCCATTCCATTCGAGTCAATTCAATTCCGTTCCATTCCATTCGAGTCCATTCCACTCCATTCCGTTCGAGTCCATTCCATTCCATTCGAGTCCATTCCATTCCATTGCATTCGAGTCCATTCCATTCCAATGTATTCCATTTGAGTCCATTCCATTCCATTCCATTTGAATCCATTCCATTCCATTCCATTCCATTCCATTTGAGCCCAAACCATTCCATTCCATTCAATTCGAGTCCATTCCATTCCAATCCATTCCACTCGGGTTCACTCCATTCAATTGCATTAGAGTCAATTCCATTCCATTCCATTCGAGTCCATTCCATTCCATTCCATTCAATTCGAGTCCATTCCATTCCATTCCATTCGAGTCCATTCCATTCCATTCCTTTCGAGTCCATTCAATTCCATTGGATTCCATTCCATTCCTTTCCATTCGATTCCATTCCATTGCATTCCATTCCATCCGCGTCTATTCCATTCTATTACATTGGAGTCCATTCCATTCCATTCCATTAGAGTCCATTACATTAAATTCTATTGTATTCCTTTCGAGTCCATTCCATTCCATTCCATTCTATTCCATTCAAGTCCATTCCATTCCATTGCATTCCATACCATTCCAATCCTTTCCATTCCATTCCATTCCATTGCATTCCATTGCATTCGTGTCCTTTCCAATCCATTCAATTCGTTTCCATTCCATTCCATCCTATTCCATTCATGTGCTTTCCTTTCCATAGCTTACCATTCCATTTCATTCCTTTCCATTCCATTCCATTCGTTTCCATTCCAATCGATCCCATTCCATTCGTGTCAGTTCCATTCCATTCCATTGGACTTCATTAAATTCCATTCCGCTCCATTCGGGTCCATTCCATTCCACTGCATTCCATTCGCCTCCATTTCTTTCCATTCTATTCCATTCCATTCTGGTTCATTCCAATTCATTCCATTCCATTCGAGTCCATTCCTTTCCATTCCTTTCCATTTCATTCAGGTTCATTCCATTCCATTCTATTCGAGACCATTCCATTCCATTCCTTTCCATTTCATTCAGGTTCATTCCATTCCATTCTATTCGAGACCATTCCATTCCATTCCATTCCATTGGATTCCATTCCATTCCATTCCATTCGATTCCATTCCATTCCATTCCATTCGATTCCATTCCATTCCATTCCATTCCATTCGATTCCATTCCATTCCATTCCATTCAATTCGATTCCATTCCATTCCATTCCATTCCATTCGATTCCATTCCATTCCATTCCATTCAATTCGGGTCCATTCCATAGCACTCCATTCCATTCGAATCCATTCCATTCTATTCCATTCGATTCCATTACATTCCATTCTTTTCGAGTACATTCCATTCCATTCTATTCTATTCCATTCGATTCCATTCCATTGAATTCCATTCCATTCGTGTCCATTCCGTTCCATTCGAGTCCATTCCATTCCGTTCTATTTGATTTAAGTTCTTTCCATTCTGTTCCATTTGAGTCCATTCCATTCCACTCTATTACATTCCATTCCATTAGAGTTCATTCAGATCCATTCCATTCCATTCGAGTCCATTCCATTCCAATCCATTCCTTTCGGTTCCATTCCTTTCAATTCCATTCAAATCAATTCCATTCCATTCCATTCGAGTCCTTTCCATTGCATTCCATTCCATTCCTTTTGAGACGGTTCAATTCCATTCCATTCCATTCTAGTCCATTCCATTGCATACCATTCCATTGGCATCCATTCCATTCTATTCCATTCGAGTCCATTCCATTACATTCCATTAGAGTCCATCACATTCCATTAAATTACATTGTATTCCATTCAAGTCCATTCCATTCCATTCTATTCAATTCGTCTCCATTCCATTCCATTCGAATCCATTCCATTCCATTCCATTCATCTTCATTCCATTCCATTCGAATCCATTCCATTCCTTTCGAGTCCATTCCATTCCATTCCATTCCATTCTATTCCATTCAAGTCCATTCCATTCCACATCATTCCATTCCATTCCAGTCCATTCCATTCCAGTCGAGTCCATTCCATTCCATTCCATTCGAGTCCATTCCATTCCATTCCATTCCACTCCAGTCCATTATATTCAATTCCATTTGACTCCTTTCCATTCCATTCCATTCCATTCCTTTAAGGTCCATTGCATTCCATTCCATTCGAGTTCATTTCATTCCATTCCATTCCATTCCTGTCCATTCCATTCCATTCCATTCCATTCCATTCCATTCCAGACACTTCGTTTCAATTCCATTCCATTCCTTTCGAATCCATTCCATTCCATCCGAGTCCATTCCATTCCATTCCATTCGATACCATTCCATTCCATTCCAGACACTTCGTTTCAATTCCATTCCATTCCTTTCGAATCCATTCCATTCCATCCGAGTCCATTCCATTCCATTCCATTCGATACCATACCATTCCATTTGAGTCCATTCCGTTCCATTCTATTCCATTCCATTGTATTCCATTCCAATCCATTCCATTCCCTTCCATTTGAGTCCATTGCAATTCATTCCATTCGAATCCATTCCATTTCCACCCATTTCATTCGAGTCCATTCCATTCGATTCCATTCGAATTCATTCCATCCAATTCCATTCCATTCGTGCACATGCCACTCTATTCCATTCCATTCCATTTGAGTCCATTCCATTCATTCCATTCCATTTGGGTCTATTCCATTCAATTTCGTTTGAGTCAATTCCATTCCATTGCATTCGAGTCCATTCCATTGCAGTCCATTGCATTCGAGTCCTTTCCATTCCATTCCATTTGAGTCCATTCCATTGCATTCCATTCCATTCGAATGCCTTCCATTCTGTTCCATTTGATTCCATTCCATTGTATTCCATTACATGCTTTTTGAGTCCATTCCATTCCATTCCATTCCATTCCAGTGCATTCCACTCTATTCCATTCGAGTCCATTCCATTCCATTCCATTAGAGTCAATTCCATTGAATTCCATTGTATTCCATTCGAGTCCTTTCCGTTACATTCCATTCCTGTTTGTGTCCATTCCATTCCATTCGAGTCCATTCCTTTCAATTCCTTTCGAGTCCATTCCATTCCATTCCATTCTATTCCATTCAAATCCATTCCATTCCACATCATTCCATTCCATTCCATTCCATTCCATTCCGTTCCATTCCATTCCATTCGGGTTGCTTCCATTCCATTCAATTCGAGTCCATTCCATTCCAATCCATTCCATTCCATTTCATTCTAGTCCATTCCATTCCATTCCATTCAAGTCCATTCCATTCTATTCCATTCCATTCCATTCCATTCCAGTCCATTCCATTCCATTCCAGTCCACTCTAGTTGTTTCCATTCCATTCCATTCCTTTCGAGTCCATTCCATTCCGTTCAAGTCCATGCCACTCCATTCCATTCATGTCCATTCCATTCCATTCAATTCCTTTCCTGTCCACTCTAGTTGTTTCCATTCCATTACATTCCTTTTGAGTCCATTCCATTCCATTCAAGTCCATGCCATTCCATTCCATTCGTGTCCATTCCATTCCATTCAATTCCATTCCTCTCGAGTCCATTCCATTCCATTCCATTCCATTCGAGTCCATTCCATTCCATTCTATTCCATTAAATTCCATTCCATTCCATTCCATTCAATTCCATTCCATTCCATGCAAATCCATTCGACTCCATTTCATTCCGTTCCATTCTAGTCCATTCCATAACATTACATTCTGTTCGATTGAAGTCCATTCCATTCCATTCCATTCCCTTTGTGTCCATTCCATTCCATTCGAGTCCATTCCATTCCATTCCATTCGAGTCCATTCCATTCCATTCCATTCGAGTCCATTCCATTCCCTTCCATTCCATTTTATTCGAGTCCATTCATTTTTATTCCATTCGAGTCTATTCCTTTGCATTCCATTCGAGTCCATTCCATTCCATTCCTTTCCATTCCAGTCCATTCAATTCCTTTCCATTCAAGTCCTTTCCATTTCACTCCATTCCAATCAATTCGAGTGCATTCCACTCCATTTCATTCCCCTCTAATCCATTCAATTCCATTCCATTCCATTCAGGTCCATTCTATTCTATTCTCTTCGGGTCAGTTCCATTCCATTCCATTCAAGCCCTTTCCATTGCATTCCATACCATTCCTTTTGAGATCATTCAAATGCATTCCATTCCATTCGATTCTATTCCATTCCATGCCATATAATTCAAGTCCATTCGTTTCCATTACATTCCATTCGGGTGCATTCCATTCTATTCCCTTCCAGTCAGTTCCATTATATTCCATTCGAGTCCATTGCATTGCATTCCATTCCACTCCTTTCGAGACAATTCAATTCCTTTCCATTCCATTTGAATCCATGACATTCCACTCCTTTCGAGTCTATTCCATTGCATTCCATTCTATTAGAGTCCATTCCATTCTATTCAGTTAGAGTCCATTCCATTCCATTAGATTCCATTCCATTAGTGTCCGTTCAATTAAATTCCATTCCATTCCATTCGAGTCCTTTCCATTCCATTTGAGTCCATTCCATTCCATTCCCTTCGAGTCCATTCCATTCCATTCCATTCTCTCCCATTCCATTCCATTCCATTCCATTCAATTCCATTCCATTCCAGTACATTCCATTCCATTACATTCCAGTACATTCCATTCTATTCCATTCCAGTACATTCCAATCTGGTCCATTCCTTTCAATTCTATTCGAGTCCATTCCATTCCATTCCATTCGAGTCCCTTCCATTCCATACCACTGGAGTCCATTCCATTCCACAACATTCCTTTCCATTCCATTCCATTCTATTTCATTCGAGTCCATTCCATTCCCTTTGTGTCCTTTCCATTCCATTCCATACTATTCCATTCAAGTCCATTCCACTCCATTTCATTCCATTCCAATCCATTCCATTCCATTCCATTCCTTTCCATTCCATTCCATTCCATTTGGGTGAATTCCTTTCCATTCCATTCAAGTCCATTCCATTGCATTCATGTCCATTTCATTCGAGACCATTCCATGTCACTCCATTCTATTCCATTCGAGTCCATTCCATTCCACTCCATTCCATTCTAGTACATTACATTCTATTCCGTTCTATTTCATTTGAGTCCATTCTGTTCTGTTCCATTCCATTCGAGTCCATTACATTCCATTGGCATCCATTCCATTTCATTCCATTCCAGTCCATTCCATTCAATTCGATACCATTTGATTCTATTCCATTCCATTCCATTCATGGCCATTCCATTCCAACCCATTTCATTTGAGTACATTCCATTCCCTTCCGTTCGAATCCCTTCTATTCCATTCCATTCCATTTGAGTCCATTCCACTCCATTCATTTCCATTCAAGTCTATTCCATTCCATTCCATTCCATTACTTTCCATTCGATTCGAGTAAATTCCATTACATTTTGTTCCTGTCGTTTCCATTCCTTTCGAGTCCATTCCATTCCATTCCATTCGAGTCCATTCCATTCCATTCCTTTCCATTCCATCCCATTCCAGTCCATTAAATTCGAGTCCAAATCATTCCATTCCATTCCAGTCAAGTCCATTCTATTCCATTGCATTTGAGTCCATTCCACTCCATTCCATTCGAGTCCATTCCATTCCACACAATTCTATTCCATTCCAATCCATTCCATGCGACTCCATTCCATTCTATTCCATTAGAGTCCATTCCATTCCATTATAGTCCATTCCATTAAATTCCAATATATTCCATTTGCGTCCGGTCCACTCCATTCCATTCAATTCGTTGCCTTTCCATTCCTTTGGAGTTCATTTCTTTCCATTCCTTTTGAAATCATTCCATTCCTTCCCATTCTATTCCATTCAAGTCCTTTCCAATCCATACCATCCCATTCCATTCCATTCCATTCCATTGCATTCCATTCCACTCCTTTCCACTCGGGTACATTCCTTTTCATTCCATTCGAGTGCATTCCATTCCATTGCACTCCATTCTGGTCCATTCAGTTCCATTCCCTTCCATTCCATTCGCGTCCATTCTGTTCCATTCCATTCCATTCCATTCGGTTCCATTCCATTCCATTCCAATGGAGTCAATTCCATTCCATTTGATTCCATTCCATTCCATTCCATTCCACTCGAGTCGTTTCCATTCCATTCCACTCCATTCGTGTCCATTCCATTCCATTCGTGTCCATTCCATTCCATTCCATATGAGTCCATCCAATTCCATTCCATTCCATTCCATTCCATTCCATTCCATTCCATTCCATTCCGTTCCATTCCATTCCATTCCATTCTATTCCACTCCATTCCATTCTATTCCACTCCATTCCATTCCATGAGGGTTCATTCCATTCCATTCCATTCCATTGGAGTCCATTTCATTCCATTCCATTCCATTCCATGCCATTCCATTCCATACCATTACATTCCATTCGATTTGAGTCCATGAATTTTTTTTCCATTCCATTCAACTCCATTCCACTCCATTGCTTTCGAGTCCATACCATTCCATTCCTTTCCATTCGAGTCCTTTCCACTCCATTCGAGTACATTCCATTCCATTTGATTCGAGTCCATTCCATTCCATTCGGGTCTATTCTATTCCATTCGATTCCATTCGAGTCAATTCCATTCCATTTCTTTCGATTCCATTCCATTGTATTCCATCCCTTTCGAGTCTATTCCATTCCAATCCTTTTGTGTCCATTCCATTCCATTCCTTTCGTATCCATTCCATTCCATTCGAGTGCAATCTATTCCATTCCGTTCGATGCAATTCCACTCATTCCATTTCATTCAAGTCTATTCCATTCCATTCCATTGCATTCCATTCGAGTCCATTCCATTCCACTCGAGTCCATTGATTCCATTCTATTCCACTCGAGTCCACTCCATTCCATTCAAGTCCATTCCCTTCCATTTCATTCGAGTCCATTCCATTCAATTCCATACTATTCGATTCAAGTCCATTCCATTCCATTCCATTCTATTCCATTCATGTCCATTCCATTCCATTCGAGTCCATCCCATTCCATTTTATTTGATTCTATTGCATTCCATTCCATTCCATTCCATTAGAGTCCATTCCATTGTATTCCAATCCAGTAAATTCTGTTCTAATCCATTCGAGCCCATTCCATTTCATTTCATTCCATTCGAGTGCATTCCATTCAATTTGAGTCCATTCCATTCCATTCCATTCCATTCCAATCAATTCCATTCCATTCCATTCCATTCCATTCCATTCCAATCAATTCCATTCCATTCCATTCCATTCCATTCCATTCCATTCCATTCCATTCCATTCCTCTCCATTCCATTCCATTTTATTCCATTCCATTCCTTTCTATTCCATTCCATTCCTTTTGTGTCCATTCCATTTGATTAGAGTTCATTCCATTCGATTCGATGCCATTACAAACCATTCCATTCGAGTCCATTCCATTCCATTCCATTCGAGTCCATTCATTTCCATTCCATTCCATTCCATTCCATTCGAGTCCATTCCATTCCATTGCTTTCCTTTCGAGTCTATTTCATTTCATTACATTCCACTTGGGTCCATTCCATTGCATTCCCTCGAGTCCATTCCATTCCTTTCCATTCTATTTCAATCCATTCCATTCCATTCTATTGTATTCCATTCCATTCCATTCCATTCCATTCCATTCCATTCCATTCCATTCCATGCTATTCCATTCCATTCCGTTCCATTTCATTCCATTTCTGTCCTTTCCCTTCCATTCCATTCTACTGGAGTCCATTCCACTCAATTCCATTCTAGTCCATTCCATTTCACTCCATTCAATTTGACTCCCTTTCATACTTTTCCATTCGAGTCCATTCCATTGCATTCCATTTGAGTCCATTCCATTCCCTTCTATTCTTTTCTATTTGTGAGCATTCAATTCCACTCCTTTAGAGTCCATTCCATTAAATTCCAATCTATTCCATTCGTGTCCTTTCCATTCCATTCCATTCCATTCGTGGCCTTTCCATTCCATTGGACTCCATTCCATTTCATTCCTTTTGAATTCTTTCCATTCCATCCAATTCTGTTCCATTGAAGTCCATTCCAATACATACCATTCCATTCCACTGCATTCCATTCCATTCCATTCCGTTCCGTTCCGTTCCATTCCATTCCATTCCATTCCATTCCGTTCCATTCTGTTCCATTCCATTCCATTCCATTCCATTCCATTCCATTCCATTCCGTTCCATTCCATTCCATTCCATTCCTTTTGGGTCCATTCCATTTCATTAGAGTCCATTCCATTCCATTTGATGCCATTACAAACCATTCCATTCGAGTCCATTCCATTCCATTCCCTTCGATTCCTTTCAATTCCATTCCATTCAATTCGAGTCCATGCCATTCCATTCCATTCGTTTCCTTTCGAGTCTATTCCATTTCATTACATTCAACTTGCGTCCACTCCATTGCATTCCATTCGTGTCCTTTCCATTCCATTCCATTCGATTTCAATCCATTCCATTCCATTCTATTCCATTCCATTCCATTCTATTCCATTCCATTCCATTCCATTCCATTCCATTCCATTCTATTCCATTCCATTCCACTACATTTCATTCCTTTCCTGTCCTTTCCCTTCCATTCCATTCTATTCGAGTCCATTCCACTCAATTCCATTCTAGTCCATTCCATTCCACTCCATTCAATTTGACTCCATTCCATTCTTTTCCATTCGAGTCCATTCCATTGTATTCCATTCGAGTCCATTCCATTCCATTCCATTCTTTTCCATTTGAGAGCATTCCATTCCATTCCTTTAGAGTCCATTCCATTCCATTCCATTTTTTCCATTTGAGAGCATTCCATTCCATTCCTTTAGAGTCCATTCCATTAAATTCCCATCAATTCCATTTGAGTCCATTCTATTCCATTCCATTCAATTTGTGGTCTTTCCATTCCATTGGACTACATTCCATTCCATTCCTTTTGAATTCTTTCCATTCCATCCCATTCTATTTCATTGAATCCATTCCAATCCATACCATTCCATTGCATTGCATTGCATTGCATTGCATTCCATTCTATTCCATTCCATTCCGTTCCATTCCATTCCATTCCATTCCATTCCACTCGATTCCATTCGGGTCCATTCCCTTCCATTCCATTCGAGTGCATTCCATTCCATTTGACTCCATTCCTGTCCACTCCATTCGAGTCCATTCCATAACATTACATTCCATTCGACTCCATTCCTGTCCACTCCATTCGAGTCCATTCCATAACATTACATTCCATTCGATTTGAGTCCATTAAATTCCTTTTCCTTCAATTTGAGTCCATTCCCTTCCTATGCGTTCGAGTCCATTCCATTCCATTCCGTTCTAATCGAATCCATTCCTCTCTATTCCATTTGAGTCAATTCCATTCCATTCCATTCTTGTGCATTCCATTCCATTCCATTCCATTCCATTCCATTCCACTCGAGTAGTTTCCATCCCATTTACTTCCGTTCAAGTCCATTCTATTCCGTTGGAGTTCATTGCATTCAATTCCATTCAAGTCAATTCCATTCTATTCCATTCGAGTACATTCCATTCTATTCCTTTCCATTCTAGTTCATTCCATTCCATTCGAATCCACTCCATTCTATTCCATTCAATTCCAATCCATTCCATTCCATTCTGTTCCATTCCTTTCCATTCCATTCCATTCCAATCCATTCCATTCCATTACTCTATGTTTCATTTCATTGCATACCACTCCAATCCAAACCATTCGAGTCCATTCCATTCCATTCCATTCCATTCCATTCCATTCCATTCCATTCGAGTCCAATCCATTCCATTCCATTCCATTCCATTCCATTCCATTCCATTCCATTGGAATCTATTCCATTCCATTGCACACCCTTTGAGTCCACTCCACTAAATTCCATTCCATTCGAGTCCATTCCATTCCTTTCCATACCATTCCAATCAATTCGATTCCATTCCATTACATTACATTTGGGTACATTCCGTTTCATTCGAGTCCATTCCTTTCCATTCCATTCCATTCGAGTCCCTTTCATTCCATTCCACTCCATTCCATTCCATTCCATTCCAATCCATTCATTTCGGGTCCATTCAATTCAACTACATTCCATTCGTGTCTATTCCATTCCATTCCATTCCATTGCATTCCATTCCATTCCATTCCATTCCTTTCCATTCCTTTCAAGTCCATTCCATTCCATTCCTTTCGAGTCCTTTCCATTCCATTCCATTCGAGTCCATTTCATTCCATTCCATTCCATTCCATTCGAGTTCATTCCATTCCGTTACATTCCATTCCATTCCATTCGAGTCCACTCAATTCCATTCCATTCCATTAGAGTCCATTCCACTGCATTCTGTTTGAGTCCATTCCTTTCAATTCGAGTATATTCCAATTCATTGCATTCGATTCCATTCCATTCCATGCTACTCCATTCCATTCCATTCCATTCCATTCCATTCGGGTCCATTCCATTCCATTCGAGTCTATTCCATTCCATTCCACTCCATTTGGTTCCATTCCATTCCATTCCTTTCCGTAATATTCCATTCCATTTGTGTGCATTCCATACCATTCCATTCGCATCCTTTCCATTCCATTCCATTCCATTCCATTTGAGTCCATTGCATTCCATTCGAGTCCATTCCATTCCATTCCATTCGAGTCTATTGCATTCCATTCCATCAATTCCATTCCTTTCGGATCCATTCAATTCAACTGCATTCCGTTTGTGTCCATTCCATTCCATTCCATTCCATTCCATTCCATTCCATTCTTGTCCACTCCATTCCATTCCAATCAATTCGAGCACATTTCTCTCCATTCCATTCCATTCCATTCGAGTTCATACCATTCCGTTACATTCCATTCCATTCGAGTTCATACCATTATGTTACATTCCATTCCATTCGAGTATATTAAATGCCATTGCATTCAATACGAGTCCTTTCACCTCCATTCCGTTTGAGTCCATTCCATTCCATTCGAGGCCATTCCATTCCATTGCATTCGAGTCCATTCCATTTCATGCTATTCCATTTCAGTCCATTCCATTCCATTCCATTCCATTCGAGTCCTTTCCATTCAAATCCATTCCATTCCATTCCATTCCATTCTATTCCTTTCCATACTTTTCCATTTCATTCCGTTCCATTTGAGCCCATTCCATTCCATTGCATACCATTCGAGTCCATTCCATTCCATTCCATTCCATTCCATTCCATTCCATTCCATTCCTTTCGGATCCATTCCATTCAATTCCATTTTAAACAATTCCATTCCATTCAATTCGACTCCATTGTATTGCATTCCATTCCATTACAGTACATTCCATTCCATTCCATTCGAGTCCATTCCATTGTATTCCATCCCACTCCTTTTGAATCCATTCAATTCCATTCCATTCCATTCAAGTCCATTCCATTTCATTCAATTTGATTCCATTCCATTGCATTCCATTCCATTCGAGTGTATTCCATTCTCTTCCATTCAAGTCCATTCCATTCCATTCCGTTAGAGTCCATTCCATTAAATCCCAGTGTATTCCATTCGAGTACATTCCATTCCATTCTGTTCCATTCATGTCCATTCCATGCCATTCGAGTCCATTTCATTCCATTCCCGTCGAGTCCATTCCATTCCATTCCATTCCATTCTGTTTCATTCAAGTACATTCCTTTCCATACCATTCCATTCCATTCCATTCCATTCCATTCCATTCGAGTCCATTCCATTCCATTCCACTCCATTCTGGTCCATTCCATTCCATTCTATTCCATTCGAGTCCATTACTTTCCATTGCATTCAATTCCATTCGTGTCCATTCCATTCCATTCCATTGCATTCCATTCCTTTCGAGTCCATTATATTCCACTCCGTTCCATTCCATTCCATTCCATTCGAATCCACTCCATTGCACTCCAGTCATTTCCTTTCCATTACATACCATTCGAATCCATTCCATTGCATTCCATTCCATTCCATTCCATTCCATTCGTGTCCATTCCATTCCATTCCATTTGAGTCCAATCCATTGCATTCTATTACATTCTAGTCTATTCCATTCCATTCCATGACAGTCCATTCCATTAGAGTCTAATCCAATAAATTCCATTCTATTCCAATCGAGTGCATTCCATTCCATTCCATTTCATTCGAGTCCATTCCATACCATTCTTTTCGAGTCCATTGCATTCCATTCGAGTCCATTCCATTTCATTCCATTCCATTTCATTCCATTTGTGTCCATTCCATTCCATTCCATTCCACTCGGGTCCATTCCATTCCGTGCCATTCTTGTCCCTTCCTTTTGATTTGAGTCCCTTCCATTCCATTGCATTCCATTCGAGTCCATTCCATTGCATTCCATTTCTTTCGAGTCCATTGTATTCCACTCCATTCCATTCTAGTCGATTCCAATCCACTCCATTCCATTCAAGTCCAATCCATTCCATTCGAGTCCATTCCATTCTATTCCATTCCAATCCATTCCATTCCATTCCATTCCTTTTGACTCAATTCAATTCATCTGCTTTCCATGCAAGTCCATTTCATTCCATTCCATTCCAGTCCATTCAATTCCATTCCATTCTCTTCCATTTGAGTCCATTCCATTCAATTCCATTCCATTCAAGTCCATTTCATTCAAGTCCATTCCATTCCATTTCAGTCCTTTCTATTCCATTCCACTGGAGTCCATTCCATTCCATTCCATTCGAGTCCATTCCACTCCATTCCATTCCAATCCATTCGAGTCCATTCCATTCCAATCCATTCCTTTCGGATCCATTCCATTCAATTCCATTTGATTAAATTCCATTTCATTCCATTCGAGTCCATTCAATTGCATTCCATTCCATTTCTTTTGAGACAATTCAGTACCATTCCATTCAATTTCAGTCCATTCCACTTCATTCCATTCCAGTCCATTCCATTGCATTCCATTCCAATCGAGTCCATTCCATTATATTCCATTCGATACGATTGTTTGCATTCCATTAGATTCTATTCGATTAGACTCCATTCAATTAAATTCCACTCCATTCCATTCGAGTCCATTCAATTCCATTGGAGTCCATTCCATTCCATTGCCTTCAAGTCCATTCAATTCCATCATGTTCTATTCATTCCATTCCATTCCATTCGGGTACATTCCATTCCAATGAAGTATATTCCACTCCATTCCATTCCAATCAATCCATTGAATTCCATTCCATTCCATTCAAGTCCATTCCATTGCATTCCATTCTAGTCCATCACATTCCATTCCATTAGAGTCCATTCCATTAAATCCCATTCTATTCCATTTGAGGCCATTCCATTCCTTTTCATTCCATTTGAGTCCATTCCATTGCATTCCATTCGAGTCCATAGCATTCCATTCCATTAGAGTCCATTCCATTAAATCCCATTCTATTCCATTCGAGTCCATTCCATTCCATTCCTTTCCATTCCACTCGAGTCATTTCCATTCCATTCCATTCCATTCCATTCTATTCCATTCGAGTCCATTCTATTCCATTCCATGAGAGTCCATTCCATTAGAATCCAATCCAATAAATTCCATTCTATTCCGTTCTAGTCAATTCCATTCCATTCCATTTCATTCAAGTCCATTCTATTCCATTACTTTCGAGTCCATTCCATTCCATTCCATTCCAATCGAGTCCATTCCATTTCATTCCATTCCATTCCATTCCATTCCATTCCATTCCATTCCATTCCATTCCATTCCATTCCATTCCATTCTTGTCCATTCCATTCCATTCCATTCCATTCCATTCCATTCCATTCCATACCATTCAGGTCCATTCCATTCCATGCTTTTGTCCCTTCCATTCGGTTCGAGTCCCTTCCATTCCATTGTGTTCCATTCGAGTCCATTCCATTACATTCCATTTCATTCGAGTCCATTCCATTCCAGTCAATTCCACTTGAGTCGCTTCCAATCCACTCCATTCCATTCGAGTCCATTCCATTCCATTCAAGTCCATTCCATTCAATTCCATTCAAATGCATTCCATTCCATTAAATTTGATTCAAGTCCATTCCATTTCATTCGAGTCCATTCTGTTCCATTCCACTCCATTTGAGTCCATTCCATTCCATTCCATTTCGTTCCATTCCATTCCATTCCATTCCTTTCGGGTCCATTAAATTCAACTGCATTCCATTCCATTCCATTCCATTCCATTCCATTCCATTCGGGTCCATTTCATTCCAATCCATTCGTGCGCATTCCATTCCATTTGAGTCCATTCCATTCCATTAATTTTGATTCCATTCCATTCCATTCCATTCTATTCCATTAGAGTCTGTTCCATTCTATTCCATTAGAGTCCATTCCATTCCATACCATTCCATTCCATTCCATTCCATCCCATTCCATGCCTTGCCATTCCTTTAGATTCCATTCCATTCGGGTCCATTCAATTCCATTCCATTCGGGTCCATTCCATTCCATTCCTCTATGTTCAGGTCCATTCCATTCCTTTCCATTCCATTCGAGTCCGTTTCTTTCCATTCCATTCCATTCCATTAGGGTTTTTTTCCATTCCATTCCATTCGGGTTTTTTCCATTCCATGCCATTCGAGTCCATTCCATTCAAATCCATTCCATTCCTTTCGAGTCCATTCCATTCCATTCTATTCCATTCCATTGCATTCCATTCCATTCAAGTCCCTCCCATTCCTTTACATTGCATTGAATTTGGGTCCATTCCATCCACTCGAGTCCATTCCATTCCATTCAATTCCACTTGAGTGATTTTCATTCCCTTTCATTCCACTCGAGTCCAGTCCATCCCATTCGAGTACATTCCTTTCCATTCCATCCCGTTCGAGACAATTTCATTCCATTCAATTCCAATCCATTCCATTCCTTTCGAGTCCATTCCATTCCATTCTATTCCATTGCATTGCATTCCATTCCATTCTAGAGTCCATTCCATTCCATTTCTTTCGAGTCCATTCCATTCTATTCGAGTACATTCCATTCCATTCTATTCCATTTTATGGCATTTCATTTCATTCTAGAGTCCATTTCATTTAATTCCATTCGAGTCCTTTTCATTCCTTTAAATTGCATTCCATTCAAGTCCATTCCATACCATGACATTCTTTTCTATTTGAGTCTATTCAATTCCATTCCATTCCATGACACTCTTTTCTATTTGAGTCTATTCAATTCCATTCCATTCCATGACATTCTTTTCTATTTGAGTCTATTCCATTCCATTCCATTCCATTCGATTCAATTCCACTCAATTCCATTCGAGTCCATTCCATTACATTCCATTCCATTGGAGTCCATTCCTTTCTATTCCATTAGTGTCAATTCCTTTCCATTCCACTCAAGTCTATTCCATTCCATTCCATTTCATTCCACTCAATTCCATTCGAGTCCATTACATTCCTTTCCATTCGAGTCCATTCCATTCCTTTCCATTCGAGTCCATTCCATTCCATTCCACTCGAGTTGATTTCATAACATTCCATTCCATTCGAGTTCTTTCCCTTCCATTCGAGTCCATTCCATTACATTCCATTAGTGTCCATTCCATTAAATTCCATTCCATTCCATTCGAGTCCATTACATTACATTCCATTCGGTTTGAGTCCATTATATTCCATTCCATTCGAGTCCATTCCATTCCATTCCATTCCATTTGAGTCCATTCCATTCCATTCCATTCGAGTCCATTCCATTCCATTCCATTGGAGTCCATTCCTTTCCATTCCATTCGAGTCCATTCCATTGCATTCCATTCCATTCGAATCCATTCAACTGTATTCCACCTGAGTCCATTCCATTCGACTCCATTTCTTTCATGTACATTCCATTATATTCGACTCCGTTCCATTCTTTTCCACTCAAGTGAATTTAAATCCATTCCATTGCCTTCGAGTCCATTCCATTCCATTCAATTCGAGTCAATTCCATTCCATTCCATTCCATTCGAGTCCATTCCTTTCCATTCCATTCCACTCGCGTCCTTTTCACTCCATTCGATTCGAATCCCTTCCATTCCATTCGTGTCCATTCCATTCCATTTCATTTGAGTCCAGTCCATTCCATTCCATTCTATTCCATTCAAGTCCATTCCATTCCATTCCATTCCATTCATTCCATTCCATTCCAGTCCAGTCCATTTAATTCCATTCCATTCCATGCCATTCGTGTCCATTCCATTCCATTATATTTGAGTCCATTTCATTCCATTCTATTAGAGTCCTTTGTGTTAGTGTCCAATCCGGTAAACTATATTCTATTGCATTCAACTCCATTCCATTCCACTCTATTCCATTTGAGTCCATTCCACTCCATTCGAGTCCATTCCATTCAATTCCATTCGATTCCAGTCCATTCTGTTCCATTCTATTCCATTCAACTCACTTCCATTCCATTCGATTTGCATTCCAGTCCATTCCATTTCATTCCATTCCATTCCGGTCCATTCCTCTCCATTCCATTCCATTCAAGTCCATTCCATTCGATTCGAGTCCATTCCTTTCCACTCCATTCCAATCAATTCTATTCGAGTCCATTCCATTCCATTCCATTCGAGTCCATTGCATTCCATTCCATTCCATTCCGTTCGAATTCATTCCATTCAATTCCATTCCATTTGGGTCCATTCGATTCCATTTCATTCGAGCACATTCCATTTCATTCCATTCTATTCCATTCAAGTCCATTCCGTTCCATAACATTCCATTGCATTCCATTCCATTCCATTCCATTCAGTTCCATTCCATTCCATTCCATTCAGTTCCATTCCATTCCATTCCAATCCATTCGTTCCATTCCACTCAATTGAGGTGCATTCCATTCCATTCCATTAGATTTAAATCCATTCCATTCCATCCCGTTACATTCGTGTCCTTTATATTCCATGTTATTCCATTCGAGTCCATTACATTCCATTGCATTCCTCTCCTTTCCATTTAAGTCTATTCCAATCCATTCCATTCCATTCGAGTTCAATCCATTCCATTCCCTTTAACTCCATTCCATTCCATTCCATTCGAGTCCATACCTTTCCATTGCATTCCATTAGAGTCCATTCTTTCCATGCCATTACATTCGAGTAAGTTCCATTCCATTCGATTCCATTACATTACATTACTTTGGGTCCATTCCATTCCATTCCTTTCAAGTCTATTCCATTGCATTCCATTGCGTTCCATTTCATTCCTGTCCACTCCATTCAATTCCATTCCACTCGAGTCAATTCCATTCCATTCCATTCCATTTCATTCGAGTCTATTAAATTACATTCGAGTCCATTCCATTCCATTCCCTTCCATTCGATTCCATTCCATTCCTTCCTAGTCCATTCCATTCCATTCCATTCCATTCCTTTCCATTCCATTCCTTTCTAGTCCATTCCATTCATCTACATTATATTCGATTCCATTTCTTTCCATTCCATTCCTTTCCATTCCATTCCTTCCTAGTCCATTCCATTCCATTCCACTCCATTCCATTCCATTCCATTCCATTCCATTCCATTCCTTTCCATTCAATCCCTTTCTAGTCCATTCCATTCAACTGCATTCTATTCGATTCCATTTCTCTCCATTCCATTCCTTTCCATTCGAGTCCATTCCATTCCATTCGTGTCCTTTCCATTCCGTTTCATTCGAGTCCAGTCCATTCCATTCCTTTCTATTCCCTTCATGTCCATTCCATTCCATTCATTCCATTCCATTAGTGTACATTCCATTCCATTCCATTTGAGTCCATTTCATTCTATTCCATTAGAGTCATTGCATTAGTGACATATCCGGTAAATTACATTCTAATGCATTTGACTCCGTTCCATTCCACTCCATTCCATTTGAGGCCATTCCACTCCATTCGAGTCCATCGCATTCAATTCCATTCTATTCCAATCCATTCCATTCCATTCAAGACCCTTCCATTCCATTCCATTGCATTCCAGTCCATTCCATTTCATTCCAATCCATTCGGGTCCATTCCTCTCCATTCCATTCCATTCAAGTCCATTCCATTCCATTCGAGTCCCGAGTGGAATCATCATCCAATGGAATCTAATGGAATCATCGAATGGACTCGAAAGGAATCATCATCAAATGGAATCGAATATAATCGTAATCAAATGGAATCGAATGGAATCATCATCTCTAGGATTCTATTGGAGCAATCATTGAATAGAATTGAATGGAATCACCGAATTGAATCAAATGGAAGAATCATGAACTGGAATCAAATGGAATCATTGAACGGGATCGAACGGAGTCATTGAATGGAATCGAGTGGAATCATCGAATGGATTCGAATGGAATCATTGAATGGACTCAAATGGAATCATCATCGAATGGAATTGAATGGAATCATCGAATGGACATGAATGCAATCATCATTGAATGGACTCGAATGGATTCATCAAATGGAGTCGAATGTAATCATCATAGAATGGAATCGAATGGAATCATCGAATAGCATCCAATGGAATTATCATCAAATGTAGTCGAATGGAATCATCGAATGGACTCGAATGGAATCATCATCAAATGGAATTGAATGGAATCATCGATTGGACAAGAATGGAATCATCATCAAATGGAATCAAGTGGAATCATCGCATGAAATTGAATTGAATCATAATTGAATGGAATCGAATGAAATCATCAATGAATGGAATCGAATGGAGTCATCGAATGGAGTCTGTTGGAATCACCATCGAATGGAACCGAAAGCAGTCATCATCGAATGGAATCAAATGGAATCATCAAATGGACTCATTGGAATCATCATTGCATGGAACCGAATGGAATCATCAAAAGGGCTTGAATGCAATCATCGAATGGACTCAAATGGATTCATCATCGAATGGAATCAAAAGGAATCATTGAATTGAATCGAATGGAATTATCATCGAGTGAATCGAATAGAATCTTCGAATGGACTCGAATGGAATCATCACTGAATGGATTCGAATGGAAACATCTAATGGCATCGCATGGAAGCATCATCGAATGGAATTGAATGGAATCATCGAATGGCCTGGAATGGAATCATCATCGATTGGAATCGAATGAAATCATTGAATGGAATCGAATGGAATGATTATCAAATGGTATCAAATGGAATCCTCGAATGTAATCAAATGGAATCATCAAATGGAATCAAACAGAATCATCATTGAATGGAACCAAATGGAATCATCAAATGGAATTGAAGGCAATCATCATCGAATGGAATCAAAGGGAATCATCGAATGGAATGGAAGGGAATCATTGTCAAGAGGAATCGAGTGGAATCATCGAATGGAATTGAATGGAATCATTGTCGAATGGCACGGAATGGAATCAATGAATGTAATTGAATGGAATCACCAGTGAATTGAATGAAATGGAATCATCGTCCAATGGAATCAAATGGAATGAACGAATGCACTCGAATGGAATCACTATCGAATGGAATCATGTGAAATTATCTAATGGGCACGAATAGAATCATCATCGAATGGAATTGAATGGTATCATCTAATGTACTCGAATGGAATCATCATTGAATGGAATAGAATGGAATCATCGAATGGAATCAAAAGGAATCTACATCGTATGGAATCGAGGGGAATCATTGAATGGACTCAAATGTAATCATCGGAGAATGGAAGCAATCGGAATCATCAAATGGACTCGAATGGAATTATCATCGAATGGAATCGAGTGGAATCATCGAATGGACTTGAATGGAATAATCATCAAATATCAAAAGCAATCATCAAATGAATTCAAATAGAATCATTGAATGGATTCGAAAGGAATCATCATCAAATGGAATCAAATGGAACCATTGAATGGACTCGAATGAAATCATCATCGAATTGAATCAAACGGAATCACCGAATGGACTCGAATGAAATCATCATCAAATGGAATCGAATGGAATCATTGAATGGAATCAAATGGAATCATCATCTAATGGAATTGAATGGGATCACTGAATGGACTCGAATGGAATCGTCATCAAATGGAATCAAATGGAATAATCTAAAGCACTCAAAAGGAATCATCACTGAATGAAATCGAATGGAATCAACGAATGGACACGAATGGAATCACCATCAAATAGAATCGAATGGAATCATCAAATGGAACAGAATGCAGTCATTATCGAATGGAATCGAATGGAATCATCGTTGAATAGAATCAAATGGAATCATCAAATGGAATTGAATGGAATCATTGAATGGAGTCAAATTGAATGATGGAATGGAATTGAATAGAATCAGCAAACAAACGAAATCGAATGGGATCATCATTGAATAGAATCGAATGGAATCATTGAATGGAATCATCATCAAATGGAGTCCAATGGAATCATCAAATGGACTCAAATGGAATGATCATAGAATGGAATTGAATGGAATCATCAAATGGAATCATCATCAAATGGAATCAAATGGTATGATCAAATGCCCTTGAATGGAATCATCGACTAATGGTATCGAATGGTATCATTGAATGGACTTGAATGGAAAAATCTTCAATTGGCATAGAAAGGAATCACCGAATGGACTCGAATGGAATAATCTTCTAAAGGGATCGAATGGAATCTTCGAATGGAATCGAATGGAATCATCAAATGGATTGGAATCGAATCATCATCGTACAGAATCGAATGGAATCATCATCGAATGGAATTAAATGGAATAATCATCGAATGGAATAAAAAAGAATAAACATCAAATGGAGTAGAATGGAATCATCAGCAAATGGAATCCAAAGGAATAATCATCGAATGGAACTGAATGGAATCATCTTCGAATGGAAGCAAAAGGAGTCATCATCAAATGGAATCGCATGGAATCTTCATCAAATGGAATCAAATGAAATCATTGTCAAATGGAATCTAATGGAATCATCGAATGGAATTGAATGGAATCATCATCAAATGAAATGAATGGAATCATCGAATGGTCTCGAATGGAATCATTATCAAATGGAATCGAAAAGAATCACCAAATAGAATCGAATGGAATAATCATCAAAGGGACTCAAACGGAATAATCATTATATGGAATTGAACGGAATTATCGGATGGAATCGAATAGCATCATTGAATGGAGTCGAATGGAATCATTGAACAGACTCGAATGGAATCATCATTGAATGGTATCGAGTGGAATCATTGAATGGACTCGAATGGAATAATCATTGAATGGAATCGAATAGAATCATCATTGGTTGGAAATGAATGGAATCATCATTGAATGGAATTGAATGGAATCATCAAATGGAGTCAGATGGAATCATCATCGAATGGAATCAAATAGAATCATCAAATGAAATCGAATGGAATCATCATCGAATGGACTCAAATGTAATAATCATCCAATGGAATCCAATGGAATCAACATCAAATGGAATCGAATGGAAACACCATCGAATTGAGTCGAATGGAATCATGATGGAATTGAAACGAATGGACTCATCATTGAATGGATTCGAATGGAATCATCAAATGGAATTGATTGGAATCATCATTGAATGGAATCGAAAGGAATCATTGAATGGAATCGAATGGAATCATCATCGAATGGAAATGAATGGAATCTTCATAGAATGGAATTGAATGGATTCATCGAATGGAATCAGATGGAATCATCATCGAATGGAATCGAATAGAACCATCGAATGTAATCGAATTGAATCATCATTGAATGGACATGAATGAATTTATCATCAAATGGACTCAAATGAAATCATCATCCAAGGGAATCGAATGGAATATTCGAATGGACACGAATGCAATCATCACTGAAAGGAATCGAATGTAATCACTGAATGGCATCGAATGGAATCATCATCGAATGGAATCTAATGGAATAATCGAATGGACTCAAATTGAATCATCGTATGGAGTGGAATGGAATCATCATCGAATGGAATTGAATAGAATCGTTGAATGGACTCGAATGAAATCATCATCAAATGGAATCGAATGGAGTCATCAATTGGACTCGAATGGAATCATCATAGAATGGAATCGAAGGAATCACTGAATGGACTCCAATGGAATCATCATGTAATGGAATCGAATGGAATCATCTAATAGACTCCTAAGGAATCATCATTGAATGAAATTGAATGGAATCACCGAATGGACACGAATGGAATCATCATTGAATAGAATCGAATGGAATCACTGAATGGAGTGGAATGGAATATCATCAAATGGAATCAAAAGCAATCATGGAATGGACTCAAATGGAACTATCAAATGGAATCATTGAATGGACTCGAATGGAATCATCATCGAATGGACTCAAATGGAATGATTGAATGGTCTCGAATGAAATCATGGATTGGACTCAAATGGAATTATCAAATGGACTCGAATGTAATCATCAAATGGACTCGAAAGGTATCATTATCGAATTGAATCAATTGGAATCATGGAATGGAATCGAATGGAATCATTGAATGGAATCGATCGGAATCATCATTGAATGGAATCAAATGGAGTCATCGAATGGAATCCAATGCAGTTATCATTGAATGGACTCGAATGGAAACATCATCGAATGGAATCAAATGGAAACATCGAATGGCATCTAATGGAATCCTCATCGAATGGAATCTAACGGAATAATGGTAAGGACTCGAATGGAATTATCAAATGGAGTCAAATGGAATCATCATCAAATGTAATCTAGTGGAATCATCGAATAGCATCGAATGGAATCATCGTCGAATGCAGTTGAATGGAATCATCGAATGGACTGGAATGGAATCGTCATGCAATGTAATCGAATGGAAACTTCAAATGGACACGAATGGAATCATCATCAAATGCAATCAAATGGAATCATCATCGAATGGAATCGAATGAAATCATCATCAAATGGAATCGAATATAATCATCCAATGGAAAAGAATTGATTCATCATTGAAAGGAATTGAATAGAATCATTGAATGAAACCGAATAAAGTCACCATCGAGTGGAATCGAATGGAATCATGAACGAATGGAATAGAATGGAACCATAGAATGGAATCCAATATAATCATCATTGAATTGAACCAAATGGAATCATTAAATGGACTTGAATGGAATCATCGAATGGACTCAAATGCAATCATCATCGAAGGAATAGAATGGAATCATCGAATGCAATCGAATGGAATCATCATCCAATTTTACCAAATGGAATCATCGAAGGGACACGGATGGAATCATCATTGAATGGAATCGAATGGAATCATCGAATAGGATTGAATGGAATAATCATCGAAAGGACTCGAATGGAATCAACATCAAATGGAATTGAACGGAATTTTCGAAAGGAATGGAATAGAATAATCAAATGTACTCAAATGGAATCATCGAATGGAATGGAACGGAATAGTCAATGTGCTCGAATGGAATCATCATCGAATGGAATGAAATTGAATCATCGAAAGGACTCGAAAGAAATCATCATCAATTGGAATCAAATGGAAACATCAAATGGACTCATATGGAATCTTCATCAAATGGAATCAAATGGAATCATCGAATGAACTCGAATGGAATCATTGAATGGACTCGAATGGAATCATCAAATGGACTCGAATGGAATCATTGAATGGACTCGAATGGAATCATCGAATGGACTCGAATGGAATCATCATCGTATGGTATCGAATGGAATCATTGAATTTACTCGAATGGAATAATCATCAAATGGAATCGAATGGAATCATCATCGGATTTAAACGAATGGAATCATCATCGAATGGAATCGAATGATTCATGAAATGGAATCATTATCAAATGGAATCGAATGATTCATCAAATGGAATAAGATGGATTCATCATTGAATGGAATCGAATAGAATCGTCAAATGTAATCAAATGGAATCATCATCGAATGGACTTGAATGGAACCATCATGGAATGGACTCGAATGGAATCATCATCCAATGGAATCAAATGGAATCAACATCGAATGGAATCGAATGGAAACACCATCGAATTGAATCGAATGGAATCATCACGGAATTGAAATGAATAGACTCATCATCAAATGGATTCAAAGGGAATCATCTATTGGAATTGATTGGAATCATCATCGAATGGAATCGAATGGAATCATTGAATGGAATCAAATGAAATCATCACCAAATGGAATAGAATGGAATCATCGAATGGACCCTAATGGAATCATCAAATGGAATCAGACGGAATCATCTCATGGACTTGAATGGAGTCATCGAATGGACTCGAATGGAATCATTATTGAATGGAATTGAATGGAATCATTGAAAGGTCTCGAATGGAATCATCATCGAATGGAATTGAATGGAATCATCGAATGGAATCGAATGGAATCACCATCGAAAGGAACCAAATAGAATCAGCATCAAATAGAATCGAATGCAATCATCATCGAATGGAATTGAATGGAATTTTCATCAAATGGGATCGAATGGAATCATCATGGATTAGAATCGTATGGGATCATCGAATGAAAGAGAAAGGAATCATCATCAAAAAGACTCTAAATAAAACAAAGAATGGAATCCAATGTAATCATCGAATGGAATCAATGGAATCATTATTGAATGGATTTGAATGGAATCATCATCAAATGGAATCGAATGAAATCATGGAAAGCATTCGAATGGAATCATCGAATGGACTCCAATGGAATCAACATCGAGTAGAATTGAAAGGAAATATCGAATAGAATTGAATGGAATCATCGAATGGAATCATCATTGAATGGAATCAATTGGAATCATCGAATGGACCCGAATGGAATCATTATTGAATGGAATCAAAAGGAGTCATCGAATGGAATTGAATGGAATCATCATTGAATGGAATCAAATGGAATAATCATGGAATGGAGTAGAATGGAATCATCATCGAATGGAATCGAATGGAAACATTATCGAATGGAATCGAATGGAATCATCAACGAATGGAATCGAATGGAAACATCATCGAATGGAATCGAATGGAATCATCAATGAATGGAATCGAATGGAGTCATCGAATGGAGTCCGTTGGAATCATCATAGAATGGAACCGAATGCAGTCAACATCAAATGAAATCAAATGGAATCATTGAATGGACTCAATGGAATCATCACATGGAATCGAATGGAATCATCGAATGGACTCGAATGCAATAATCAAATGGACTCGAATGGAATCATCATCGAATGGAATCGAAAGGAATCATCGAACGGACTCGAATTGAAGTATCATTGAGTGGAATTGAATGGAATCATCGAATGCACTCGAATGCAATCACCATCGAATGGAATAGAATGGAATCATCGAATGGAATTGAGTGGAATCATCATTGAATGGAATTAAATGGAATCATCATTGAATGGAATTGAATGGAATCATCATCGAATGGAATCTAATGGAATCATCATATAATGGAAATGAATGGAATCATCAACGAATGGAATCAAATGAAGAAATAGAATGGAATCCGTTGGAATCATCATCAAATGGAACCGAATGCAGTCATCTTCGAATGGAATAGAATGGAATCATCTAATGGATTAGAATGGAATCATCATCGAATGGAATTGAATGGAATCATCGAATGGACTCGAATGGAATGACCATCAAATGGAATCGAATGGAATCATCGAATGTACACGAATGGAATCATTGTTGAATGGATTCGAATGGAATCATCAAATGACATCGAATGGAATCATCTTCGAATGGAATCTAATGAAATCATCGAATGGAATCGAATGGAATCATCGAATGGACTTGAGTGGAATCATCATCAAATGATATCGAATGGAATCATTGAATTTACTCAAATGGAATAATCATCAAATGGAATCGAATGGAATCATCATCGGATTTAAACGAATGGAATCATCATCAAATGGAATCGAATGATTCTTCGAATGGAATCATCATCGAATGGAATCGAATGATTCATCGAATGGAATAAGATGGAATCATCATTAATTGGAATCGAATAGAATCATCGAATGTAATCGGATGGAATCAACATCGAATGGACTCGAATGGAACCATCATCGAATGGACTCGAATGGAATCATCATCCAATGGAATCAAATGGAATCAACATCGAATGGAATCAAATGGAAACACCATCGAATTGAATCGAATGGAATCATCACGGAATTGAAATGAATAGACTCATTATCAAATGGATTCGAAGGGAATCATCTATTGGAATTGATTGGAATCATCATCGAATGGAATCGAATGGAATCATTGAATGGAATCGAATGAAATCATCACTGAATGGAATCGGATGGTATCATCGAATGGACCCTAATGGAATCATCATCGAATGGAATCAGATGGAATCATCAAAGGGACTTGAATGGAGTCATCAAATGGACTCGAATGGAATCATTATTGAATGGAATTGAATGGAATCATCAAAAGGTCTCGAATGGAATCATCATCGAATGGAATCAAATGGAATCATCGAATGGAATTGAATGGAATCATCATTGAAAGGAATCGAATAGAATCAGCGTCAAATAGAATCGAATGCAATTATCATCAAATGGAATCGAATGGAATTTTCATCAAATGGAATAGAATGGAATTATCATGGATTAGAATCGGATGAGATCATTGAATGAAAGAGAAAGGAATCATCATCAAAAAGAATCGAAATAAAACAGAGAATGGAATCCAATGGAATCATCGAATGGAATCAAATGGAATCATCATTGAATGGGTTCGAATGAAATCATCATCGAATGGAATCGAATGAAATCATGGAATGCACTCGAATGGAATCATGGAATGGACTCCAATGAAATCAACATCGAGTGGAATCGAAAGGAAACATTGAATGGTATTGAATGGAATCATCGAATGGAATGATCATCGAATGGAATGGACTGCAATCATTGAATGGACTCCAATGAAATCAACATCAAGTGGAATCGAAAGGAGACATCGAATGGTATTGAATGGAATCATCGAATGGAATCATCATCGAATGGAATCGACTGGAATCATCGAATGGACTCAAATGGAATCAAAAGGAATCATCGAATGGAATCAAATGGAATCATCATTGAATGGAATCGAATGGAATAATCATGGAATGGAGTCAAATGAAATCATCATCGAATGGAATCGAATGGAAACATCATCGAATGGAATCGAATGGAATCATCAACGAATGGAATCGAATGGAAACATCATCGAATGGAATCGAATGGAATCATCAATGAATGGAATCGAATGGAGTCATCAAATGGAGTCCGTTGGAATCATCATAGAATGGAACCGAATGCAGTCATCATCGAGTGAAATCAAATGGAATAATTGAATGTATTCGATGGAATCATCATCGCATGGAATCGAATGGAATCATCAAATGGACTCGAATGCAATCATCGAATGGACTCGAATGGAATCATCATCGAATGGAATCGAAAGGAATCATTGAATGGACTCGAATTGAAATATCATCGAGTGGAATCGAATGGAATCATAGAATGCACCCGAATGCAATCACCATCGAATGGAATCAAATGGAATCATCGAATGGAATCGAGTGGAATCATCATTGAATGGAATTAAATGGAATAGTCATTGAATGGAATCAAACGGAATCATCATTGAATGGAATCTAATGGAATCATCATCTAATGGAAACGAATGGAATCATTAACGAATGGAATCAAATGAAGAAATAGAATGGAATCCGTTGGAATCATCATCAAATGGAACCGATTGTAGTCATCATCGAATGGAATCGAATGGAATCATCTAGTGGATTAGAATGGAATCATCATTGAATGGAATTGAACAGAATCATCGAATGGACTCTAATGGAATGACCATCAAATGGAATCGAATGGAATCATCAAATGTACATGAATGGAATCATCGTTGAATGGATTCGAATGGAATCATCGAATGACATCGAATGGAATTATCTTCGAATGGAATCTAATGAAATCATCGAACGGAATCGAATGGAATCAATGAATGGACTTGAGTGGAATCATCATCGAATGGAATCAAATGTAATCATTGAACAGACTCGAATGGAATCATCATCAAATGGAATCGAATATAATCATAATCAAATGAAATCAAAGGGAATCATCATCTATAGGATTCGATTGGAACAATCATTGAATAGAATCAAATGGAATCACTGAATTGAATCAAATGGAAGGATCACGATATGGAATCGAAGGGAATCATCAAATGGGATCAAATGGAGTCATCGAACAGAATCGAGTGGAATCATCAAATGGATTCGAATGGAATCATCATCGAATGGAATTGAATGGAATCATCGAATGGACACGAATGCAATCATCATTGAATGGCCTCGAATGGAATCATCAAATGGAGTTGATTGTAATCATCATCGAATGGAATCAAAAGGAATCATCAAATAGCATCGAATGGAATCATCGTCGAATGGAGTCGAATGGAATCATCGAATGGACTCAAATGGAATCGTCATGGAACGTAATCGAATGGAATCTTCGAATGGACTCGAATGGAATCACCATAGAATGCAATCGAATGGAATCATCATCGAATGGAATGGAATGGAATCATCGAATGGAAGAGAATTGAATCATCATTGAATGGAATCGAATAGAACCATTGAATGAAATCGAATGGAATCATCTTCGAATGGAATCGAATGGAATCATCAATGAGTGGAATCAAATGGAAACATAGAATGGAATCCAAAGTAATTGTCATCGAATTGAACCCAATGTAATCATTAAATGGACTCGAATGGAATCATCGAATGTACATGAATGGAATCATCATCGAATGGAATAGAAAGGAATCATTGAATGCAATCTAAGGGAATCATCACCAAATGAATTCAAATGGAATCATCGAATAGACTCGAATGGAATCATCATTGAATGGAATCGAATGGAATCATTGAATGGAATTGGATGGAATCATTGAAACGAATTGAAAGGAATCATCATCGAATGGTATCAAATGGAATCACCATGGAATGGAACCAAATGGAATCATCATCGAATCGTATCGAATGGAATAATCATCTTATGGAATCGAATGGAATCATCATCAAAAGAAATCGAATTTAATCATCGAATGGAATCAAGTGGAATCATCATCAAATGTAATCAAAAGGAATCATCATCGAATGGAATCGAATGGAATCATCATCTAATGTAATCGAAAGGAATCATCATCGATTGGAATAAAATTGAATCATCATCGAATGGAATCAAAAGGAATCATCACTGAATGGAATCAAATGGAATCATCACCGAATGGAATCAAAAGGAATCATCATCGAATTGAATTGAATGGAATCATAATCGAATGGAATCGATTGGAATCATGGAATGTACCCGAATGTAATCATAATTGAATGGAATCGATTGGAATCATGGAATGTACCCGACTGTAATCATCATCGAATGGAATGGAATTTTATCATTGAATGGACTCGAGTGGATTCATCATTGAGTGGAATGGAACGGAATCATCATCGAATGGACCCGAGTGGAATAATCATCGCATGGAATTGAATGGAATCATCATCAAAAGGATTTGAATTAAATCTTCGAATGGAATCAAATGGAAACATTATGGAATGGAATCGAAAGGAATCATCATCGAATGGAATTGAATGGAATCATCATCGAATGGAAGCAAAAGGAATAGTCATCGAATGGAATTGAATGGAATCATCATTGAATGGAATCGATTGGAATCATGGAATGTACCCGAATGGAATCATCATTGAATGGAATCAAATGGAATCATCGAATGGACTCAAATGGAGTCATCATTGAGTGGAATCGAAATGAATCATCAAGTGGAATCAAAGGGAATGATCATTGAATGAAATAGAATGGAATCCCCATCTAATGGCATCGAATGGAATAATCATCAAATGGAATCGAATGCAATCATTGAATGAACTCAAATGGAATCATCATCGAATGGACTCAGATGGAATCATCATCGAATGGAATCGAATGGAATCATCATCACATGGAATTGAATGGAATCATCAGCAAGTGGAATTGAATGGAATCATCTAATGGAATTGAATGGAATCATCGAATGGCCTCGAATGGAATAATCATTGAATGGAATCGAATGGAATCATCATCAAATGGAATCGAATGGCATCGTCATCTAATGGAATGGAAGGGAATCATCATCAAATGGAATTGAACAGAATCGTCATTGAATCGAATCATCATCAAATGGAATCGAATGGAATCATCATCAAATGGAATCGAATGGAATAATCATCAAATGGAATTGCAGGGTATCTTCACCGAATGGAATTGAATGGCATCATCATCTAATGGAATCGAATGGAATCATGGAAAGGACTAGAATGGAATCATCATTCAATGGAATCGAAGGGAATCATTGAAAAGAGTCGAATGGAATCATCATCGAATGGAATCAAATGGAATCATCATCGAATGGAATCAAATGGAATCAACAAATTGACTCGAATGGAATCAACGTCGAATGGAATCAAATGCAATCATCATATGGACTCGAATGGAATCATCATTGAATGGAATAGAATGGAATCATTGAATGGACTCGAATGGAATCATCATCAAATGGACTCTAATGGAATCATCATGGAATGGACTCGAATGGAATCATCATGGAATGGACTCGAATGGAATCATCATTGAATGGAATCAAACGGAATCATCATCAAATCCAATTGAATGGAATCATCATCTAATGGAATCAAAATAACTGATCATCAAATGGAATCAAATGGAATAATCATCGAATGGAATGGAATGGAATCATCCAGTGGAATTGAATGGAATGAACATCGAAAGGAAGAAAAAAAATCCTCGAAAGTAATTGAATAGAAACATCATCGAATGGAATCCTCATTGAATGGAAACTAATAGAATCATCATCAAATGGAAACGAATGGAATCATCATGGAATGGGATCTAAAGGAATCATCATCAAAAGGAATTGAATGGAGTAATCATCTAATGGAATTGAATGGAATCATAGAATGGACTCGAATGTAATCATCATCTAATGGAATAGAATGGAATCATAGAATGGACTCGAATGTAATCGTCATCTAATGGAATAGAATGGAATAAGCGAATGGACTCGAATGGAATCATCATCGAATGGAATCGAATGAAATCATCAAATGAAATCATCGAATGGAATCATCAAATGGAATCGAATGGAATTATCGAATGGAATCGAATGAAATCATCGAATGGAATTGAATGAAATCATCAAATGGAATCGAATGGAATAAGCATCGAATGGAATCGAATTGAATCACCATCGAACGGAATTGAATAGAATCATCACCGAATGGAATCAAATGGAATAACCATCGAATGGAATCGAATTGAATCACCATCGAACGGAATCGAATAGAATCATCACGAATGGAATCGAATGGAATCATGGAATGAACTCGAATGGAATCATCCTCGAATGGACTCGAATGGAATCAACACCGAATGGAATCGAATGAATTCATTGAATGGACTCAAATTGAATTATCATCGAATGGAATAGAAGGGAATCATCGAATGGAATTGAATTGAATCATCAAATGGAATCGAATGGAATCATCAAATGGACTCCAATGGAATCCTCATCGAATGGAATCAAATGGATTCATACAATGGTATGGAATGCAAATATCATCAAATGAAATCAAATGGAATCATCATCAAATGCAGTGCAATGGAATTGTCAATGAATGGAATCAAATGGAATTATCGAATGGGATTGAATGGAATTATCATCGAATGGAATTGAAGGGAATCATCGAAACGAATCGAATTGACTCATCAAATGGAATCGAATGGAATCATCAAATGGACTCGAATGGAATCATCATCGAATGAAATCTAATGGACACTTCCATTGGGCTCGAATGGAATTATCATAGAATGGAATCGAATGGAATCATTGAATGGACTCGAATAGAAACATCATTGAATGAAATCGAATTTATTCATTGAAAGGAATCAAATGGAATCATTATCTAATGGAATCATCTAAAGGACTGGAATGGAATCATCTTCGAATGGAATCAAATGGAATCATTGAATGGATTTGAATAGAAGCATCATTGAATGGAATCGAACAGAATCATTGAATAAAATCGAATGGAATCTTCATTGAATGGAATCGAATGGAATAGTCATGGAATGGAATCAAAAGGAATCATCCTCGAATGGACTCGAATGAAATCATCGAATGGACTCGAATGGAATCATCGAATGGAATTGAATGGAATCCTCCAATGACCCCGAATGGAATAATCATCGAATGGAATCGAATGGAATCATTGAACAGACTCGAATGGAATCATGATAGAAAGGAATCAAACGGAATCATTTAACGGACTCGAATGGAATCATGATAGAAAGGAATCAAATGGAATGATCTAGTGGAATCGAATGGAATCATCATCGAATGAAAACGAATGGAATCATTGAATGACATCGAATGGAATCATCATCAAATGGAATCGAATGGAATCGTCGAACAGACTCGAACGTAATCATCAGCGAATGGAATTGAATGGAATCATTGTATGGGCTCAAATGGAATCATCATCAAAAGAATCGAATGGAATCATCATCGAATGGAATCCAATAGAATCATCAAATGGAATCGAATAGGATGATCGAATGAAATCGAATGGAATCATCTTCGAATGGAATTGAATGGAATCATCATCGAATGGAATCATCATCGAATGGAATCGAATGGAATCATCATTGAATGGTATTGAATGGAATCATCAACGAATGGAATCAAATGGAATCATCAAATGGAATCAAATGGAATCATCATCAAATGGAACTGAATGGAATCACCATCAAATGGAACCTAATGGAGTCATCGTCAAATGGAATTGAAAGGAATCATCATCGAATGGAATCAACATAGAATGTACACGAATGGAATCATCATCGAATGGAATCGAATGGAATAATCAAATAGAAACATCATCGAATGAAATTGAATGGGATCATCGAAAGGAATCGAATGGAATCCTTATCGAATAGTATCATCGAATGGAATGGAATGGAATCATCATCGAAGGTAATCGAATGGAATCATCTAATGAAATCGAATGGAATCATCATTGAATGGAATCGAATTGAATCATCGAATGAAATCAAAGGAATCATCATCGAATGGAATCGAATAGAATCATCAAATGGAATGGAATGGAGTCATCATCAAATGATATCAATGGAATCATAGAATGGTTTTGAATGGAATCATCATCAAATGGAATCAAATGCAATCACCATCGAATGGAATTAAAGGCAATCATCAAATGGATTTGAATAGAATCATTGAATGGACACGAATGGAATCATCACTGAATGGAATCTGATCAAATCAACATATGGAATCGAATGGAATCATAATCAAAATGAATCAAATGGAATCATCTAATGGACTGGAATGAAAACCTCATCGAAAGGAATCAAATGGAATCATCGAATGGACTCGAATGGAATCATCATCGAATAGAATCGAATGGAATCATACTCAAATGGACTTGAATGGAAGCATTAAATGAACACGAATGGAAACATTGAATGGAAACTTATGCAATCATTATCAATGGAATCGAAGGGAATAATCAACAAACGGAATGGAATAGAATGATCGAATGGAATCAAATGGAATTATCATCAAATGGAATCGAATGGAATCATCATCGAATGGAATTGAATGGAATCATCGTTGAATGGACTTGAATGGAATCATCAAATGGACTTGAATGGAATCATTGAATGGACTAGAATGCAAACATCATCAATGGAATTGAATGAAATCAAACTCAAATGGATTCCAAAGGAATCATCTTCGAATGGAATCAAATGGAATCATCGAATGCAATGRAATGGAATCATCATTGAAAGTAATCGAAGTGAATCATTGAATGGAATCGAATTGAGTCATCGAATTGAATCGAATGGAATCATCACCGAATGGACTCGAATGGAATCATCATGGGATGGGATCGAATGGAATAATTGAACGGACCCGAATGGAGTCATCGAATGGAATCAAATGGAATCATCATCGAATGAATTGAATGGAAACATCGATTGGAATTGAAAGGAATGATCATTGAATGGAATCCAATGGAATCATYGAGTGGAATCGAATGGAATTATCATCAAACGAAGTCGAATGAAATCATCAAATGGCATTGGATGGAATCATCATTGAATGGAATCCAATGGAATCATTGAATGGACTAGAATGAAATCATCATCGAATGGAATCGAATGGAATCATTGAATGGACTCGAACTGAATCATCATTGAATGGAATCGATTGGAGTCATCATCGAATGGAATCGAATGGGATAATCATTGAATGGAATAGAATGGAATCATCTAATGGAATAGAAAGGAAACATCATCGAATGGAATCGAATAGAGTTATAGAATGAAATTGAATTGAACCATCATTGAATGTAATAGAATGGAATCGTCACCAAATGGAATTGAATGGAATCATCAACGAATGGAATTGAATGGAATCATCAAATGGAATCTAAAGGAATTATCATCGAATGGAACCGAATGGAATCATCATCAAATGGAATCGAATAGAGTTAAAGAAAGAAATCAAATGGAATCGTCATCAAATGGAATCGAATGAAACCATCATCAAATGTAATCGAATGGAATCATCATCGAATGGAATTGAATGGAATCATGGAATGGAATCTAATGGAATCTTCATCGTATGGAAGTGAGTGAAATCATCATCAAGTGGAACCAAATGGAGTCATCATCGAATGGAATCGAATGGAATCATCATTGAATGGAATCGAATGGAATCATCAACGAATGGAATGGAATGGAATCATCAAATGGAATCTAATGGTATCATCATCGTATGGAACCGAATGGAATCATCATCAAATGGAACCTAATGTAGTCATCATCAAATGGAATGGAATGGAATCAGTATCGAATGGAATCGAATGGAATCATCATCGAATGGTTGTGAATGGAATCAACATCGAATGCAATCAAATGGAATCATCGAATGGTATCGAATGGAATGATCATCGAATGGAATCGATGGGAATCATCGAATGGAATCGAGCGGTATGTTCGAATGGATTTGAATGGAATCATCGAATGGACACGAATGGAATCATCATCGAATGGAACCAAAAGGAATCATCAAAAGGAATCGAAAGGAGTCAACATCGAATGAAGGCGAATTGAATCATTGAATGGCATCAAATGGAATCATCATCGAATGGAATCGAATGGAATCAGAATGGTGTTGAATGGAATCATCATCAAATGGAATCGAATGGAATCATCATAGAATGGAAACGAAAGTAACCATCAAATGGCTTCAAACAGAATCATCGAATGGACACGAATGGAATCATTACCCAATGGAATGGAATGGAATCAACGAATGGAATCAAATGGAATCACCATCGAATTGAATCGATTGGAATCATCTAATGGAATGGAATGGAATCCTCATTGAATGGAATTGAATGCAATAATCGATTGGAAACGAATGGAATCCTCGTCGAATGGAAGGGAATGGAATCATCAAACGGAGTCGAATTTAATGATCATCGAATGTAATCAAATGGAGTCATTGTGGAATGGACTCGAAAGGAATCATCGAATGGACACCAATGGAATCATCAAATGGATTCGAATGCAATCATTATCAATGGAATCAAATGCAATGAAAATCATATAGAATCAAAAGGAATCATCATCGAAAGGAATCGAATGGAATCAGCATCAAATGGAAGCGAATTGAATCATTGAATGTAATCAAATGGAATCATCATTGAACGGAAGCAAATAGAATCATCGAGTGGRATAGAATGGAATCCTCATCTAATGGAATCGAATGGAATCATCGAATGGAATCGATTGGAATCATCATCAAAAGTATTCGAAGTGAATCACTGAATGGAATCGATTTGAATCATCAAATAGAATTGAATGGAATCATCATCAAATGGACTCGAATTGAATCATAATGGGATGGAAATGAATGGAATCATCGAATAGACTCAAATGGAATCCTCGATTGGACTTGAATGGAATCATCATCGAATGGATTCGAATGGAATCATCATCGAATGGAATCAAATGGAATCATCAAAGAATGGACGTGAATGCAATCATCATTGAATGAAATCAAATGAAATCATCGAATGGCATCGAATGGACGCATCATCGAATGGAAGAGAATGGAATCTTCAAATGGACACAAATGGAATCATCATCGAATGGAATTAAATGGAATCATTGAATGGACTCAAATGGAATCATCATTGAATGGAATCGAATGGAAACATCATCGAATTGAATGAATGGAATCATCATCGAATCGAATCATTGAATGGAATCTAATGGAATCATCATAGTATGGAACCGAATGGAATCATCATCAAATGGAACCAAAAGGAGTCATCATCAAATGGAAATGAATGGAATCATCATCGAAAGGATTCGAATGGAATCATCATCGAATGGTTGTGAATGAAATCAGCATCGAATGCAATCGAATGGAATCATCGAACGGAATCGAATGGAATGATCATTGAATGGAATCGAAGGGAATCATCGAATGGAATGAAACGGTATGATCGAATGGAATCGTATGGAATCATCGAAAGGACATGAATGGAATCTTCACCAAATGGAATCAAATGGAATCATCAAATGGAATCAACATCGAATGGAAGTGAACGGAATCATTGAATGGACTCGAATGGAATCATCATCAAATGGAATTGAATGGAATCATCATCGAATGGAATGAAGGGAATCATCATTGAATGGAATCGAATGGAATCATCGAATGGAATAGAATGGAATCATCATCAAATGGTATCGAAGAGAATCATCGAATGAAATCGAATGGAATCATTGAATGGACTTGAATGGAATCATCATCGAATGGAATCAAATGGAGTCATCGAATGAACTCCAATTGAATCACCCTCAATTGAAATCATATGGAATTTTCGAATGGAATCGAATGGAATCATCATCGAATAGAGTTGAATGGAATCACTGAGTTAACTCGAATGCAATCATCATTAAATGGAATCGAATGGAATCATCGAATGGACTCGAATGGAATCATCATCAAATGGAATCAAATTTAATCATTGAATGGACTCGAATGGAATCATCATCAAATGGAATCGAATGGAATCCTCAAATGGACACGAAAGGAATCGTCATTGAATGGAATCGAATGCAATCATCGAATGGAATTGAATGGAATCATCATCGAATGGAATTGAAGGGAATCATCATAGAATGGAATTGAATGGAATCATCAATGAATGGAATGGAATGGAATCATCATCAAATGAAATCGAATGGAATCATGGAATGGCATCGAATGGAATGATCATCCAATGGAATCAAATGGAATCATCGAATGGACCCAAATGGAATCATCATTGAATGGAATCGAATGGAATCATTTAATGGACTCGAATGGAATCATCATCGAGTTGGATCGAATGAAATCATCATCGAGTTGAATCGAATGGAATTGTAGAATGGACTCGAATGGAATCATCATTGAATAGAATCGATTAGAATCATCGAATGGATTCGAGTGGAATCATCAAATGAAGTCTAATGGAATCATCGAATTTACTCGAAAGGAATCTTCATCGAACTGAATTGAATGGAATCATCATCGAATGGAATCGAATGGAAACACAATCGAATGAAATAGAATGGAATCATTGAATAACATTGGATGGAATCATCATAAAATGGAATCAAATGAAATCGTCATTGAATGGAATAGAATGGAATCATCATTGAATGGAATTGAAGAGCATTATCCAATGAAATTGAATTGAATCATCATTGAATGGAATCGAATGGAATCATCATTGATTGGAATCGAATGGAACAATCCATGAATGGAATCGAATGGAATCATCGAATGGAATCTATTGGAATCATCAGCGAATTGAACTGAATGGAATAATCATCAAATGGAACCTAAAGGAGTCATCATCGAATGGAATCGAATGGAATCATCAATGAATGGAATCCAATGGAATCATCATCAAATGGAATCAAATGGAATCATCATCGAATGGAATCGAATGGAATCATCGAATGGAATCGAATGGAATGATCATCAAATGGAATCTAAGGGAATCATCAAATGGATTCGAAAGGTATCATTGAATGGAATTGAATGAAATCATCGAATGGATACAAATGGAATCATAATCAAATGGAAAGGAATGGAATCACCAAATGGACTCTCATAGAAACGTCATCAAATGGAATCGTCGAATGGAATTGAATGGAATCATCATTAAATGGAATAGAGTGGAGTCGTCAAATGAAATCAAAAGGAATCATCATCGAGTGGAATCTAATGGAATCATCATCGAATGGAATCAAATAGAATCATCCAATGGAATTGAATGGAATCATCATCAAATGGAATCGAATGGAATCATCGAATGGAATCAAATGGAATCATCGTATGGACTTGAATGGAATCATCATCGGATCGAATGAAACGGATGATTCCATCGAATGGAATCGAACGGAATCAACATTGGATGGAATCGAATGGAATCACTGAATGAACTTGAATGGAATCATTGTGTGGATTCAAATGGAATGATCGTATGGGATCATGTGGAATCATCGAATGGTCTCAAATGGTATCATCATTGAATGGAATCAAATGGAATCATCAAATGGAATTGAATGGAATCATCATCGAATGGATTCGAATGGAATCATTGAATGGACTCGAATGGAATCATTTTCGAATGGAATCTAATGGAAACATCGAATGACTTGAAAGGAATCATAATCGAGTGGAATCGAATGGAATCATTGAATGCAATCGAACAGAATCATCATCGAATAAAATCGAATGTAATCATCGAATGGCATCGGATGGAATCATCATCGAATGGAATTGAATGAATTCATTGAATGGACCCTAATGGAATCATCATCGAATTGAATCAAATGGAATCATGAAATGGACTCGAATGGAATCATCATTCAATGGAATGGAATGGAAACATCATCGAATGGAATCGAATGGAATCATCATTGAATGGTATCGAATGGAATCATCGAATGCAATAGAAAGGCATCTCAGTGAATGGAATCAAATAGACTTACAGAATGAAATCCAATTGAATCATCATCAAATGGAATCGAATGGAATCATCACCAAATGGAATCCAATGGAATCATCATCGAATGGAACACAATGGAATCATCATATGGAACCTAATGGAGTCATCGTCATATGGAATCGAATGAAATCATCATCGAATGGAATTGAATGGAATCATAATCGAATGTAATCCAATGGAATCACCATTGAATGGAATCGACTGGAATCATCGAATGGAATCGAATGGAATAATCATTGAATGGAATCAACGGGAATCATCAACTGTAATCTAATGGCATCATCAAATGGAACTGAATGGAATCATCGAATGGACTCGAATGGAATGATCATCGAATGGAATCGGATGGAATGATCTAATGGACTAGAATGGAATCATCATTGAATCGAATCGAATGGAATTATCAAATGGACTCGAAAGGAATTACCATGGAATGGAATCGAATGGAAACATTATCAAATGGAAACGAATAGAATCATCAAATGAAATCGAATGGAATCATCATCAAATGGAATCCAATGGAATCAACATTGAATGGACTCAAATGGAATCATCATCGAATGGAATCAAAAAGAATCATCATCAAATGGATTCGAATGGAATCATCAATGAATGGAATGGAATGGAATTATTAAATGGAATCTAACGGAATCATCATTGAATGGAACTGAATGGAATCATCCTCTAATGGAAACTAACGGTGTCATCAACAAATGGATTCGAATAGAATCATCATCGAATGGCATCGTATGGAATCAGCATCAAATGGAATCGAATGGAATCATTATCGAATGGAATGAAATGGAATCATCGAATGGAAACGAATGGAATCATCGAATGGAATAGAATGGAATCATCGAATGGACTCCAATGGAATCATCATCGAATTGAATCAAATAGAATCATCGTTGAATGGACTCGAATCAAATCATTGAATGGACTCAAATGCAATCGTCCTCAAATGAATTGAATGGAATCATCATCAAATTGAATCAAAAGGAATCATCATCAAAAGGAAACGAATGCAATCATCATCAAATGGAATCAAAAGGAAGCATCATCAAACGGAATCAAATGGAATCATCATTGAATAAAATTGAAAGGAATCATCGAATGGAATCATCATCAAAAGGAATCGAAGTGAGTCATCGAAAGGAATCAAACTGAATCATCAAATGGTATCGAATGGAATCATCATCGAATGGAGTGGAAGGGAATCAACATCAAATGGAATAGAATAGAATCATTGAATGAACTCAAATGGAATCATCATCGAATGGACWCGAATGGAATCATCATCTAATGGACTCAAATGGAATGATCGAATGGACTCGAATGGAATTATTGATTGGACCCAAATGGAATTATTTAATGGGCTCGACTAGAAATATCGAATGGACTTGAATGGATTCATTATCAAATGGAATTAAATGGAATCATCAAAAGGAATCAAACAGAATCATCAAATGGAATCGATCAGAATCATCATCGAATGGAATCAAATGGAATCATCGAACAGAAACTAATGCAGTCATCATCAAATGGAATCGAATGGAATCATCATCAAATAGAATCGAATGGAATCATCAAAAGGATTTGAATGGAATCATCGTCGAATGTAATCGAATGGAATCATCGAACGGAATCATCGAATGGAATTGAAAGAATCAGCATCGAACAAAATCGAATGGAATCACCATAGAATAGAATCGAATGGAATCACTGAATGGATTCATCATCAAATGGAGTCCAATGGAATCATCAAATGGACTCGAATGGAATCATCGAATGGACTCGAATGGAATCATTGAATGGAGTTGAATGAAATCATTATTGAATGGAATCAAATGAAATCATCATCAAATGGAATTGAATGGAATCAACACTGAATGGAATCGAATGGGATCATTGAATGGAATCAGATGGAATCATAATCGAATGAAATCAAATAGAAGCATCGAATGAAATCGACTGGAATCATCATCGAATGCAGTTGAATGGAATCATCATGAATGGAACCTAATGGAATAATCAACGGATTGAATCAAATGGAATCATCGAATGGAATCCAAAGGAATCATCATCAAACGGAAATGAATGGAATCATTAAATGGACTTGACTGGAATCATCAACGAATGGAATCAAATGGAATCATCATCAAATGGAAACGAGTAGAATCATCCAATGGACTAAAATGGTATCATCATCGAATGGAATCGAATGGAATCATCAAATTGACTCGAATAGAATCATCATCGAATGGAATCGAATGGAACCATCACTGAATGGAATCAAATGGAACCATCGAATGGAATCTGATGGAATCATCATTGAATGGAATCGAATAGAAGCATTGAATGAAATCGAATTGAATCATCATCAAACAGATTCAAATGGAATCATCATCGAATGGACTCGAATGGAATCATCATCGAATGGAATCTAATGGAATCATCATCGAATGGAACCGAATGGAAACATCATTGAATTGAATCAAATGGAATCATCATGGAATTGAATCGAATGGCTCATCATCAGATGGAATCAAATGGAATCATCGAATGGAATCGAATGGAATCATCATCGAGTGGAATCAAAAGGAATCATCAAATGGAATTGAATGGAATCATCATTGAATGGAATCGAATGGAAACATCAAATGAAATCGAATGGAATCATCATCGAATAGAGTCGAATGAAATCAACCTTGAATGGAATCTAATGGAAAAATGAAAGAAGGGAATCGAATGGAATCATCATCGAATGGACACGAATGGAATCATCATCGAATGGACACGAATGGTGTCATCAAATGGACTCAAGTGGAATCATCGAAAGGACTAGAATGGAATCATCGAATGGAAACGAATGGAATCATCATCAAATGGAATGTTATGGAATCATCGAATTGCTTCTAATGGAATCCTCATCAAATGGAATCATCGAATGATGTCAAATGGAATAGTCATCAAATGAAATCGAATGGAACCATTGAATGGCATCAAATGGAATCATTATCAAATGGAATCAAATGGAATCATCTAACGGACTCGTATGAAATCATCATCGAATGGAATCAAGTGGAATCATAGAATGGACACCAGTGGAATCATCATTGAATGGAATCAAATGGAATCAACATCAAAAGGAATCGAATAGAATCATCACAGAATGGAATCGAACGGAATCATCGAATGGAATAGAAGGGAATCATCATTGAATGGAATCAAACAGAATCATCGAATGGAATCGAATGGAATCATCATCAAATGGAATCTAATGGAATCATCATCAAATGGAATCAAATGGAATCATCAACAAATGGAATCACATGGAATCATCGAATGGAAACTAATGGAATCATCATCACAAGGAACCGAATGGAATCGAATGGAATCATCATCCAATGGAATCGAATGGTATCACCGATTTGAATGGAATGATCATCGAATGAAATCAAAAGGAATCATCGAATGGGAATGAAAGGAATCATAGAATGGGATTGAATGGAATAATCGAACGGAATCGAATGGAATCATCGTATGGATTCGAATGGAATCATCATCGACTGGAATCGAATGGAATCATCATCAAATGTTATCACATGGAATCATCAACGAATGGAATCGAATGGAATCATCAAATGGCATAGAATGGAATAATCATCAAATGGAATGGAATGTAATCATTGAATGGAGACGAATGGAATCATCATTGAATGGAATCGAATGGAATTTTCAAATGGACTTGATTGGAATCATCATCGAATGCAATCAAATGGAATCATCATCGAAAGAAATCAGATGAAATCATCATCAGATGGAATCGAATGGAATCATCACTGAATGGAATGGAATGGAATCATTGAACAGAATCAGATGGAATCATCATTGAATGGAATCAAACAGAAACATCGAATGAAATCGAATGGAATCATCAACAAATGGACTTGAATGGAATCATCATTGAATGGACTCGAATGGAATCTTCATCGAATGCATTCGAATGGAGTGATCATCGAATGATCTCGAATGGAAACATCATCGAATTGAATCAAAGGGAATCATCATGAAATTAAATCGAATGGCTCATCGAATGGAATCGAATTGAATCATCATCGAATGGAATCGAATGGAATCATCGAATGGACTCGAATGCAATCACTGAATGGACTTGAGTGGAATAATCATCTAATGGGATAGAATGGAATCATCGAATGGACTCGAATGGAATTATCATTGAATGGAACAGAATGGAATCATAGAATGAACTCAAATGGAATCATCATCGAATGGACTCGAATGGAATCATTGAAAGTATTCGAAAGGAATCATCATCGAATGGAAGCCAATGGAATCATCGAATGGAATTGAATGGAATCATCATTGACTGGAATTGAATGGAATCATCGAATGGACTCGAATGGAATCATCATGGAATGGAATCAAATGGAATTATCGAATGGAATCGAATGGAATCAACTTTGAATGGAATTGAAGGGAATCATCAAAAGGAATCAAAAGCAATCATCATCGAATAGAATCGAATGGAATCATCGAATGGAATTGATTGGAATCACCATTGAATGGACTTGAATGGAATCATCATCATATGGAAACATATGGAATCATCGAATGGACACGAATGGAATCATCATCAAATGGAATCAAGTGGATCATTGAATGGAATCTAATGGAATCATTGTCAAAAGGAATGGAATGGAATCATTGAATGGAAATTAATGGAATCACCAATGAATGGAATCAAATGGAATCATCATAGAATGGAATAGAATGGAATCATGGAATGGACTCGAATGGAATCATCATCAAATGGAAACCTGTGGAACCATCGAATGAACACGAAATGAATCATAATAGAATGGAATCAAAAGGAATCATCACTGAATGCAATCACATGGAATCATCACCCAATGGAATCGTACGGAATCATCATCGAATGGAATTGAATGGAATCATCAATTGGACTCAAATGGAATCATCAAATGGAATCAGATGGAAGCATCGAATAGACTCGAATGGAAGCACCATCAAATGGAATAGTATGGAATCATCGAAAGGACTCAAATTGAATCATAAAATGGACTCGAACAGAATCGTTATAGAATGGAATAGAATAGAGTCATCAGAAAGACTCAAATGGAATCATCATTGAATGGAATCGAATGGAATCAATGAATGCACTCGAATGGAATCATCATCAAATGGAATTGAATGGAATCATCGAATGGACTCGAATGGAATCATCATCAAATGGAATACATTGGAATCATCAAATGGAATGGAATGGAATTATCAGATGGAATCGAATGGAATCATCTTTGAATGAAATCGAATGGAATCATCAAATGGAATTGATCAGAATCATCATCAAATGGAATCAAATGAAATCATCGAATGGAATCAAATGCAATCATCGAATGGAATCGAATGGAATTATCATCGAATAGAACAGAATGGAATCATTGAATGGAATCGAATGGAATCATCGTCGAATGGAATTGAATGGAATCAAATGAAATCATCGAATGGAATCGAATGCAATCATCATCGAATGGAATCGAATGGAATTATCATTGAATAGAATAGAATGCAATCATCAAATGGAATCGAATGGAATCATCATTGAATGGAATCAAATGGAATCATTATTGAATAGAATCAAATGGAATCATTGAATGGAGTCATCATCAAATGGAGTCCAATGGAATCATCGAATTGACTCGAGTGGAATCATCATTGAATGGAATCGAATAGAATCATCGAATGGAATCGAATGGAATCATCATCAAATGGAATTGAAGGATATCATCGAATGCACTCAAATGGAATAATCAACGAATGGAATCTAATGGTATCATTGAATGGAATCGACTGGAATCATCTTCGAGTGGAATCTAAAGGATTCACTAAGTGGACTCCAATGGAATAATCATCAAATGGAATCGAGTGGAATCATCGAATATACTCGAATTGTATCATCGAATGGAAACGAATGGAATCATCGAATGGATTCAAATGGAATAGTCATCAAATGGAATTAAGTGGAATGATCGAATGGACTCAAATGGAATCATCATCGAATGGATTTGAATGGAATCATCGAGTACACTCGAATGGGATCATCATTGAATGGAAATGAATGGAATCATCAAATGGACACTAATGGAATCATTGTCGAATGGAATCATATGGAATCATCGAATGGACTCGAATGCAATCATCAAATAGAATCGAATGGAATCATCGAATGGAATCAAATAGAATCATCAAATGGACTCGAATGGAGTGATCAAAAGGACTCGAAAGGAATTATCGAATGGACCCTAATGGAATCATCAAATGGAAAAGAATGGAATCATCAAATGGACTCGAATGGAATCATCGAATGGACTCGAATGGAATCATCAAATGAACTCGAAAGAAATTATCGAATGGACTCAAATGGAATCATCGAATGGACTCTAATAGAATCATCAACGAATGGAAAAGAATGGAATCATCAAATGGACTCGAATGGAATCATTGAATGGACTCGAATGGAATCATCGAATGGAGTCTAATGGAATCATCATTGAATGGAATCAAATGGAATCGAATGCAATCATCTAATGGAATCTAACGGAATAATCATCGAACGGAATCAAATGGAATCATCATTGAATGGAATTGAATGGAATCTTCGAATAGACATGAATGGACCATCATCGAATGGAAAAGAATGGAATCATCAAACGGACTCGAATGTAATCATCATCGAAGGGAATCGAATGGAATCATCATCAAATGAAATTGAATGGAGTCATCGAATGTCATCAAATTGAATCATCACCGAATTGAGTTGAATGGAATCATCGAATGGACTCGAATGGAATCATCATAGAATGGAATCGAATGGAATCATTGAATAGCATCGAATGGAATCATCGTTGAATGGAGTCAAATGGAATCATCAAATGGACTCGAATGGAATCATCATAGAATGTAATCAAATGGAATATTCGAATGGACACAAATGGAATCATCATAGAATGTAATCAAATGGAATCTTCGAATGGACTCAAATGGAATCATCATAGAATGGAATCGAATGGAATCATCGAATGGAATATAATTGAATCATCATCGAATGGAATCGAATGGAATCATCAACGAATGGAATCATAGAATGGAATCCAATTTAATCATCTTCGAATTGAAACCAATGGAATCATTAAATGGACTCGAACGGAATCATCATTGAATGGAATCGAATGGAATCATTGAATGTAATCAAATGGAATCATCGAATGGACTCAAATGAATCATCATCGAATGGAAGCGAATTGAATCATCGAATGGATTCGAATTAAATCATCATCGAATGGAATTGAAAGGAATCATCAAATGGACTTGAATGAAATCACTGAATGGACTCGAAAGGAATCATCATCGAATGGTATTGAATGGAATCATTGAATTTACTCGAATGGAGTAATCATCAAATGAAATTTAATGGAATAATTGAATGGAATAGAATGGAATCATCATTGAATGGAATCAAATGGAATCGTCATCGAATGGAATCAAATGGAATCATCATCGAATGGAATCAAATGGAATCATTAGAGAATGGAATCAAAAGGAATCATCATGGAATAGATTAGAATGGAATCATCAAATGGAATGGAATGGAATCATCATGGAACGGAATCGAAGGGAATCATCGAATGGAATCGAA